>NC_000001.11:64705350-65008380 GCF_000001405.40 Homo sapiens
GCTGCGGTTTCTTCTGAGGGTCTGGGGCTGACTGGTGAGGGGCTCTGAGGTCATAAAAAGATGTATCATCTGAGTGAATCCATTTGTTAAAATTGTATAGTTGTGATTGGTGCATTTTGATGGATGTACATTTAACTTCAAAAAATAAAATTAACAAAATTGAGTGTCTAGTGTTGTGTCTATCTTGATACAATGTTTTAAAAATCCATTTTACCGAAAATTAGACTATCAGTTCTTCACCAAACATGGTCATCCTGGAATTCCCATCTCTGCCATCCTATTGTTGATTACCAGTTACCCAAGACTCCACATAAGGATGACCAGGCAGCTATAGCCACACACAGGAACATGGTTTGAGGGAAGGAATATGTTAAATTTGTTAAACGTGAGCAGTTGGCAGGGGTTTTATTTTTGAAGAATGAGTTGTGAGTACTGAATGGCCAGCCACACCAAGGGGACACAGGAGAGGAATTGTGAGTCACTTACTGTGCTAACTGATCAGCATATGTCAGGAATCAGTTTACAGAGATGGGGAGCAGAATAGATTAATAGGAAAGGGATACCATTCAGCCTTTTAATTATGGAAAAGTTGGAAAGGGCAAAGAAACAAAGCAAATGGGCATGTACATGTAAGAGAAAAAGAGGCAGCCTTACAGCTGTAGTTCTTTATTGGCCTCCAAAGGGCAATGGCCTTTTCATTGCATCCTCTTTTCATATCTTGTAGAAACTGGGATGCAAATGTGGAATTTCAGCAGACAGTGTCTATGCTAGTGGTGAGGAGAGGGACAGGGTAGATAGATACTTTTCCTCCTAGGCTGATGACTAGAATTCCTGACAAAGTATAACAACTTCCAACCAAGTTCATCATAACGTTTAAAATATAAAATACTTGAAGGGTGTTATGAGGATTAAATGGATCCATAAATTAACAACATTACCTGGCATTAAAAAGCAATCAATAAATATTACTTAGACCAACAGTCACAGCAGTAATAATATGAAGAAAAATTAAATTCAGACTATTTTTGCTTTTTGCAAACACTTCTTAGTTAACTTCAGTTTTTAAGGACTCTAGCCTTTCTCAGCTGGAAGAAAAGCAAAGAGAGAAAATAGAATACTTTCACAACTTGATCCAGATTGATAGGGTAGTTAGAAATTGCTAGTTTCCTTTTTGGGGTTAGGGATGGATGGCATGGACAGCCTGGATACTCAAGCAGTCCCTGCCTTCGGGGAGGCTGGGGCAGACAGTGAAATAGCATCCAGATAAGAAGGGTATGAGGGAGGCCACTGGGGCCAGAGTACCTTTGAACTAGAGCCATCCACGTAAGCTACACTGTGGGCTATTTTCTCCATTTCTCACTGTCCCATAAGCCTCATTCATTAATGGATTAAATAGCTGATCCTCAATGTTGGAGGACAATGTTTGAATCTATGTGGGTACTTTTTTTTGTTTTGTTTCTTGTTTTTCTTTTGTTTTTCTTTTTTTTTTTTTGAGACAAAGTTGTGCTCTGTTGCCCAGGCTGGAGTGCAGTGGCGCAATCTTGGCTCACTGGAACCTTCGCCTCCTGGATTCAAGCAATTCTCCTGCCTCAGCCTCCCAGGTAGCTGGGATTACAGGTTCACGCCATGATGCCCAGCTAATTTTTTGTATTTTTAGTAGAGATGGGATTTTGCCATGCTCACCAGGCTGGTCTCAAATTCTTGGCCTCAAGTGATCCACTCACCTCGGCCTCCCAAAGTGCTGGGATTACAGGTGTGAGTCACCGCACCCGGCCTGTGTAGGTACTTTTTAAAATGTTTTTATTACCATAAAATATATACAACATAAAATTTCCTACTTTAACCATTTTTAAGTGTGCAATTCAGTGGCATTAAGTGCATCCAAAATGTTGTGCGACCACCATCACTATTTCCAAAACTTTTTCATCATCCCAATATGTGGGTTCTTTTTAATTCCTCTGATTTGTGAAATGATAATTTCATGACTGAATGTTAGAGCTAGAAGGAACTTGAAGATTATCTCCCCACCGCATTCGTACAAATAAGGAAATTGACATACTTGAAGGTTTTACTCAAGGCCACAAAGCTAGATGATGGCAAGGGCTGGAACTCAAATACAGGCTTCTTGATTCTTAAGCACAAGAGAGTAGTTTGAATAAGTGAATTAATGTCTAACAACCTGCAGAGGTTAATAAACAAAGGCAGCTAATTTTAGCTTATTATTGCCATCGATGGTGTCAATTTTTTAAAGAAAAAGGAAAGATTTTCATCTGAATATCAATAATATTAAACATCGTGTGGGGGAGAGAACATGTTTGGAAGGTGTAGTCGTTAATTTTGTGTGTCAACTGGGCCACAGGATACCCAGATATTTAGTCAACCATGATTCTGGGTATTTCTGTCAGGGTGCTTTGGATGAGATTAACATTGAAACGGGGAGGCTGAGTAAAGCAGACAGCCTTCCATAAAGTGAGTGGGCCTCAGCCAATCCGTTAAAAGACTGACTAGAACAAAAAGCCTGGTCCTCTTCTGAGTAGCAGAAAATTCTTCCTGCCTGACAGCCTTCGAACTGTGATACTGAGATTTTTCCTGCCTTTAGACTCAAACTGAAGCATAGGCTCTTTCTGGGTCTTGAGCTTTCTGGCCTCTGGACTGGAGCTATACCATCGGCTTAGTTCTCAGGTCTTTGAACTTGGACTGAAACGAAACCATTGGCTCTTCTGGGTCTCCAGCTTGTCAAATCACCCTGCAGATTTGGGGACTTGTCAGCCTCCATTATCATGTGAGCCAATTCCTTATAATAAATAAAGATATTCTATTGGTTCTGTTTCTCTGGACAATCCTGACTAATACAGGATTGAGTCAATATTGAGGCCCCTGGACACCCAGCAATCTAGGTGTGCTGTGTGGGAATCATTGAAGAGTGTGAATCCAGCAACTATCAAAGTGCCTGGAGTGAAATAGACAATAGACAGAATAGACAATCGGTGTTTATTTGGATACCTAAATGACTATATCATGAATAAGATTCATCATTTTCTCCACAGATTAGAACTTCAGAGGTATTCAAGAAAAGCCTACAGAAAAAATGTTTGTCTTCAGTGGGAAGTTAAGTAATTGACCAATCAAGTTAGTTATTCATTCATTCATTTGTTGACCCACTGATGTATTAATCATATATTGTACTATGTACCAAGCACAGTGCTAGATATTGAATATGTAAAGCACAAGGATACACAGTCCTCGCCCTCCAGGAACCGGCAAGCTCACATAAAGAATTATAACACAGTGTCATATATGTTACCAGAAAGATGGTACCCCATGCAGGTGTGATGAAAATGTACAAATAGGGGTATATTTGAGGGGCTCAGGGAAAAGGTGGGAGGGGCAGAAAAAATGAGTAATGGTCTACCAGTGACAGGTTGCAAACAGAAAATGAAAAAGAGGAAATGGTTGGGTAGATGGTGATTATAGCTCTAAAATTCTACATTCCTCTTGTCTATGTTAGGAATGCTGCTTACAAATGGTGGTAAGAACAGTTGTTCAAGTAAGCTTTTACTATAATGCCCTGAAACTACAGATACCCCTAATATCTTATGTTTTTGTACCCCTTTTATTGACTAAAAGTAATACTTATAGAAGTACATCAAGATTTATTTACAAGGATATTTACTATCTGGTATGGTTTGGATTTGTGCCCCCCCTGCCTCCAAATCTCATGTCAAATTGTAATCCGCAATGTTGGAGGAGGGGCCTGGTGGGAAGTGATTGGATCATGGGGAAGATTTCCCCCTTGCTATTCTTATAATAGTGAGTGAGTTCTCACAAGATCTGGTTGTTTGAAAGTGTGTTGTACAGTACCTCCCCCTTTACTTGCTTCCTCCTGCTCCAGCCATGTAAGTTGTACCTGCTTCCCCTTTGCCTTCCACCATGATTGAAAGTTTCCTGAGGCCTCCCCAGCTATGCTTCCTGTGAGCCAATTAAACCTCTTTTCTTTATAAATTACCCAGTCTCAGGTATTTCTTTATAGCAGTGTGGGAATGGACTAATACAGTATCAAATTATCTCATTATTTTCAATAGTAAAAGTTCAGAAATGAGAAAATCATGAAGAATTGATTAAAGAAACTATTATGCAATTGAATACCTTGCAATCATTTAAAATTGTTTTTAAAGAGTATATAATTACATGGGGGAAATGTACAAAATGTAAGTTTTGAAAGGAATAAAAAATGTTTAAAACCAGATTTAAAAATATATAGACAGACCAATTTGCATAGGTAAAAAAGTAAAATGCAAATGGTAACAATGGCTTTTTGATTGTTGTGAATGTTACAGATATTTAAATTTTTCTCTATATGTCTTTGTTTTCCAAACTTGTAACAATGATTGTTATTGCTTTAGTAAAGAAAAAAAAAGTTATTTTACAATGTTATTTTGGACACATAGTGGGTTAGCCAGACAGACAATTTTTCTGGAAAGTTTCCCCAAACTCCCACCCTAAATCCACAGCTTCATGGAGGTAACTCCAGGATCCATGAGTGTACAAAATGACCCTACACCCTTGGCTACAGCAAATTGGTCCGTAGGTGGGCATCTGACCAAAGCTAAGCCAATCAGATTACATATGTTGAAAATTTGGAGATTCAAATGATTACCAAACCAAGTGTTCCTTTGAATGGAAGAGATACAAACTTGAGAACTGGAGGGTGACTTTTTGTTGTTGTTTTTTTTTGTTTTGTTTTGTTTTGTTTTTGTCTTATGGACTAAGTAGTAGAGAAAACTAGTTTTCAGGAATTAAAAAAAAAAAAAGAATGTTGCCAATGTATAGAGAGAAACACAGCAGAGAGATAGCAGCTGCCAGATTTTCATGACAGATGTGACTCCACTTTTTATCCTTCCTGAGGCCGTGAAGCACCTACCTTATATTCCATGATTCCATGAGATATCCACATGCCTTATAAGATTTTTCCTTTTCTCACTTAATCTGAATCAATTTAGCTTTTTTTTTCTCAAAACCAAGAAGTCTATTAATACAATATCTTTGGGAGCATAAGGAGAAAAGCCACACTCACTAAGAGAGCTTCCAATGATACTAACCCATGAGGACAAGGACTGCATTTCTCAACTCAAGTTTCCATCGCCTAGCCCAGTTTCAAGCATGTGGCTGATGCCTGTTACAAGCTTGCTGACTGACAGTCTGGAAGAATGAATGATGTATTGCTATGCCTTTACTCCCCTTGCCCTACATTCCTATTTAATAATTAGTAAGAGTTCATCAGAGTTAATGAAAAGGACATATCTGAGTCCCTCTCTGCTCCCTCTTATAGGAAAAGCACTCAATGTAGGTGGCCTGGGAAATGTTATCTATGGTTCTACTCCACGTAATATTGTTGATGCTCAAATTCACTTGTAATTAAAGGTTAGGTGTAGCTGAAAACCTCTCCCTAATTGCTTAGGAGCAAAAAGCCTTCATTTGGAAAACCCAGAAAGTTTCTCATTAAAGAAAAATAATGCAAATTGATGTAGAAAGGTAATCAAATGGTACTTTCTTTTTTTTTTTTTTTGAGACGGAGTCCCGCTCTTTAGCCCAGGCCGGATTGCAGTGGCGCAATCTCGGCTCACTGCAAGCTCCGCCTCCCAGGTTCACGCCATTCTCCTGCCTCAGCCTCCCGAGTAGCTGGGACTACAGGCGCCCGCCACCGCGCCCGGCTAATTTTTTGTATTTTTAGTAGAGACGGGGTTTCACCGTGTTAGCCAAGATGGTCTCGATCTCCTGACCTTGTGATCCGCCCGCCTTGGCCTCCCAAAGTGCTGGGATTACAGGCGTGAGCCACCGCGCCCAGCCTCAAATGATACTTTCTATAATTTACTATTCCTTTGCTCAGGCCTTCAAGAACAGCCGTAATGTGCACCTTGCTGCCAGACCACTCTCTATGTTAAACATTATGGTGAGTTAGAGATAGAAAAGTGCAGAGCAAATCAATTGAGTCAATGGGATAAAATATGAATGGTACATAAATAGGGTGACTTGTAAACGTTTTGAGTGTTTTTAAAATGATGAAACCAGGTCAAATTTCTCAAGTTTCCAACAACTCCAAAATCTCACTTTGGAAATGGGAACATATGTTTTAAAGTTGAGAAACCACTTGCATTAACAGCATGCCTGAATGTTGTAACAGTGTGAAGTCTTTAAGAAGTTGTCTGACCTACTAAATTTAATTAAGAGTTTTAAAAGGCTTCTGGACATTGCATAATGGACTACCTTCAAATTGCCATGTCAGGCTGTTAATTGATGGGTTCCATGGCTAATTTAAAACTCTTCTATCACACCTATGACTTATACAATCATATAACTCTGAAGGGAGAAGTTGATAGGACCAATAGCAAGAAAACAGAAACAGTGTGAATCACAGCTATCCAAATATTTCAAGTGCACAGCTTTAACTCTTTGGGAAATAGACTTGTAATTTTCATTCACAGTCTTTATAAGCTGCAAGTTGACATTTGTGTTAAATTTCTCTTTAGAATCATGAAGATATTCATTAAGCCTTCGCCACATGCCCAGTGCGGTGCTGAGTACTGGAAATATAACGATGAACAAAAAGGGCAACCTCTGCTCTCACATGGCCTCCCTGATAAATGTCCTTCAGGTTAGGATCAGAAGGATGAATATGATCATATGAAAAAGGAAAGGAAAGCTGTTCCAAGCCAGGGGAGAGCATATCAGAAGACCTGAATGAAACAGTTTCCTGAGTTACAGTTTTAAACAGTTTTAAACTGTAACTCAAGCTTAAGGGATCTAGTGAAGTACTGCCCCTCCCAAAGTTAACTAATCCTCAGAGACTGCAAACAACCTACCTGTGAGCATGCCTTTGATATGCAACCCAACCAATCCTGAGTTCACCTATCCCTCTGTCCTAAATTACATCAGGGTCAGGTACAGCACAACAAAGGACCACTCTCTGCAGCCCAGAGCCTGCCAAAATATTCAAACTGGCCAATCCTAAATCTACGTACCCTGCCTTGCCTATTTCCCTTCAAAAAACACAACAAAGGCCGGTGCCCATGTTTTCCCCTCACTCCTGCATCCTGACCACCCTGGCACTTTCCCATGTGGCCCAGCATATTGTGGCGTGCTCCCTCCTCTTGGGAACCGTGAATAACAAACTATCTTTGCAACAGCAGTCATCTCCTGATCTGTTGGCCTCACCATAGCTGAATAAAAACAAAACTATGAATACATGTTAAAGCAGTACCTAACTCATAAGTTATCACAGAATAATCAAAATGGACAAAAAGTTATCAAGATAAACACTGATGAGAGAAATATTAGTAAATATACTACTAAAAAGGTTTTTAATACAAAACTGCAAAAAAGGTTCTTAGGGAAATGTCATGCATAAGAAAGAGTGGCGCTCATTCATTCAACATATACTTATTGAGCATGCTATGTGCCAGGGACTAAACTAGGTACTTGGATGCAATAGTGAACAAAACAAAGATCCCAGTCCTTGTGGAGCTTATATTCTAGTGGGGGAAGACAGAAGACAGGTGGAACAAAAAACCATAAAGTATATAAATACAAAAATACAATGAGGGCTAAGGAAAAAGATTTGCAGGAACAAAGTGGTCAGCGTGGGCTTCATGGAGAAGGTGGCACTTGATTAAAGACTTGAAGGAGATGAAGGCCATTTGGGTATCTGAGGGAAGAGCCTTCCAGGCAGAAGATGCAGCTAATGAAAGGCCCTAAGATGGGATCGTGTGTGGCTGAGCTAGAACACTGTGGCTCAAACAAGGTGAAGGAGGTGGAGAGGGCTGACCAGATTAGAAAAGTGACAAGGTTGGGAAGGTAAGACCGGTTTTGGGGGAAGGGAAATTTGTGCTGGGACTTTTGGTTCATTTTAAGCACTTTGGCTTTCACTCTGAATGAGATGGAGACCCACTGGAGGGTTTTGAGAAGAGAAATGACCCAATCTTAGTGAGGTTTTTAAAGGATAATTTTGGATCCTGTGTTGAGAATATAAAATAGAGTACAAGGGTGGAAGAAAGCACCCCTTTGGGACAACTACTGAACTAATCCAGGCAACAGGTGATGGGCTCTCAAACTGGAATGGTAGCAGTGAAGAAGGCAAGAAGTGAGCAGAGTTTAGATAATTTTGAAGGTTGAGTCAACAGAATTTCATGACACATTGGATGCAAAATATGAAAGAGTCAGGAATAATGACAAGGTTTTTGTTAAACAAGTGGAAGGAGGAAGTTTCCATCAACAAAGATGAAAATGACTGTTATGAAGAGACAAATATAGATGTCTGGAGACAAGAGAGAGGTTCATGTTGATAATATAAATTAAGGAGTTGTCATCATATAGATATTTAAAGTCATGAGATGGGTTGAGAGTGACTGCAAATGGAGAAGAGAGCTGATACCTCTGCAGAACACTTTTCCTCTACCCTGCAATGTCAACTCCTCTATCTCTTTCATGTCATTGCTCAAATGTCACCTCGGTGCAACCTGTCCCCTCTACCTGACCTCATAATTATCTGTATATCCTGCTCTTTTTAAAGCCAACCACTTATCATCTTCTAACATACTATTTAACTCACTTACTTATGTTTATTATTTATTTTCCACTTGCCCATGCTAGAATGTAAGCTCCATGAGGGCAGAGATTTGTATTTTTATTTTTGTTCACTGTTGTATTCCAGGTACCTAGAACAGTACCAGCTTATAGTAAATATTGCTGTCGAATTACCCCATTACCACAGGGTGCATTTTCTTTTCTTTTTTGAGACAGAGTCTCACTCTGTCACCCAGGCTGGTGTGCAGTGGCGCAATCTCGGCTCACTGCAACCTCCACCTCCCGGGTTCAAGTGATTCTCCTGCCTCAGCCTCCAGATTAGCTGGGACTACAGGTGCCTGCCACCATGCCCAGCTAACTTTTGTATTTTTAATAGAGACAGGGTATCAGCATATTGGTTAGGGTGGTCTCGAACTCCTGACCTCAGGTGATCCGCCCACCTCGGCCTCCCAAAGTGCTGGGATTACAGGCGTGACCGTAGGGTGCATTTTCTATGGGCCTCTTAGCGGCCCATCAATCCAGTATTGATCCTGGTTCTTCCGGTAAACTAGGAAAGAGATGATAACAGCTTAAGTTGATCGAGTGCTCACTCTGTGCCAGACACCGTTCTAACAGCATCACATGTACGTATATCATTTAATTCTCACAGTAACCCTCTGA
This sequence comes from Homo sapiens, assembly GCF_000001405.40. Taxonomy (NCBI): domain Eukaryota; kingdom Metazoa; phylum Chordata; class Mammalia; order Primates; family Hominidae; genus Homo; species Homo sapiens. The sequence goes on from NC_000001.11 coordinate 64,714,591, forward strand.
GATGAGTGTTATCATTTGCCTCATCATAGGGGAGGAAGCTGAGACACAGAAAGGTTAAGGTTTATGTCCAGCGCCACACAGCCTCGGAGAGGCAGAGTTGGCATATCAACCCAGACAGTCTGGAAGCAGTCTGTGTTCTTCCCCTCTACGCTCTATACCCCTTAGAAGCACAGGCATTCAGGGAGTAAAGCTCGATGTGACTCTAGATGCTAGATATCATGACCAGTATTTGCTGAAGGTGCAAATGGCCTCCTCTTGGCATCATCCCCGATGACTTGAATGATTGTTGAGAATATTTTCTATTCATGGAATTTTAAAAGATCAAGTTAGTAAAGATTTGTTCCAATATTTTAACATTTCTTTGCTTTTTCTCATTGGTAAGAAAGAAAAAAACTATTTTCCCCAGCATTCACCTGGAGAATATTAATGTATTTCCTTCAATAAATTACTTTCCCAAATAAAATCCTTGCTTTGATCATTTTTGCATTAATGGGAAAATACATTTTTAAGGGAAGCCCAATCCTGATATTAATAATAATACTAAATTGAATATATATTATAGGGTAACTAATTGAATATATATACCTTGGAAGTATTTTTTTGGCTATGAGAAATAAGTGGTGTAATGTGCTCAGCAGAACTTATTTCTAAAAAATGGAAATAGGTTAAATTGGTCTTTCCAGTGCTGTTTGGATATTTTTATTGCTACACTAGTGGGAGATTTTATATAGTTCTTTCCTTCTGTGTTCATCTTCCATGATGATTAAAAATTTAAATAAGTTTGCCAGAAGGTCTGTTTGGCAGCTGTCGTGCCTATTAAATAGAGTGCATCCTTAGAGCATTTCATTCACTGCTAAAAGGAAAGGATTTTAGAGAAAAATAACCTAAGTTCCTGGGGGTTGAGGAAGTCACACATGCTTCAAGTGATAGCTAAGATGCAATGGATTCGTTGTGAATAGGTATCACTATAATCAGCAAGAACCTTGGGTCTAATTATAACATTGTGATCCAAACTTCTTTGGTTGTGGTGAATCTAACTAAGACAGCAGTTGATGTGTCTACCTTTCTCTGTGACTTCTTAAATTCTGAATTCAACAAGGGCATGTTCAAAGTGAAAAACTCCGGTACCTCAATACTTGGCACATGTGAAATATCTAGATATCACAGAGCTAGTTATTGCTTGATTGTTTTGAGAGCATGCAAGTACACTTTTTCTTATTTATTTTATTTTTTTTGAGACGAGGTCTTGCTCCATTGCCCAGGCAGAGGTTGCAGTGAGCTGAGATTGTGCCACTACACTCCAGCCTGGGCAACAGAGCGAGACTCCATCTCAAAAAAAAAAAAAAGACATGCGATCGTGCAGTGGCACAATCATGGTTCACTGCAGGCTTAACCTCCCTGGCTCAAGGAATCCTCTTCCCCTAGCCTCCCAAGTAACTGGGATTCAGGCATATGCCAGCACACCCAGCTAATTTTTTATTTTTTTGTAGAGATGGGGGTCTCACTATGTTGCCCACGCTAGTCTCAAACTGGGGCTCAAGCAATCCTCCTGCCTTGGCCTCCCAAAGTGCTGAGATTATTGGCATGAGCCGCCATGCCTAGCCTGCAAGTAGGATTACAAAGCCTCTTTGCAATCTATTGTCTTTTTTATTTATTTATTTTTATTTATTTATTTACTTTTTTTGAGACGGAGTCTCGCTCTGTTGCCCAGGCTGGAGTGTAGTGGCACAATCTCAGCTCACTGCAACCTCTGCCTCCTAGGTTCAAGCGATTCTCCTGCCTCAGCCTCCCAAGTAGCTGGGATTACAGGTGCACGTCACCACACCTGTCTAATTTGTGTGTGTGCGTGTGTGTGTATTTTTATTAGAGATGGGGTTTCACCATTTTGGCCAGGCTCATCTTGAACTCCTGGCCTCGGATGATCCCCCCATCTCAGCTTCCCAAGGTGTTGGGACTACAGGTGTGAGCCACCACGCCCAGACTATTGTCATATTTATCAGAGGAATAAGAAGTGCTATTCACTCTGCAGAAGGGCACTATAAGTGCACATAGGAATTGTCGAAATAGTTATCCTATATCTGAGCTCTTCAGGTATAAGTAGTATATAATTACTATTAAGAAAAATTATAACATTAGTATCATATATAACTAGTGTTTTTAATTATCACTAATATTGAAGGTATTTATACAAGGAAAGTATTTAAACTGAGGCTGAATTAGCTAGCTAAGAATTACCTAAAGAGCTTTTTTAAAATGCAGAGTACTGGGAAACATTCTCAAATATTCTGATTCAATTGGCTACAGCGGGGCCTAGGAATCTGGATTTCTAAAGGTATACCAAGCTGATTTTGATATGTATTCATGTATAAGAGCCAGAGTTCAAAGACATTCATATAGTCCTATCATAGATTCTTAGTCCCTAGCCACTGCTAAGATCATAAGCAATTTGAGATAGATTGTCTTACATATCGTTATATCCCCCTCAATGCCCAGCACATAAAGGTTTGTTGTTTGTTTGAAGTGCATTGCTTTGACATGGGAAAGTCATGCCTTGAAGTGAACACATTGTCAATAGAAATCTTCATCCCCTTTGCACAAAGCGATCTGTTAGGTAGGTGAGTGAGTCAGTTATTTCCCACCACAATCACCCCATGGGAGAGAGTTTGGACTTGAGAGTCAGAGCTGGGTATAGGCATTGACTCTTGCCCTTGACTACTTGTAATACTTAACCTCTTTCATCCTGTTTCTTCATCTGTTAAATGGGTATAATACCAACCACATAAGATCATTGTAAGGATTAAGTGACAAAATGTGTTAGATTCTTGCTACAAATAATGTGCTAAATATATGTAAACTGTCTACATTATGTCTTTATATTCTTCTGTGTGGAGCTGAAAATCATGGTTCTATGATGAGAATAGAAGAACAGCCCTGGCAACATAGCAAGACCTTTTCTCTACAAAATTTTTTTAAAAAATTAGCTGGGTGTGCTGGCACATGCCTATGGTCACAGCTACTTGGAAGGCTGAGGTGGGAAGATTGCTTGAGCCTGGGAGGTTGAGGCTGCTGTGAGCTATGGTCATCCCATTGCACTCCAATCTCTGATCATGCCATTGCACTCCAATCTGGGTGACAGAGCTGAGAACTTACATCAGAAAAAGAAAAAGAAGAAATTATCATCAGCAGTAACATTGTGACAAATGGCCACAAACTTGGTGACTTGAAATCATAGAAAGGTATTCTCTCACAGTTTTGCCGGCCAGAAGTCTGAAATGGAGGTGTTGTCTAAGCCATGCTTCTTCTGAAGGCTCTAGCAAATAATCACTGCCTTTTCTAACTTCTGGTAGCTCTTGGTGGCTTACTGCCTTTTCTAGCTTCTGGTAGCTCCTGATGGTCTTTGGCTTGTGGCAACATGCATTAGTCTGTTTTCATGCTACTGATAAAAATATACCCCAGACTGTGTAATTTATAAAGGAAAGAGATTTAATTGACTCACAGTCCCACATAGCTGGGGAGGCCTCACAATCATGGCACAAGATGAAGGAGGAGCAAAGGAATGTATTACATGGCAGCCAGCAAAGAGAGAGAACTTGTGCAGGGAAACTCCCCTTTATAAAACCATCGGACCTTGTGAGATTTATTCACCAGAACAGCACAGGAGAGACCCCCCCCGCATCCATGAAATAATTACCTCCCACTGGGCTCCTCCCACAACACGTGGGAATTGTAGGAGCTACAAGTCAAGATGAGATTTGGGTGGGACACAGCCAAACCATATCACAGCACAACTCCAATTTCTGCCTCTATCTTCACATGACCTTCTTCTCTGTGTCTCTTTGTATCCTCTCCGCTTCTTACAAGGACATCAATTTTTGGATTTAGGGCCATTCGAAATCAGGGATGATTTCATCTCAAGATCTTTAACCAATTACATCTGCAAAGACCCTATTTCCAAACAAGGTCACAATCTGAGGTTTGGGGTGGACATAAATTTTGAGGAGACACTATTCAACCCACTGCACTAACCATTTGTGATACAGATTGCTAAATATCCCCCCACTCCATTTATTCTTTCTTTCTTACTTAGTAATATAAACCTCAATTCTTAGTTAAACACAGGGCTATCCAAAGTAAAGATTTCATTTCCCATCCTCACAACTAAGAGTATGATCATGTGACTACATTCTGGCCAATAAGATGTAATCAGAAGTATAGTGTGAATCCCTAAAGAGAAGAAACATGCTCTTCTACCCTCTTACTCTTTCTTGTTTCCTGGAATGTAGATGTAGTGGCTTGACTTAAGCAGCTATTTTGGACTATAACAAATAAGGCACATGTTCAGGGTGGTAGAGCCTGGGTTCCTGACAACTTTAAGAAGTTGCCCTGCCTGGCCGTGGTGGCTCATGCCTGTAATCCCAACACTTTGGGAGGCCAAAGTGGGTAGATCTCTTGAGCCCAGGGGTTGGAGACCAGCCTGGGCAACATAACAAAACCCCATGTCTAGAAAAGAAAAGAAAGTTAGCAGGGCATGGTGTTCTGTGCCTGTGGTGCCAGCTACTCAGGAGACTATAGTGGGAGGATCACTTGAGCCTGGGAAGTTCAAGGCTATAGTGAGCCGTGATCACACCAGGCTGTGTGGCAGAGTGAGACTCTGCCTCAAAAAAAAAAAGAAGCTGCCCTATTCTGGGCTGTCTTTTACTGAACTTTGTGTAACAAAGAAATAAATTTGTCTTATATAAGTCTCGTTTGTATAAGTCACTGTTGTTTAGGACTTTTCTGCCACATTTCTGCTGGACCTAATCTCAACAAGTATATTATCTGTCTTCTGTTACAAAATGGATTTGAGGTTTAAAACCTCAGAAGAAAACATTAGAATTGCATTGAGCTTTTTTTTTTTTTTTTTTGTAGTGATCATTTTAATAAAAATCTCTGTGGTTCCAAATAATCAGCCCTCCATCTCGGGGTCTCATTTTCATTATAACCATACTAACTTAGTTAATAATTTAGTAAAACTTTATGTTATAGTTACTGTTTCTGTTTACTTTCTAACTTCCTTGTTATGAGACAAGCCAAATAAAATAATTTTCATGCTATGCCTCTAGCTCTCTACTTGGTTGGGCCATGGCATTGCCAAAATCCAAGAATGCCATTCACAGTGTAGCATTCTCAGGGCACCATTGCAATGTGAACAGTGTCCCCTGGAGGTGTGCAATATAGTAGCCCTGCTGCTAGGCTCCATGCATGATGGGGAAAATTTAAAAAGCAGAAGATGGGTATGATCCTATAAATTTAACCATGTTTAGTTTTTCAACTGTATGTCAGTATCACATTCTTGAAAATAATCACTCAGGGCTCAATTGCAGACAACAATATTCACTCCAGATAGTTTAAGAAGAAAGGAATGACTTACTGGATTAACAGGATGGCCTGGGCTATACTGTGGCAACCAACAGCCTCCAAATCTCATTCTATAAAAGAAATAAAGGTTTATTTCTCACATTATACTATGTGAACATTGTGGGTTTATTGGGGATTCCATTTTGTAGCATCCTCATTCCAAGTTAAAGGAGCAACCACTTTCTGGTAAATTGCTGTTACCCATGGTAGAAAGAGAGGGATGAATTGTGCACTGTTTCTTGAAGCTTGCATCCAGAAAGCACACTTTTGTTCTCATTTCATTGGCTCAAGCAAATCAGATAGCCAAAATCAATTCCAAAGCGGCAGATGGAGCAATCCTACCATGTGCCTAGAAAACAGAAAACCAGAAATATATTTGATAAACAGCACTAATGACTTCTTTGCTTACCCAAGCCCTAGAAGGACTGGAGGAGGGACATCTAGGTTGAACTTCCACAAACAACTCTCAGAACAATACTGCAGAACTGACCCATCAAGGATGCTGCTGCCTCTTCTAAGACTGGGAAGCTACAGCCGTGACAACTGATTCTACCACCACACAGCCTCAGCCTCGTTATTTCTGAAACACTCTCTTTCTTAGGGTTCCGAGCCACATTATCAACCTCCAAATACCCACAGGGGTAAGGACCAGATACTGGAACCTTGGCTACCACTGCTACAGAAAGATAAATGACCTCTGGGGAAAATTGGCAGACATATGCTCTCATTTTACAAGAGCCATTTTCATCTTCCAGTTTTTGTGTAATATACCTCTGTGGTAGAAGTGAGGCTACATATGGAAAATGAGATGTAAGGAAGTCTGAAACACGGAGGCTTGAGCTTTCCAGACTTGATTGTTCAGTAAGGCATTGTACAGGGAGGTTGGAATGGAGACAGACATTCTATATTACTTTTCGTGCATTCAATATTCCTTATCTTTCATACATTCTTTCATCCATCTTTTCGTTTGTTCTTTCATCTGATACTGAATGAATTTTTACTGTTTCTAGACACAGTACTAGATGGTTGGCAGGGGATGTTCAGTGAGGAGGCATGTCAGGGAAAGAAAGAAATAATGACATGCTTTGAAATTATGTCTAAGAACATTTCCAGATCAAATTTAACAATCCATGGACCTAAACTTGGAAACAAGTTTGAATGGAGGTGTGGAAACACATCTTTTTTACACATACCACAGGAAGTTGGTTTTTTAAAAATCACCCAAAATTAAATACTTTAAAGTGTGTAGAAATCAAAAGGTTTACATATCCAGAGGGGAGTAACGGTTAGTAAAGTACTTGAGTGGGAGTTGGGAGACAAAAAGCACTTAGCAGATTAGTTCCTTGTAAATACTAACTGGTACCTTTAGGGTTTTTCCTATTATAAGCAATGAAATACATGACATTCAGTTTAATTAGCTGTATAAATAGCACCAGGAGAACAAGTTAAGCCTCTTGTTCACCACCAAGACGACAGTAGTATTCACTTGAGAATGCAAAAATGCTTATAAAATTTTAGAACCCTATGAACATATCTACTCTGTTGAATGAAAAACCACAGCTGTCCAAGCATCATTATTCTTCACACTGAGAAAGTATTCCCGCTCTTCTTCTTCTCATCCCCCTTCCCCACCCCTGTACACCTATACTGGCATCCCACAGCCTACCAGCAGCTCTGCAGTGAATTGTAACATCAGTTATGTGAGTTAGTTTTCTTTTGGAGATGGAAAAATTACTGACTGAAAACCATTGCATCATCCATTTAAACTCTCATTCTCAACTAGCTCCTTTTTTGTTAGTACTAACACATGATCAAGTCTTTCACTGTAAAAAAAAAAAGAAAAACCAAACCTTCCTCCCACTCCCATGTTCCCCTTGAGCCCCACCTTATCTCTCCCTTCCCATCACAGCCACACTGCTTGACATGTGCTTGCAATGATGACTGTCCGGACCCCCTTACCTCCCTCTCACTCCTCAGCCCACAGTTACATAATTCATTCCCCACCATTCTACTAAAACCATCCTTGGCAAGGCCATCACATTTTCCCTGGGATCCAGTGGACACTTTTCTGTTCTTATTTTTCTTGGCCTCTCAACAGATTTCAAACTGTTGGAATCCTTCTTTCTTTTAGAAACTCTTTCCTTGGCTCCCAAGAATCTATGTCCTCCTGATTTTCTTCCTACCTCTGGTAGTTCATCCTCAGTCCATTTGGAGATATAATAAAATGCTAAATGAGACTCACCCTGATGTCTCAAATTTAAGCTGCAAACAAATGACATGGACCCCCACATTAAAAAGAGAAGCATAAAGAGTGGACAGATCTTGTCCTGTGCCCCTTTGCTCACTTAGGGATTCACTGGAAGATTTCTTGAAAGAGAGCTGCTGGCCAAGTATGGAGTGCTGTGGCTTATTTCTGTTCAAATAGAGGAGGTAAGGGGTGTGCTACTCCACTCGAAGCCAAATGAGAGAGGCAAAAGTGAAGACTCAGAGAAGCTTAGGGTTGGTGTTTTCCACAAATAAACACTGGCCTCTTACTTTTAGTTAGATGATTGCTGAAATGCAAAAACTCCTTAGCCCACCTTCAGGCTCTTATTAGAGCCAAACATAAAATTTTGGAGAGCCTGGCATGGCCTTCAAAGAGTTTAGGAGTCAATGATAAAGACAGAAGCTGGCTGAAAAGGCTCTGTCAGTGGAGCGAGCAGGAAGATGGGGAGAGACGATGGGAGCAGCCTATGTTCCCAGGGTTTGGAATTTTCCCTTGAGGTCACCTGGACCATGTGGAGATATGATAGTCATCAGAGCTGTTTAAAAATATTCTAATACTTCTGTCTATCTGAGCCTGTGGATTGTCCATCAACATGTGACCAGAGGGTAACTCTTTCAAGTTAGCCTTGCATATGTGACCAGCTTTGGCTCATGAAATGTGGGCAGAAAAAGAAGTATCACTTCAGGGTAGGAGCTTGAAGATCCAGCGTAGGATTCACTGTGGTTTTTTCCACCTGCTATGGTTATCACAGCATTAGTCAAGAGGCATTCTCTATCATCCTAGGTCCCTGAACGACTACAATAAGCAGAACCTTGCTGCTAACCTGAAATGTACAGCTAGCATGAATGAGAGTGAGTATCTACTGAAATTTAGGAGCAAGTGGCATAACCTAGCCCATCCTGATTAATAAAGGAAGGCAGCATGATCTTGCAAGGATCCTACCCAAGAAGTGGACCATGTAGGAGCTAGTGACTCCAGCAAGAAAAATTAAAAGGTGGAAATTGTGGGGAATGGTAAGAAGCCAGTTAGATAATGAATTTTTTAAGTCAAGGAAGAGTAGAGGTCCCCAAAAGTTTTGGGGGAAGATCAGTAACAAGCATCCTTAGAGAGCTCACAAGGTCCCCCACGAGAGGAAAGTCATTTTATCATTGGTCATGGCAGAGGACATCTGACAGCCAACTGCAAAAGAAATGTTTTTTCCATGTTTTCTCTTATCATACCTTCCTATCTTAACCTGGAGGGAACCAAGAGCAAGAGAGGAATGGGGGAAAATACGGACCAAAAAAGTGAAAGAATAGAACATAACCCTTTCCACTCCATGACTGGGAGCCTGGATCGGGCTCAAGCTAGAGGAAGGAAGAAAGTTTGGACTGGATGTGAGATAAAAGTTTTAATTTAGATTGGTCTGAATGTTTTAGTATATGAAAATGGGACTATTTGCATACCAATACATTGACAAAAATTAATGGATTGCGCTCAAGATATTTTCCCCAGGTATAATGGTTTTAATGCAATGATGGAAGAAAAAGAAAGCTATTTTCTAAGTATACCTTACCAAATGCAACAAATTCAATAAACAAGCTCTAATTCCTTTGAGAAAAACAGAACCTTAAATGTAGGTAGTCCTCAGAGTTTTATTCTAGGCTCTCATCTCACGGGCTGCTTTCATATATTTACATGACTGCAAATTTCTGTGGCTATGCCTTTCCCCAAACCTGTTTTTCAGGCACAGGCCACTGTCCTGCCTGAGTTATAGAGCTGATATACATAATTGCCTACTGGGCACTGATACTTGGATAGCTCATAGGAATTCACACCAACTGGACTCATTATCATCTACCTGTGGTCTCCTAAACCCGTTCCCCCTCAGGGTTCCCTTTCTCTTTTCATTACCCAAGGTGGAAATGTTCACTTTTTGCCCCTGCATGGCTCCTAATATTCAATCACCAAGTCCTAACTACCCTCCCTTCTAAGTATGTCTCAAATCTGTTCATTTCTCCACATCCCCACTGTGACTACATTGGCCTGAGTCATCTTCATCTCTCATTTGAAGAACTGCAGTGCTCTCCATCTGGACTCTGCTTCTAGTCCCACTGAATTCTAATGTATACTTTTCATTGCAACTACCAGTGATCCCTATAAAATGAGCCATTCATTCAACAAATATGTATTTCATACCTACTGTGTGTCAGGACCTGTGTTAAGCTTTGGGGGTAGGTGCAGAGCACAAAACAGAGTCCTGGTCCTCATATTTATTTATTTATTTATTTTCAGACCCTGTGTTCAGCAAAATGAGCAGAAGGCAACTATTAAACGAACAAAATGACCCATAGCATGGGTCAACAAAGGATTTTAAAATCTGTAATTATGTAGTTAATTATACTTGGAACTTTTCTGGGTATGATATATGTGTCTGTGTTATATTAACAGAAATACTGGTATTAAGTTAGTGTGTTTAGAAGAATGCGTTTTGACTAATAAAGACTTAAACAAGATAAATAGATATGAAGTGTTTACATTTTACAACCACATAATTGAGATAAACTAAGCATTTGGGAATTTGACAACATAGAGCCAGGGGTCTTCCTAAGACTCCACTGCGCCAGCAACATTCCCAGCTGTCTCGGTTACAGGCTCACATCCCCTTCCCCGCATGGGAATGATGGCACAGGGAGAAGAGCCACATGCAAGTGAAGTCAACTATCATAAGGGATGGAATGATCTCCAGAAATTTCTAGGGATTGAAGACCTGTTATAGCTCCCACAGATTTGATCGTAACTAGTGTAAACACACTAGATGGAGGGGTTTTTGGTTTTTGTTTGTTTGTTTGTTTGTGTTTCATTTTGTTTAGAGACAGGGCCTCATTCTGTCACCCAGGCTGGAGTCTAGTGGTGCAATCACAACTCATTGCAGCCTCAAACTCTTGGGCTCAAGTGAGTCTCTCTCCTCAACCTCCTGAGCAGCTGAAACTAAAGGTGTGTGCCACCACACCTGGCTAATTTTTTCTTTGTGCAGAGACAGGGTCTTGCTATGTTGCCCAGGCTGGTCTTGAACTCCTGGCCTCAAGAGATCCTCCCACCTCCCAAAGTGTTGACATTACAGGCACAAGCCACCACACCTGGCCCAGATCAGATATATTTAAGTCTGTTTTGCCTGGCAACATCACTTCCTGGAAGGAACCTTGGATTAGGAGACAGAAAAATCTTACTTTCCTGGTGGCTTTTGTCATTAGCTTCAGTTGCAAATTGATATCTTGATGCCTGGCTGCTCTCCTACCATGCCAACCCAAGAGGGGTTAAGCTTACCCAAGGTGTAAGGAAGATAGGAGGTTGCATCAGTCATAATAGATTAGGTTTGCTATGACAATCAACAATCTACAAATTTCAGCAGCTCAGCACATAAAAGATTATTTCCTATTCATACCAAGGCTGATAAGGAAGTGTTCTGCTTTCTCTAGTCATTTAAGGGCTTACATGACAGATGTCTGTTAACTGGAATGTTGCTGGCCACTTTGTCATGGGAAGAGTGAGGGATTAGAGAACCACAGAGGGTCTTTCACTGCCTCAGCCAGGGAGTGACACACATCACTTCTGCTAACATTTTGTTAGCTAGCTACATAGCCTAGATTAATTACAAAGGAGCCAGGAAGTGTAGCTTTCCATATGCTCAGGAAGGGAAAGAGAACTGGGTATTGGTGAGTATCAGAAATGGCTACTACCTAAGCCAATAGTCACTTTGTTTAGAGAGCCTTTTCTGACCAACACTCCTCAGTTTCCAGACTAGGTATGATGTTGCTTTGTTGTGCTTCCCTAGTCCCTTTAAATCTGTTTCTGTATTAGTTAATATACATTATTTTACTGCTTATTTATGTTCCTGCCTTATTACATCTCCTCTCTGCCTAAAACACCCTTGCTCCTATACTTCACCTGGCTAACTTTGACTTACCCTATAGATGTCAGTTCAAATTACTTCCAATAGTCATGAGGAAAAATACAAACTGAATTCCTAGTCCCATAGTTCTTCTTTTAAAAAATTATTCACTAAAGAACTAGGGCTCCTTGTAAGGTATATAGTACCAGATCTTAGGAGAGGACAAAGCAAGAAGTGCCTGATACATCTCATTGCTGTCAAACACTAAAGATGTTTTTGGAAATGCCTAATTAAGTGTTAAAAATAAGACAGTACAGCCTAGAGAGAATAGTCACTGGGCAAAAGGTAACAAATTTGGCATTAAAAATGATCACAATAATTGGAAGATATTCAATCTGTTTTTGTTTTTTGTAGAGACAGGATCTTGCTATGTTGCCCAGACTGGTCTTAAACTCCTAGGCTCGAACAATATTCAGTTTGTTAAAGAAGCTATGACGCCGGGCGCGGCGGCTCACGCCTGTAATCCCAGCACTTTGGGAGGCTGAGGTGGGCAGATCACGAGGTCAGGAGATCGAGATCATCCTGGCTAACACGGTGAAACCCCATCTCTACTTAAAATACAAAAAATTAGCCAGGCGGGCGCCTGTAGTCCCAGCTACTTGGGAGGCTGAGGCAGGAGAATGGCGTGAAGCCAGGAGGCGGAGCTTGCAGTGAGCAGAGATTGCACCACTGCACTCCAGCCTGGGCGACAGAGCGAGACTCCATCTCAAAAAAAAAAAAAAAAAGAAAAAAGAAGCTATGAGTTCATTGTAATTTTCAAAAGATAGAAGCTGTATAGTTTTTGTATAAATTTTGTATAAAATTGTTAAAAGGATGGCTTGAGGTTAATAAATAGGTATTGAATAAATGAATGAATGAGTTGTCTTTTGATACAAATGGAAAAATGGTAATTTACACAAAATTGTATATGAAATAAATAGTTACAACTTGGGGAATATGTTTGCCCATTGTGTAAAAATACACATAATAAGAATTTTAGTCAGGCACAGTGGCTCACACCTGTAATCCCAGCACTTTGGGAGACCAAGGCAGGTGGATTACTTGAGGTCAGGAGTTCAAGACCAACCCGGCCATCATGGTGAAACCCCGTCTCTACTAAAAAAGTACAAAAATTAGCTAGGTGTGGTGGCACGTGCCTGTAATCCTAGCTACTTGGGAGGCTGAAACAGGAGAATCACTTGAACCCGGGAGGTGGAGGTTGCAGTGAGCCGGGATTCCACCACTGTACTCCAGCCTGGGCAACAGAGTGACAATCAGTCTCAAAAAAAAAAAAAGAATTTTAAATTTCTATATCAGACATAATAAAAATGGATTTGAGCTACAACAGAGACATTTTTATAATCAAAGAAGAAATTTCTGTCTCTACCCATCGTTAAACTCTAGAGTGAGCTTATTGACTAATTTTTCTGGGGAACCTTTTGTTCCACCTTGTTTGTGTATGTACAATTCTGCCTGAAAACAGGAGAATACAGTGGAACTGAAACTCCTTCAGGCATATGATTCTCCAAGATGGTTATTTTGAGGCAGTTATAGATATGCATATACTATGTTAGAATCAATTTAGTGGAAACCTGGGTGAGCTTTGTGAATGAACACTTTGTAGGTAAAATATAATTGCATCAATGTGCAGTTGCACCAGAGATAGGTTCTATAATCATGGGCACCTGGGAAACTTTCAACTGTATATATGGAATTAGCACTAACCCAGTTTACTGAGGTTTTCTTTGTTATGCCCTATCTTGGAATCTTTTTCTGTGTTAGAAAAAATTTCACCAGCTGAAAAGTATATTAAGAAAAAGATCTGTACTCATGTGAAAACTATTCTGGAACAGTGCAGCTTCAAAGGTTGGGTTTCTCTTACTGGGTGAATAAAAGCAAAATGCTGCCCGTAAATGGACAATTGAGTGCAAAAGCAGAAGGAGTAATGGAATATTACAACCAAAAAAGAAATGGAAGAGCTGGCAAGAGAACTGGGATACAGCAAAATGGAGAAATATAAAATTAGCTGAAAACAGAGGCAATTGTAGGAACACTCCTTTTGAGTGGGCAGCTCAAATGTTAATGATTCTACAATAAATTCATGCTTTAACTGGAGAATCCTAGGAATTTAGATCCAGCAATATATTTGGAAAGGTGTGGGGAAAATTAACTTGAAAACCCACACCTCAGTTGGCTCAGAGGGAATGTGTGAATGTAGAATCTGTGAAAAGAAGTTTAATATGTTTTTAAAAACTGTCTGCTAAATGAGACCAGATAATTTATGCATTGATGATATGAAGCACCTGTTAGCTCAGTTTCAAAAGCAATAATTGTCCAAGGACTGTAATCTATTACTAATCAACTATAAGACTGTTGTCAGGACTGACCTAATTGGATATGGTCTTTAAAAGTACGCCTGAATGCCAGATTCAAGTGTAGATTCACAAAAACAGCCTGGAAATGTGCCAGGGGTGGAGCACTCAAGGGGCTAAACTGAAGGGGTAAAACTGAAGTGGATTTATCTAAGATGGCAGAAGAATAAAACAAGAATGAACACATATTGCTATGTTTTGAATGTTTGTGTTCCCACCAAATTCAAATGTTGGAATCTAAGACCCAATGCAATAGTATTAAGAGGTGAGCTTTTAGGAGGTGGTTAAGTTATGAGGGCTGTGCCCTCATGAAAGGGATTAGTGCCCTCATAAAAGGGCTTGAGGGAACTAGCTAGACCTTTGTTGCCCTTCCACCTTCTGCCATGTGAGGACACAGCAAGAAGGCGCCATCTTAGAAGCAGAGAGCAGGCCTCACCAGACACTGAATTTGCCAGCACCTTGATCTTGGGCTTCTCAGCCTCCAGAGCTGTGAGCAATAAATTTCTGTCTTTTATAAATTACCCAGGCTCTGGTATTTTGTCATAGCAGCACAAAAGAACTAATACATATATCAAAGTTTGTAGCAGATTCTAAATATCAAAAGACAATTTGTCTCAGTTCAAATCCTCCAAGAAGCAAGGCACCAAGAAAGAATGAGATGGGTAGGTGATTTATTGGGGGAAATGCCTGTGAAGAATAAAGGGGAGAGGGAGCAAGAGTAGGGGGGGTGTCACAAAATACAAGTCTGACTCTTGTACAAGGAGAGAAGAAAGGAAGGAGGATCTTGTAGAAAGAGCCCTAGACTGCAGTGCAGCCAGGCCAATGGCAAGTGTGCCCCAGCATGGAATGTTCATTACAGCAGTCATGCACTGTGGAGCAATGACCCAGTGCTAGTGTCCTCACTGTGCTCTGTCATTAGCTAGGAGCACCCTGGGGACAGTATGGCTTTAGCATGAATGCTGTGCCAGGTCAGAACATGCAGCAGCTAGATGTCGTCAGCTAGCTGTGTTCTTCACAGCAGGTTCTTTGGAAGGGACATCAGAGTGGCACACCACACGGCTGCTATGGCTTAACCTTGTGTCACACACATACATGTTCCCACACATGTTTATAGAGAAATCCTCCATGGTTCCTTTGAGCCTCTCTTCCTGAGAGGAAACTTCCAAGAGGGAGGCTGGCAGCAAAAACAACACCCCTAGAAGCTGCAGCTGATCTCAGAACTGTAACTGGTATTCATTTTCTCCCTCCTCCACTGTCCTTTCTAAATCCCTCTCACTCTCAATCACCTCTGCCTTTCCTGGTGGCTTACCTGGTGGTATGACCCAAAGTTCCATGCCTGAGGGATCTGATTCCTTGGTCATCACACCTTGTCAGGCTAATATGTCCATTCACGTGTCTATTCATAATTATAATTAGGCAATGCAGCACCAAGAGGTGCCCAAGCAGATTGTATTATGGAAATGCAGCCCTACTTCCTCCTGCTTTCCTGAGTCTATTGCCCTGGCTAAGATTGTTACTTCTCTTCTTTCCTGCTTGTCTCTGGACACAAGGAGTCCAAAATGCTCTGGAAGCAGCCATTGTTGTGGTTAAGTGGGACCTGTTCCATCCCTCTGGCAAGAGTGTGCTTCTTTGGGGATGAGAACCTCACCCCTCTGAGCTCAGAGTTGTGGGGACAGGAAGCAAAAAGTTCTCCAGTAGGTCATTGAGAGTGATGATAAGTGGGTCACAACTGCTTCTACTCTCAGGTTCCTATACTCATGTATTCTTTCGTTTGGAGACTCAGTGCCAGATGGAAGTCTCTGGTTTAATGCAAATACTGTACCCTGAATAATGTCACCCCACCTGTCTTAGTCTGTTTTGTGTTGCTATAACAGAATACTTGAGGCTGGGTAATTTTTAAAGAAAAGAGGTTTATTTGACTCATCATTCTGGTGCTGGGAGGTTGAAGATTGGGCAGCTGCATCTGGTGAGGGCCTCAGACTGCTGCAACTCATGGCAGAAAATGGAAGGGGAGTGGGCATGTTCAAAGAGATCACATGGTAAGACAGGAAGCAGGAGACAGAAACCGAGGAAGCCAGACTCCTTTAACAACCCACTCTCAGGAACTAATCCATTCCCTCAAGAGCAAGAACTCACTCACCCTCAAGGGAGGGCATTAATCTATTCGTAAGCTATCTGCCCCTATGACCCAAACACCTTCTACAAGGCCCCACCTCCCAATACTGCCACATTAGGGATCCAATTTCAACATGGGTTTTGATGGGGATGAACCACATCCAAACCATAGCACTATCCTTCAGATTATTGCCTGAGTTGGTTCTTCAGCTGTGCTTCAGTGAACTCTTCCAACACTTGATGCGGCTGGCTACGTTGAGATGGTGAAGGATCAGTGGATTCCATGGTCAAGGGCTCACTCTTGCACCTTCTTCACTTTAAAGCGATTTCCCTGGTCAAATGGCATGTTATGTGGAATTCTGTGCCTGCGAATCATGTATTCTATACATCATTGGATAATTAATGCTGGCTGCAGCTCTTCAGGCAGCAAAGGCAAACCCAGATATAGTGTTTATCACTCTGAGCCTGAACCACTGGCCTTTCTAGGACAGAAGAGCTCAATAGCACCAAATAGCTATTGGTCTTCTTGAGGAATAGTGTGATATCAGGTCTCAGTGTTGGTTTCTGTTGCTGATAGACTGCATATCCTGAGGCAGAAGTAGTTAGACTGGCCTAAGTAAGGAGGGATTCATTGATAGGGCCCATCTTTGCTACTACAGCCATTCCATTAATGTGCCCATTGTTCCAAATCTAGAATGGCCATTGCTGATGGCTAGCTAATGTCAACTGGCCGAGTCATTTTGACTATTTGGTTTTTCAGTGCCTTTTCCAAAATGAGTACTTTCTAGGGGCATTAACATGTAACACAAAATAATCTTCTCATTTTATGTTCACTCCCTATGTCTATCCACATGCTTCTGTGGCAGACTTCCTCATGTCTCATCTTCCAGTGGTAAGACTGCTTGAACTGCAGCCTGAGCCCTCAGAGCTCCTTTTGGCTCCAATTTCTACCCAAAGCTGGCTGCCTTCCATATCACCCAGTTCACAGGCTGAAACTGTATTAGTTCCAATATTAAGTGTGGACAGGGTTGCCTCCAGAACTCCGAGAAGTCCAACAGGTGTTGTGCTTCCTTATTCTTAGTAGGAGACATAAGATGCAGCAAGTTGTCTTTTACCTTGGAGGAGAAGTCTTGGGCCTGGCCCTGGTCACTGAATTCTTAAAAACTTTACTGAAGTGGCAGGTCCCGGGTTCTATAGAGGTCTTATCTCCTGCCTTCTAGATCTCATGTACCTTCTCAAGGCCTCCAGCATATAAGCCACCTCTTGCTAGTCCTGCATTATATCACTGATCAGCATTATATCACTGATGTATTGGATCAATGTGATGCTACAGACTCTTTAAACTAGATGATGACAGAGGGCAGCATGAATATAGCCCAGAGGACAAAACTGTAAATTAATCTTGTCCAGTTCATGCCAATGTGAACTGTTTCGGATCCTCTTTTCTGATTGGAATAGATAAGAATACAATCACCAAATCAATGGCAGCATACTCTAGAGCTGAGGCCTGATAGATTTACCATCAACATCATGTCTCACACAGCAACGATGACTGGAGCTACTACTTGGTTGAGCATGTGGAAATCTATAGTCATTCTCTAGAATCCATGTGGTTTCTATAGATGTCAGATTGGAGACTTCAATGAAGTCAATGGAGGTATGATTGGGACCACCCCTATGCATGCTTTAAATCTTTAATGGTGGTTGGATTAGTCAGGGCTCTCCAGAGCAACAAAACCAATAAAGGGTGTGTGTGTGTGTGTGTGTGTGTGTGTGTGTGTGTGTGTGTGTGTGTGTCTGTGGAGAGAGAAAGAGAGAGAGTTTTTTTTTTTTTAACAAATTGGCCCATATGATTGTGGAAGCTTGATTAATCCAAAATCTGATGAGAGAGGCTGGCAGGCTAGTGATCCAGGAAAGAGTCCCAGTTCAAGTCTGAAGGCAGTCTGCTGGCAAGCTAGGAAGAGAAAATGTTGCAGATGAAGTCTGAACAAAGTCTATTGTCAGAATTTGCTCTTGCTCTGAAAAGGTCAGTTTTTTGTTCTATTAGGGCCCTCAACTGATTGGATGAAGCCCACTCACATTATGGATGGCAATGTGTTTTACTTAAAGTCCACTGATTTAAATATAAATCTCACCTAAAAACACTCTCACAAAGATATCTGGAATAATATTTGACCAAATATCTGTGCACTGTGGCCCAGCCGAGTTGACACATAAAGTTATCCATCACAGTGGTATTAATGTCTGTCATCATTTCTGGGATGCAACATTATTTTTGATTCACTATCTTTGCTCAGGAAAGTGGTTGTTTCAAAGGCTTCCTCTTGGCCTTCCATGGTATGATGGTTCTTACCCCACTAGCTAAGGATCTACATGATAAACCCCAAATCTAACAGGGGCCCCTGAGATACTTTAAGTCTTCAGGCATCAATGTCAGCTCAGACAGTGTGTCCAAAGCCCTCTACATGTGTTTATTCTTCTTTCTTCAATGCATAGTCACATAAGTAAATGGGTGCAGGTCCCTTTGGGGCAAGACTGGGGAAATCACTATAGTTTATACTCATGGTGTTGCACAGTGCTTCCTTAGAAACAGCCACCTCTCAATCACTGCATTCTGGGTCTGAAAATCATCTCAGATGCAGGAACTGAAGGGTGAATTATGAATTTTTATTGGCACGACCACCTTTGTCCTGCTGCCTTCTCTGTTCTTGCCTGTTTCTGATGATAGATGTTAAATGCCAATCTCTTTGGCTGCCCTTCTATCTTTCCCCTGGAGACACCAGATTCTGTAAGTCATTTCCACAACTTCTTGTGGGTCATGCCCCTTGACAGCTATTCCAATATTGCTGGCAGTTACAATCATGGCAGCCCTCTGACTTCTGGCAGTTAAGCATTGTTACCTGGCCTCTACCTTCTTGGGGTACTATTGTCCCTATTGCTATTACTGAACCCAACTCTGTGACAGCTTCGGCTCTGGCCCATAAGGAGAGCCACCACTAAACTTCTTACTGATGCTGGTGTCCCTCTCACCAATGCATTCCTGATGGCCTTGGGGAATAATGTGTTATCTGAGCTGTGCTGCGGAACATAGTGTGGAATGCTGTGGTTTTCTGGCCTTGCATTATGAATCCACTTCCAGCAACCTTTATATTTTTCTTCCTCTACCATTTGCCATGGCAACTCCAGTATTTCCAGTTCACTCAAAATAGGCCATCACTGCCTCTAGGCTTCTGGAGAGCTACTATACAGTGAGTTTGCCCCATCTTGGGGGTAGAGATGGGGTTTTCCTTGCAATGATGTTAAACTCCTTGACCCAAGAAAGTGCTCCAAGTTAAACAACCTCTCTGTCTCTCATACTTTGCCTTTTACTGTTTCATTATTTCTCAGTTTCTCATCCCTCTGCAGGAATCCATAGAACTTGAGATAATCAGCCAATAGCACCATTCTTGTAGACATCATTCTCCTCATATCTCCCAAGTGCCTAAATATTTACATTAGCAAATCTGCTCCCCTCCACCAGGATGCATTCCCAAGCAGTATTCATTTCTCACATTCCACTCGGGATCAGATCCTCCTTGCCAGCCAGACATGAGTGAGCAGTCCCCAACTCTAATTTTACTGCCTGCTTTCTCAGGCCGTTTTTTGCCAAGTGTGTCAACTGATAGCCTCTGAGTAGCAGACACCAAGCCAAAATAATATGTGAAAACAATTTTGGTGAAAACGTCTGTGAAAGATAAAGAGGAGAGGAGCAGGAGTAGGTGGGGAGAGATTTCAAACCACAAGGCAGGTGTGACACTTGTGAAAGAAAAGAGGGAAGGAGAAAAAATGGGGTAGGAAGAGCTCCAGGCTGCAGTGCAGCTCTGAGAAGTCTTGACCAGGTGATTGGGAAGGCCTCTTGCAAAGGCCGTCCATTAGAAGAAGCTTCTGTCAGGCAGAAATGGCCCAGCAATAGTACTCCACTGTACTCAGGTATTGCCTGGGAGCAGTGTTGGGGAGAGGGGAGAGAGGCCTGAGTATGAATGCTGCAGATCTGTAGGTACAGCCACTAGCTGGAGGCTGCTGGCCAACTACACTCAGACGGCGTGTTCTCTAGAAGGGAGAGAGGCCTGAGTATGAATGCTGCAGATCTGTAGGTACAGCCACTAGCTGGAGGCTGCTGGCCAACTACACTCAGACGGCGTGTTCTCTAGAAGGGAGATCTGAAGGGTACACCTACACAATCAAGTCTAAGCGGCAGGAGCAGTAAATTAAGCCAAGGCCAGGAAGCCAGCTGGAAAATGGGATGGGAGCCTGCAAAGGGGCTCCCATTGTAGGTAATAAGCAAAGGCATGCGCAAATTCTACCTTTATTTACATGTGCATGGCTGTAGTGGGTGGGTTTAGTGTATGGGTGTATGGACTGGTTTAATGTTACAACAAGCATGAAGGAGTTCATGTGAGTACATGGACAGCCATGAGAAATGTGCATTGATAAGGAAGGAGACAAAAAAAATCTATAAAAAGCAGACACAAGAATAAAGAGGGTATAGCTTTATGGAGCCATTTAATATACGAAAAAATCACACTATAATCCTCAGTATACCCAGAGGGCAATCACTGTATTACTGGAATCATCACGAAAGGGCAATTCAAGTTGAATATCATCTATTTCAGGAGGTAAATATGTACACCTTAATATGTGTTATTTTAAAAGAGTTTCAACAAAATGGTTTTTAATGTCACATGCTTAAATGGTAAGTCCCTCCATCCTATACAAAATTTTTATAATTTAAAAAGACTTATTTCCCTGCTGGATAGCTGGGTTGTACTTTATTACCTTTCAAACATTCATGCTGCCTGCTCCATGGTTTTTTCTATAATTTTATAGCTTCCATTCTGCCAGTTTTATAAATTACATTTCTGATAGAAAGTACACTACTCTCTTAGACTGCCACAATTCAGAAAGCAAGTGCCAAAAGAAACTAAACTTTAATGTCCAAGAGAACAATTCTTTTTGTGTCATTTCATACAATTCAAGGTTCAAGGGAAATGTTCGTGGTTTGCATATTTATAATTTTTATAATACCTTCCATAACTGTACAAATAAAAATAAATGTAAATCTGTATCAGAGTAAGGGCTTAAAATATTTTTAAGGTATGTTTAGATTATGACAAGTGAAAAGTCTATGAGTGACACTCTGTGGCTAAATTTAAACTAAGAAAAGTCATTTGTATTAAGTAACATCATTTAGTTGTAAGTACTCACAGGCACTGTGTTTTATGGCATAAAGTTAGATATGAGGCCATGACTGCAGTTAAATTTTGAATAGCAGAAATTTAATTCCTCTGTTATCATCAGCACCACCATCAATTCATCTTCCTCATCATCGTTACTATTACTATATACTTATATATAAATAATAATATTTATACTACTACTACTATCATCACATCTATACTTTCACATTCCCCTTGGTGGCTCTAAATCTGAAAGCAGTAAGAAAAGCAGAGAATGTGGGAACAGACCTGGGTTTGAGTTCTAAATTTGCTTCATACTGGCTGTATGACTTTAGGCAGTTTTCTTAACTTCATTATGTCAGGAGACTTGTTTATAATGCAGGGATAATAATACCCACTCCAAACAGTGCTTGTGAGAATTAAATATATGTAAATCACCTATGAAGACAACAAATTTTAATGTCCTGCTAAAATCTCCCCACTATCAGAGGATGATTCCTTCTGCTTCTGGAGAAAATTAGAATGTTTAAAGTTTATTGAACTTTTTTTTAATAGGTCACTCTCCCTATTCTCTCCCCTTCAATAAACACGCTTGTTTATTGAAGTTGCTCTCATTCAAAGGCACCAGAAGCTTCCTAATGGCCAAATCCAGTTATAGTCATGCACTGCTTAATGACGTTTCAGTCAACAATGAACCACATGTAGGAAGGTGGTCCCATAAGATTATAATGGAGCTGAAAAATTCCTACCACCTAGTGATGTCCCAGCTGTCCTACAGTCATAATACAATGCATTACACATGTGTTTGTGGTGATGCTGTTGTAAATAAACATACTCCTCAAGAAGAGCCCCAGGCAGGTCCTTCGGGAGGTATTCCAGAAGAAGGCATTGCTGTCATAGGAGATGACAGCTCCACGCCTGTTATTGCCCTGAAGATCTTCCAGTGGGACAAGATGTGTGGGCAGAAGACAGCGGTATTGATAATTCTGCTCCTGAGGAGGCCTAGGCTGTTGTGTGTGTTTGTGTTTTTAAAAACACTTAAAAAGTAGAATAAATAAATAAATTTTAAATAGAAAAAAGCTTACAGAATAAGGATATAAAGAAATATTTTTTGTATAGCTGTACCATGTGTTGTTTTAAGCTAAGTGTGTTACAAGAGAGTAAAAAGGTTAAACAATTTTAAAGTTTATAAAGTAAAATAGTTATAGTAAGCTAAGTCTATTATCAAAGAAAGAAAATTAAAAAAATTAGTGTAGCCTAAGTATACAGTAGTTATAAAGCCTACAGTGTACAGTCATGTCCTAGGCCTTCACATTCACTCACCTCCCATCACTCACTCACCCAGAGCTTCCAGTCTTGCAAGCTCTATGCATGGCGAGTGCCCTATACAGGTATGCCATTTTCTTATCCTTTATATCATATATTTGCTGTATTTTCTCCTTGTTTAAATATGTTTAGATACACAAATACTTACCATTGTGTTATAATAGCTTACAGTATTCAGTATGGTAACATGTTGTACAAGTTTGTAGCCTAGGAGCAATAGTCTATGCCATATACCCTAGGTGTGGAGTAGGTTACCATATATACCTAGGGTATACCATATACCCTAGGTTTGTGTATGTACATTCTGTGATGTTTCCACAGCAATGAAATTGCCTGATGATGCATTTCTCAGAACATATCTCCTTCGTGAAGAGATGCATGATTGTATCTCCTTTATAGTCCTCATTCTATTTGTCCTCTCTGCTGCATGGATGTATTAACCACTCTCCTTGAAACTTTTTGTTCCTTGGCTTCTCTGAAGCCACTCTTTCTTTGTTCATTTCCTTTTTTCCCCTTTGATTTTGGGTTTTTTAAATAGTGGGTATGACACGGATTGCAAGGTAAGTAGCAGAAAGCAGTGAATGGTAAGTTGGTTCTGCTTCTGATCCAAGAAGGAAGTCAAAGACATTCAAGGTCAATACTGTGAAGACACAGAAACCAAGGAGGTGATGTGCCAGAAGCTATCATGGGAAGCTGGGGCCAAGGATTAGGAGCTGAACACCAATAAGGTACGAGGAGACAGGAATACAGGGAACAATACCTAATGTAATCCAACTAGTTTTGCCTGAAATCTCTTTCATTTTTACCTGGCTGTCATTTTGTGGGCTGGGCACATAAACAGTACAAGCAGAATCTTAACGAAAGTGCCAAATACTTTCTACTTCCTTTCCTCTCTGGCCTCTAAGTTGGTCCCTATAGTCCTATTTCTTGGACTTCTCTATCAATCTACAGACTTAGCTTGGATGATCTCATCCAGCCTCATTTTTTAACTACCATGTTCTCCTACAGTTTCTAAAGTGTCTTCCGGGTCTAGCTTTTTTTTTTTTTTTTTTTTTTTTTGAGACAGGGTCTCACTCTATCACCCAGGCTGGAGCACCGTGGTGTGATCATGGCTCACTGCAGCCTCGACCTCCCAGGTTCAAGCAATCCTTCTGCCTCAGCCTCCTGAGTAGCTGTGACTATACGTATGGGCCACCACACTAATCTTTTGGGTCTTTTTAATCTATATGCCCTGTAATATTTGAAGCTCGGATGCCTAAATCGACTTTGGTAATATGACTTTCTAAATTGCTACCTCTTTCAGTTGCAGCATCACCACCCATGCAATCTCTTATATAAGAAAGCATAATATATCATTTTCTTTGCTGACATCCAATAGGTCACGAAGAGTTTTATTTTTTTTTAATTTTTGTAGAGATAGAGTCTCCCTTTGTTACCTAGGCTGGTCTCAAACGCCTATCCTCAAGACATCCTCCCACCTCGGCATTCCAAAGTGTTGGGATTACAGGCGTGAGCCACTGGGCCTGGCCTAAGATTTTTAAAAATACTTATTTATTATAATTATTAATATTTCGACATGACTGTCTTTTGTCTAGCCCTTGAGCTAAGCGCTCTGCTATCCCTTTATAGATAGTACCTCATCTTGGCTGGGAGCAGTGGCTCACACCTGTAATCCTAGCACTTTGGGAGGCTAAGACAGGCAGATGGCTTGAGCTCAGGAGCTTGAGGCAGCCTGGGCAACATGGCAAAACCCTAACTCTACAAAAAATCAGCACATGCTTGTAGTCCCAGCTACTTAGGGAGCTAAAGCGGGAGGATCGCTTGACCCAGGAGGTCAAGGATGCAGTGAGCTGTGATAGTGCTACTGCACTCCAGCCTGGGTAACAAAGTGAGACTCTGTCTCAAAGATAGATAGATAGATAGATAGATAGATAGATAGATAGAATCTCATCTAATCTTCAAAACATCCTTTAATGATAGCCTTACAGGTTTTGTTATCATCTCTGTTTTAGAGAGAAAGAGTCTAAGGCTCAGCATATTTAAAATAGTCTTTCATGCTTTAAATATTAGGTTGGTGCACAAGTAATTGTGGTTTTTGCCATTTAAAGTAATGGCAAAAACCACAATCACCTGTGCATCAACCTAATGGTTGTTCCAGTTAACACAAAATTGAATTCAGGTAGTTTGACTCTAGATCCTGCTCTCTCGCCACTATATTCTGCTGCTTCTTTGCTCCATGTATTTTTCTCAGAAAAGTCTCACAGATCCAGCTCTTTCTCTGGCTACAGTTACACAAGGTTACATACCCGGGCTCCAAAAGCAGATGGATTTGCATTGGAACCCTGGGGCCCCTGCCTGCTGTGTGACTTTGAACAAGGCTCCTAACCTTCTCTGCCTTTGATTCCTCATTGGTAAATAGGTACATACTAGCAACATCACAGGTTGGTTATGAAATCACATCACAGGTTTTAAATGAAATAATATAAAGAAAAATGGAATGAATAAAAGCTTAGCTAACCTATGTAAAGCTCTATATACTTAATTGCTGTTTTTATTATTCTATGCCAGTATAAGCCCTCAAATGTTTCCACTGTGTTTCAAAAGATTTCTAACTGGTCTCCCTAACATAAGAACCGATAAATTCATTGTCTTGATTGTCAGAATTACATTTTAAAAAGCTAAATCTGATCATGTCACTTCCCTGCCACAAAACCTCTAATGTTCCTATTCTCTATTTGACTGCCTTTTATGCCATACTGAAGTATTGACTTAAAATGGAATCAACTTCTTTAAACTGGAATGACATCTTCTGCCTTTCTCGTTTATTTCCTGCTACTCTCCCAAAAGAAGTATAGTCTTCATAAACACCAAACTTATTCTTCCATAGACCTACCAGTCCCTTTGAGGCCTTTGGGCCTCTCTGTTTCCTGTTTCAGTACTTGCCCCATTTCGTCTAGAAAACTCCTACTTGTCCTTAAGACCTAGCTCCTCATAATGGCTTCCTCTAAGTCAAAATTGAACGCCTGTCTGTGCTACAAAGAGTACTTTATTCATGGCATTTATGACATGGAATTTACAATTACTGAGTTGCAATGACTTTCCCCAGGGAAAAGTCCATTTCTGAATAAAAATCAATCAAATTCGGTGTGTGGTACACCGGTGTACAGTGTCTGGTACATTATAGACATTCAATAAATACTGCTAAATGAATAATGTGTATTGTTTATAGTTTACAAGGTCTTTTCACATACTTAACTTATTTTCATCATATTATCATATCACATAAGCATAAGAGTTTGGATACAAGAAGCTGTTGTTATTACTATTATTATTAAACTGAGACTTAGTAAACATTTCTAGCATTTTCCCCACCTGCAGAACTTTAAAAATACACAAAAATTACCAATATGGGACAGTAAACTAGTTCAACCATTGTGGAAGTCAGTGTGGTGATTCCTCAGGGATCTAGAACTAGAAATACCATTTGACCCAGCTATCCCATTACTGGGTATATACCCAAAGGATTATAAATCATGCACATGTATGTTATTGCGGCACTATTCACAATAGCAAAGACTTGGAACCAACCCAAATGTCCAACAATGATAGACTGCATTAAGAAAATGTGGCACATATACACCATGGAATACTATGCAGCCATAAAAAATGATGAGTTCATGTCCTTTGTAGGGACATGGAGGAAGCTAGAAACCATCATTCTCA
The DNA here is from genome assembly GCF_000001405.40 of Homo sapiens. NCBI lineage: Eukaryota > Metazoa > Chordata > Mammalia > Primates > Hominidae > Homo > Homo sapiens. Next base: position 64,740,916 of record NC_000001.11, read on the forward strand.
GCAAACTATTGCAAGGACAAAAAACCAAACACCACATGTTCTCACTCATAGGTGGGAATTGAACAATGAGAACACATAGACACAGGGTGGGGAACATTACATACTGGGGCCTGTTGTGGAGTGGGGGGAGAGGGAGGGATAACATTAAGAGATATACCTAATGTAAATGATGAGTTAATGGGTGCAGCACACCAACATGGCACATGTATACTTATGTAACCAACCTGCATGTTGTGCACATGTACCCTAAAACTTAAAGAATAATAAAAAAATAAATAAATAAATAAACTTTAAAAAATTACCACCAATATTTAAAAAAATAAAGGCTAAAGCTAGCATAGGGCTCATATTTTAATAACATGGTCATTATATAGATCATGATAATTACCTGTGGGTATTGGTAAATACATTGCTGCTTGATAATTGTACTTCACTTCAAGTTCAGATTAGAGTGTTCCTTTAGTATGCCATGGAAGCAGCTATTTAAAGAGTCAGGCTAAACCTGGCATGAGAGGAACTCTTTGGAATTACAGTAGCATTCCAAAGTCTTTGCAGTTTCCATCCAGTTCTTTTATGTGGCAATAACAATTAATTCAGTTTAAAATTATTTTTAACCAGTAGATTCTGCCATTTCCCTTAATTCCTTGAAAACAGTTGAGCAAATGTAAAACATACTTGATTTGAAATCTAGGGCAGTGTTTTTCGAAATGTGAGTAAGGACTCATTAGTGATATGCAAAATCGACTGTGTAATTCAAGCAATTTTAAAATGGAATGGAATAGAATAGGAAATACTAGAATGTGCTACATGATGAAGGAGCGTGATGTTTTGTGAAATCTTCATTTCGATTGTGTGTGTGTTTACTAAATTGTGATATAAAATATATTTCCCACTGTGGCATATATTTCCCACTAGATTGGGTCAAAAAAGTTTGAAAGCCACTACCCTATACGACGTAGCAATATTGCACAAGGAGTGGGATCAATTCAAAGTAGCCACTTAATAAAATTGGCTTAATAATTTGATAACATTGTAATCATGTCCCCATTGGGGCCAAAACTGGAATTACATTATCATAACTCCCAAAACATAATCAACACCTGATTCATTCACCAGACTTAACCTCAAATAACATTTAATTATTTCCAAAAATTAAACCCATCTCTAAGAGGTGAGTATTTGCTACCACATAAACTATGCAGAATAATTTGCTGTAGATTATAAAGTCAATTCCAAAAAAGCACTTTGGGGCTGGGCGTGGTGGCTCACGCCTGTAATCCCAGCACTTTGGGAGGCCGAGGCGAGCGGATCATGAGGTCAGGAAATCAAGACCATCCTGGCTAACATGGTGAAACCCCGTCTCTACTAAAAATACAAAAAATTAGCTGGGCTTGGTGGCACACGCCTGTAGTCCCAGCTACTCTGGAGGGTAAGGCAGGAGAATCGCTTGAACCTGGGAGGCGGAGGTTGCAGTGAGCCAAGATCACGCCACTGCACTCCAGCCTGGGCAACAGAGCAAGACTCCGTCACAAAAGAAAAAAAAAAAGCACTTTGGAGAATGTTTTGAGCAAAAGCAATCACTGAAGTTATATTCAGACCACTATCCGTTTGCATATTTATTATATTTAATTATAATCATTGCATAATTTTCTCTCAGTGAGACTTAGCCCCTATTGTACAGGAGCATTATTTTACTATTTCTGTCTTCTTATTGCCTTTATATATTATCTAGCACATAAGGGACATTTAATAAATGTTTGCCAAGGAGGTGGTACTCATTTGGATAAATACATGTTCTGAAACATAATGAATGACTCAAGGTTACAGCCTATGCTAAGGCTATTCATGCTTCTTCACTTCAAAGAATGTACTTTTCAAAGTCTCTCAGCTCTACAAAATAGGGCCTTATTGGAGTTTAAAATGTATACCTTTTAAAATCAAAGGAATACAATTTAAAAGCAAAATGATACATTAATACTAGAATATCATGGATGCAAGCAGAGAAATAAGTGCTCTTATACAATGCTTGTGATAGGGAAAACTGAGGTAAGTTTGTAAATACATACAAAAAATCCTTAAATATGCTTACTCTAGATGCAGAAATTTTGCTTCTAGTTCTTCACTCTGTGGAAAAGTAATGATCTTCAAATATGTATAGAGGGTTAAACTCAGTGCTGTTTACAATAGATAAAAATAATAGGAAATACTAATGCTAGGAAATAAGTGAATTTTCTAATTCAACAGAATAATATGCAGCCATAAAAACCATGGTATTCAAATACATTGGCATAGAAAGGGATTCAGCAGACATACTGTAAAAAGCAGAAAACAGAGCTGTAAACTACAGAATATCATTCAAAAACATTTTTATGCAGTAATAGTCACGTAATAAAATTAATATTTTAAAAGTGAATAGTTCAGTGACTATTTAGTACATTCATATTATTGGGCTACTGCCCCCTCTGTCTAGTTCCAAAACTAGATTTTCATCATTCCATAAGGATGTTTGCACCCATTACCTTCTCCTCCAGCCCTTGGTAAACACCAATCTGTGTTCCGCTCTATGAATCTACCTATTCTGATATTTTATACGCATGGAATCATACAATATATGACCTTTTGTCTCTGGCTTCTTTCATTTAATGCTTTGGAGGTTCGTCCACCTTGTAGGGGTCCTTAATTCCTTTTTATGGCTAAAAATATTTCTTAGCATATATATATCCCACGCTTTGCCTATCTGTTCATCAATAAATGGACATTTGGGTTGTTTCTATCCTTTGGTTACCAGGAATAGTGGTGGTATAGAAGGGTGTATTGCCGAATATCATTTTAATGATACAAGTATTAGCAGCCATTATTTTTGGGTGGACGGATTACGGGTGAATTATTTTATGTTATTCAGAACACTGGGCTTTGGAATCAATCAGAACAGATCCCATTTCCTCACGTGTAAAGTGAGGAAAACAAAACCTACGTAATTGAATGATCATGAAGAGTAAATAAATATGTATATGTAAAGCATTTAGAAATGCGTGGTTGGGGGGAGCACATGGTAAGGACTGAATTTGTAGTATTTTTAAAAAATCTTTAAAACATTTTGTTTTTCTTTTAATTAGTGTTAAAGTCTTTTTTTTTTTTTTTTTTTTTTTTTTGCTAGTGTACTTGCATGCTACACAATTAAGATGCATGGTCCCCTTCGCTGATGGTCACCTGGGCTAGTGCCAAAGGCTGCTGGATTGTTTGATCTGATGACATCCGTTTGACTAAGTATAGTTCTACACTGTAACTCTCCCTCCAAGTTTCAATTAAAATAATGTTCCAAGCAGCGTATTCTCCAGCCCCTCTGCCACAGCTCCTTTTCCATTCTAGTCTTTGTTTCAGCATCACTTTCCATGTTGCAGACCCAACTACCCAGGTTTTACATTTTAGGAACTGCATGACAGGGACAGAGGGACAGGTGAAGGGCACAGGCTTTCTCATACACAGCTAGCAAAATACATTACGATCAGGTTTTACCAAATACATAACATTTCTCCCACAATGTCCCTCTTTTTACTCCCCAGAAAATCTCATTGTAAACTCAAACTTTGCCAAATATGCTCTTCTTGAACCAACAGAAGGGTTACCATCGGGAGCCAGCCGGGCTGCAGGAGGCGCCCTCCTGCCACCCCTCCAGCCCCATCTCGGGTGTGGGAAGACCGAGTTCGCGCCCGCAGCCCCCGGGCCGCCCCAGCGCGGGAGTTTCGAGGGGAGCCGGGGGAGAGCTGCGGCGTCACATGGGGGGCCAGCCGGGGACAGGCGCCTGGGGCTGAGTCTCCCGGCGAAGCCACCGCGAAGGGGCCGCATCCCCCAGAGAACGACCCTGGGCGTTCGCGAAGGCCTCGCAGAGAGGGGGAGCCCGCCTGCGCGTCCGCGCCCTCACAGGTGTCCGGGTGGCGGCGCCCGGCCCCGCCTGCGGACCCGCGAGAGGCGGGCGCGGGCGCGCCTGTGCGCCGGGGCCGGGGGCCGGCGGGGGAGGTTCCCGCGAGGTGGTTCTCGGGCTCCTCCTCGGCGCCTCAGGTTTCCTCTCCCCGCCAGCAGGCTGCTGGCTGCGGCGCCGCCTCTCTCTACTCCCTCCTCCCACCGCCCCCCTTCCCCGCGGTTGGGCCCACTCTGCGGCCTCTGCCCGCCTCGCCCTCGCCCGGGCCTCCTCCCGCTTTCTCTCTCCGCTTCCCCTGGAGCCTCCGAGGAGTCCGCAGCCGCTGGGCGCCCGGGAAGATGGCGGCGGCGGCGGGAGACGGCGGCGGCGAGGGGGGCGCGGGCCTGGGCAGCGCGGCGGGGCTGGGGCCGGGGCCGGGGCTGCGCGGGCAGGGCCCCTCAGCCGAAGCGCACGAGGGCGCCCCGGACCCGATGCCCGCCGCGCTGCACCCTGAGGAGGTCGCCGCGCGACTGCAGCGGATGCAGCGGGAGCTGAGCAACCGCAGGAAAATCCTGGTGAAAAACCTGCCCCAGGACAGCAACTGCCAGGTACTGGGACGGTGATAGGGGCGACGCGTCCCGAGGGGCGGCGGGGCGGCGCTCCGTGTCCAGGCTGGGATCGGGGGCGCCTCAGAGCGGTCCTGGGGAGTGGGTCGGCGCCGAGTGGTGAGAGCGGCCCCTCGGTTTGACTGAGTTCTTGGGGTTTCTAGCCTGCAGACGCCCTGCCAGGGAGGGGGGCAGATTGGGAAACTGAGGCTCTGAGTGGCGAAGCGGCTTCTCCAAGGTCACGGGAATCAGGGGCTGCTGCCTCCAAGTTCGGCCCGGTCTTTCCTTCCCCTACGGCCGTAGAGGAGTAGGAGGTGAAGGAGAGTGGAGGTGAGTTGTGGAGCACACATTTTGCGGGGGGGAGCGGGGGTAGAGGGGGCCGAAGCTTCGGGAGCACCTTGGCAGGGGCGAGGGCTCCAACGTATAGTCCCCGGTGCTCGGGAGTGCCATAGGGGGCAGGGGCACGAGAGAGCTGGGAGTGAGTTTCGCTGTTGTTGCAGAAGCACTTGCCCAAGTTTCTATGAAACAACTCTGTCTTCTCAGTTTGCTAAGGCCCCAGAATAGAGTTATTGCTGCGCTCCTTGGAGCCTTGCAGCCGCCTCCTGCTACGCCAAGTACAGTACTGGAGGGTTTGTTCTCAGTGACTTGGATGAGGTTTAAAGATAGCTACTCTGTGTATTTAATCCAGATTAACTGTTGCTTTTAAGATTAGAAACTCTGCATCTATTTAACTTTTTTTTTCCCCTGATTTCAAAAGCTGCATGCTCATTGTAGGAGAGCTAGGAAAGACAGAGAAGCACAAAGGGGACACAGAAATTACCCATATTTCTGATACCTGAAGATAACCATTGTTATCCTGGGATGTTGTTCTTTTCTCTTTTCCTATGCATATATATTTTTGTTTTATCAAAAGCTTGAAATCATTTCTTTGATTCTTCAGGATTTCTTAGCTGTCTGGATGTTCACACATGTTTCACATATAACCTGAATTTATATACTGCTCCGAGTGTGGTGGGCTGTCCTGGTAGTTGCGGATTTGTAGTTCCTCCTGTAACCGGATGCATGAAATTGCAAGAGGGCTGGCTATTGACAATTGCATGGCAGTTCTTCCATGTGACTTATAAAATAATGAGACCAATGCCCCATTACTATGTAATGAGACCTTACATAGCCATTCACAATAAATATGAACATATAACCTTATAACCCGTAGGCATGGGGGGCTATTTTGTTTCAAAATGCAGTGTCTGTCAGTATTGTTTATCTCATCTGTCTTTCAACTCTTTCCATTCCGCCATGGTCCACTTCCCATCTGTCAGGTAATGTTTTGTGATACTACCTGTTAAGGACACCTGCAATGGACTGATTTCTTGGAAGCAGCCTCCCCTGCCCATACAAATAGAGGACTGTAAGGGAGCTCAGGAAGGAGGAGGCTTGGAAGAAGCAGATGGCATTTTTTAAAAAAACAAATTTAAAAAATAGCAGCTCTTTGTATAGACAGTCTAGGAGGAGAGAAATAGAGAAGTATCTCAATGTCTTTGTAGAATGTCAGCTGTTTTTGTTATCACAATTCCTTGCATTAATTCTAAATATATTTAGACCCCAAATTGAAGACGTTCTGTCTATTCTTGCTTTGCTGTTGGTATCTTTCTCATTTCCCTTCGCAATAGACATGAAAAATATATCAAAGGGTCTAATAAAAGGAGCAGTTTTAATTAGTGATAGAAGCTTTCTCAGAATTACACTGGGATTTGTATTTTTGAGATTTCATCTACTTAAACTAATATTTTCATATGTTCTGCATGAATTTTTTTGTATTTTTTGTTTTAACAATTTCCCTTAATTATAATGTCTGCTTTTTCTTAGTGACTATATTTTACTGTCAACTTACTGATGAAAGTTTCACTTTATTTTATTTTGTGTCTTTTTGCTAGTAAGGCCTACATAAAATCACCTGTGCTAAAACTACATATTTACCCTTATGAAATGGTTAATATGGCTTTTGTTCAATTATTAAGTAATCAGATATTTTTGAAATACTAAGTTCTTGTTCTTTTCCAGAAGAGACTGTGTTTATTCATTCATTTCTTTCTTTCTTTTTTTTTTTTTCTGAGACAGAGTCTCGCTCTGTCATCCAGGCTGGAGTGCAGTGGCGCGACCTCAGCTCACTGCAACCTCTGCCTCCCAGGTCCAAGTGATTCTCCCTGCCTCAGCCTCCCAAGTAGCTGGGATTACATAAGCCTGCCACCATGCCTGGCTAATTTTTGTATTTTTTAGTAGAGATGTGGTTTTGCCATGTTGACCAGGCCGGTCTTGAACTCCTGACCTCAGGTGATCCCACACGCCTCGGCCTCCCAAAGTGCTGAGATTACAGGTGTGAGCCACTGTGCCTGGCCTCATTTCTTTATTTTAGAATATCACTTTAAGGATCAAAGACATTCATAACTCTAGTTCTCAAACTGTGTATTTATGTCTCTAGAAAATACTGATCAATAACTTACTAGTAGAAACCCAATAATTTTTTCTTAACATTTGAAATATATGAGTGTTTTCTTTATTAAATGTAGTTTTCATAAATCTCAAATTTTGTTTTATTTTTGGTATAGCAGATTTATAATAGCATCCCACAACTTTATAGTTCCTATAATTAAAAGGCATACTGAAAGTATTTTTAACTGGAAGCTTTTAGAGGTATGTTTATCAAATACCTTATAGAAGTACCGGCTCTAAAAAAAAGTGAACACCTTTATATTAAGTTCTCAAAAGCTTTCTCACTGAATAATTACTGTGCATTCAGTCAAGCCCTGTCTGGTCTGCCTAAGCTTTCTGGAATCTTCCTGGCCCTCTTTGTTTTCACAGCCTCAGCTCTGGTTCAAGTCCTTTTCGTCTCTTGTTCACTGTTAACAACTTTTCGGTTTGTCACCTACCTTCATTACTGTCCTGTTTCTTACATTTTAGCTCCTTCTGCATGCTACTTCCCTTGAGGGATACTCCTGAAGCACAAATCTGATCATGTCACTCTCCTGCTCATAAAAAACCAGCCTTTGGCTGCACGTCCTCTCAAACTTTTCCTCAAATTGTCCTTAACAGTAAAGAACAGTGAATCTGAATTAGACTGTTGCAAGACTGAAATTGCTTTGAAGTTTTGTGTTCTGTCTGAGAATTTTATATTAATTTTATATTCTATTAGTAACATTGGATTTAACACAAAAATAGCATTTAACTCCCAATTTTTTTTCATAAACTTGACACTTATGGAAAATGTACTATATTTGACTTTTGATTCTCTGTATTTCTGTATTACCATGGAGTACACAGATATGAGTTTGAAAAGCATGAAATGATAGGACAGCAGTCTAAGATTCTTAGGCTTTTTGTGTGTTGGCCCCTGCCTACGTTTCCAGTCTCATTCCTTTTTAGTTTTTATTTATTGTTTTGAGACAGGGACTTGCTCTGTCACCTGGACTGGAGTGCGGTGGAACGATCACTGCTCACTGCAGCCTTGACCTTCCAGGCTGAAGCGATTCTCTCACCCTCTAAAGTAGCTGGGACTACAGGCATAAGCCACCATGCCAGGCTAATTTTTTTTTTTTTAATTTTTTGTAGAGACATCGTATCTCTATGTTGCCTAGGCTGGTCTTGACCTCCTGGACTCAAGCAATCCTCCTGCATTTGCCTCCCAAAGTGCTGGGACCACAGTGTGAGCCACTGCACCCAGCCATCAGTCTCATTTCTGATTAGTCCCGCATTGGATTCTGTTCATTTCTGATTAGTCTTGCATTGGATTTTTTGTTTGTTTGTTTGTTTTTTGAGACGGATTCTCACTCTGTCGCCCAGGCTGCAGTGCAGTGGTGTGACCTCGGCTCACTGCAACCTCCACCTCCTGGGTTCAAGCGATTCTTCTGCCTCAGCCTCCCGAGTAGCTGGGATTACAGGCATGTGCCACCACGCTCGGCTAATTTTTGTGTTTTTAGTAGAGACAGGGTTTCACCATGTTGGCCAGGCTGCTCTCGAATGCCTGACCTCAGGTGATCTGCCCGCCTCGGCCTCCCAAAGTGCTGGGATTACAGGCGTGAGCCACCGTGCCCGGCCAGTCCTGCATTGGATTCTATTCCACATTTATCAAACTACCTAGATCCCCAAGTACCTCATGCCACTGTGAATTGAATATTTATAGTTATATCTTTGTTTTGGAATGTATTTATAGTGAGTACTTTATAGTGAATAATATTTATAATTATTTTTAATGAATAATTTATAGTCAATAGTAATGTTGCAAATGCTGGTTCCTATTCATAGCCATTGTATATGTGTGTGTCTGGTCTTTTGCAACTGAATTTAGAATTTTGATTGGTTGAGGTAATGTTTTAATATTTTTTCTAATATATGTGTTATTGTATTTCTATAAATTGTATTACGGTTAACCTGGTTCTGTTTCAATATTGTTGTCATTGGGGTTTCAAAATGGAGAAAACAGGGGCATTTGCTTCTTAGATTATTTGTGTTCACTTAGGTTTTTTTTCTTACAGGTCTTATGTGTGTGCATGTGTTTTGTTTTTGTCATCTTGTTTACCCTAAAATCTTGAAGAGAGTCTCTTGTGAAATTAGAAGACAATGTGAAGTGCTTAGGGCCAACATTCAGGATCAGTAATAGAGGAAACAAAACATTCTATTGTCACTTTGGATATTATAAACTTACATTTCAAAGTACTCTAATATGATAGTTAATTTGAGAAGCTTGATGGTTTATTTACAGAGACCCATTTGAAACCATAATATTACCAAGTAAGCACTTTTTAGAATCACAAACAACCAAATGTAAGAAACTCTAGTTAATCTTTTTTCGTAATTAAATTTTTTTCTGCTCTTTCTCTTTTCTTTTTCTTTTCTTTTTTTTTTTTTTAAAGAGACAGAGCAAGATTTCTCTGTCTCCCAGGCTGGAGTGCAGTGGTGTGATCATAGCTTACTGCAGCCTTAACTCCTGGGCTCAAGTGATCTTTCCATCTCAGCCATCTGAGAAGTTGGGACCATAGGCATGCACCACTGTGTCCAGCTAATATTTTTTAATTTTTTGTAGAGACACGGTCTCTCTATGTTGCCCAGGCTGGTCATAATCTTATTTATAAAAGCTACGTATTCCTGTTTATACATCAGTATAAAAAAGAATTATCTTACATATTTTATGTCCTTTAACTGTGGGATTTAAAAATGTACTTTGTTTTCTCTAACAATATATTTGGTAATTATTGCCTCTTTTTAAAATAGGGCTATTATTCTCTACTTTTTTCCTGACAATATTGGGGTGTTTTCTCTTTTTGAAATTATCCTTTCTTTAAAATCAAAATGCCATTGCTTACCTCCAAAAGTTACTTTTCTTAGTGTATGCTGTGCAAAAATTATCTATTAAATTTTCTTTTCTAATGCAATTAAACAGAATTGAATTATGGGTTCTACTTCTTTTTCATGTGTTTTGTTATCCTATTCTCAATGTAACAAGAACACTGAAAGCTGCTAGGGAAATGTACTTCTAGATTTCTGGGACACCACTGTCTCCTTAAGTTTCTAGTTTTGGAAGAAATTCTTGAAAAGTGTTTGAGAAATGCAGTTCTCTGCTATGAAAACACATTCAAGAAGAGGAGGAATACTTTGTGGTTAGCATCAAAATGCTGTGTTAACAGCCATTCCAAAGAAATCTCATGTAATCTATAGCCCATTTCCCAGTTAATGACTGGGTTATGCTTAGAAATTCTTTTTTGAACTTGTGACATGTTTTCACATAGAAAGAATATAGTAGATGGTATTTAGTTTTCAGGTTAGCATTTTAGCCTCTATTTAAGTTATGATTGTTTATTAAGTGTAAGATTACACTAAGTAGTACGACAACATCTAACAAAGCTCCAGCTTTGTGCAGGAGCAGAAACTCTCCCAGCTTCAAATCATCAGTAGGTACTCCTGCATCTTATGGCAAAAGCTCAGGAAGAAGGGAATTTAAGGAAATTGCTCCTTGAATTAACAAGACTCAGATCAGGGAAGCATTAAATGAAGTCAACTCTGATCAAAGGCTGTTACTGCAAAAGGGGTTCCTATTACTAACTACCTGAGTTTTGTCTCTTGATTCTTCTATTTGCACTTATTCTTCTTTCCTTATGGACAAAAAGTTTTTGTTTTTCATTTTTAGATACGGGATGTTGCTATGTTGCCCAGGCTGGAGTGCAGTGGCTATTCACACATTCACAGGCATAATCATAGTGCACTGCACTGTGGCCTCAAGCTCCTGGCCTCAGATCCTGTGCTACCAAGCCCAGCCTTGATTTTTTTAAAATCTTTACTTTATTTTGTAAATTTATTTTTAATTTTTAATTTAATTTTTTTAAAAAAAGCTTTATGCTTAACTTTCCTCGCTCAGCTAAAACAGGCAAACCAAGGAATATTAAAATGTAAATAAAATTATTTATATATTTTTAAATCCTAAAATTGCTTATCATGTGTCTCGGCTGTTTGTATTTTGTTTGCCTAATTACACAATTGCCTGACTCTAAGGAGATAGTATGAACTGAGAGGGGTAATAAGTGAGAAGTCGGAAGATCAGATCACCTAGAACATTTGGCTATACAGTACTGTATATTTTTTGGCTGATGATTATGGGCAGGATAGCCCTTGGTGGTTGTGCTGAATAGCTTCCATTTGCTCTTCCAGATCTATTCTCGACCCTTCTCACCCACTCCTTATCCAGGGAGGCTAACCTGTACTGTGGATTGCACCAACAAGGCTCTCTCTTATCCTCTGTTTTATGGTTGCACTTGGCCAGAGCCACTAGTGGGGGATCAGAGGGTTGAGGAGAGGAGCATTTATTCACCCAGCATTTATTCACAGGTGACTGTGGGTTGGCTGCTTCCTCTTTAAAAGTCGGTTTCTATCCAGTGGCTCCCTCCATACCACCCAGCTCTCCTGGTTATCATAACCATTCTTCTTGTCTCTTTGGGTCCAGGAGGAGTACAGGAATGTTGCTAGCCTAGGATTTCTTCAAATCTTTGTAGATAGTCTCTTTTAAAAGTTCTCCCCAGTTAGTTTCTGAGTGTGCCTTCTGTTACTTGCTGGGGCCCTGATTCTGTTGCCTACTCAGTTGCCTTTCTTCCTCTTGCCTGTCCTAATTACACCCAGATTTCCCCTTGAAGACCTACCTCTTTTTTAGCAACTGTATGATTTGGGTGGATTTCATCTCTATCCCCATCTGTAGGGGTGACATAAACCAAAGAACACAGTTCTTCCCTTTTTCGAGAGGGATTGGTTAAAGACGGGCAATAACCTGGACCAAAGCCCATCAATACATGATAGCCCCTTGGTCATAGTGATTATTTCAGCCTGGCTTAGCAGACAAACTTAGGACTTGTGTTTGGTTGTTAAAGTAAGTGAATCTCTTTCTCTCTGCTGGATATGAATGCAGAGACATATGGCTCTGGCTGCAGCTGACAGTCATTAAGGGAGCAGACATGCAAAGGAGGACTGACCTTGGAGGGGAAATGTAGAGAAGCTGAGCTGGAGCCCTGATCGAACTATATCTGAAGCTTAACCTGCCTCTGGACTTCATATATATGCAAGCCACTAAATCCCTTTTATTGTTTCACTTATTTCAAGTTGGATCTTTTGTTACTACCAACCAATAGTATCCCAGATTAACAGGTTGGAGTACAGTGGCACAATCATGCCTCACTGCAGCCTCGACCTTCCTCGCTCAAGCAATCCTTCTACCTCAGTCTCCTGAGTATCTGGGACCACAGATGCATATAACCATGCTGGCTAATATTTTGAATTTTTTTCTAGAGAGGGGATTTTGCCATGTTGCTCAGGCTGGTCCCAAACTCCTAGGCTCAACCAATCTGCCCTGCTTGGCCTCCCAAACTGTTGGGATTATAGGTGTAAGCCACCATGTCTGGCTTTTTTTAAAAAAAATATTTTTGTTTCAAAGAAATCCCCACAAATAAGGTATCCTATTCCATCTTCAGACAGCTTTCTTTGTTATAAAGGTCTTATTTATGTGTAATATATACAATGTATTCACTTGAAGTCTTGATCCAACGTCTACCCTCTGGCAATGTATAGAATTCTTTTTTTTTTTTTTTTTTTTTGGAAACGGAGTCTCACTCTGTTGCCCAGGCTGGAGTGATCTCGGCTCACTGCAACTGTAACCTCCGCCTCCCAGTTTCAAGTGATTCTCATGCCTCAGCCTCCCGAGTAGCTGGGATTACAGGCGCCCGCCACCACACCTGGCTAATTTTTGTATTTTTAGTAGAGACAGGGTTTCACCATGTTGGTCAGGCTGGTCTCAAACTCCTGACCTTGTGATCTGCCCACCTCGGCCTCCCAAAGTGCTGGGATTACAGGCGTGAGCCACCGTGCCCGGCCTCTCATTTTTAACTTATAACTTAAATTCCTTCAAATGACTAGTTTTTAGGACATGATTCCAAGTTTCCTCGCCATCTCATTTATTTTTCTCTGAATACACATCATTACCACTTTGTCATTGTATCTTTTAAAATATGGTACCCAAAATTGAGTATGGTAGTCTAGTTGAGATCTCCCTGTAATCCCCAGCCAGAACAAATTTCTCTTTCCTCTGGATGTCTATAATAATAATAACCTTTGTTTTTTGGGGGCCTACCATTGCCAGGCACCATACTTAGAGTTGTTTAATATTATATTTAATCCTCATTTTAAGACTATAAGATTGGAATTTCTTATTCCCATTTGATTGCTAGAGAAACAAAGATGCAAAATTAATGTCAAACAATTTGCCCAAGATCATTCAGCTAATTGGTGGTAGAGTGGAGAACCAATTCTGTTTGATTCCAAAGCTTATATCCTTATCTCCCATTGTATTATAATTCCTCTCTATGCAGCTATATTGTTAGTGTTTCAAAGGGCAAGGATCATGTTGTGTTTACCTTTGTATCCTCAACCTGTAACCTAGAAACTGACACATTGTTTGAAGAGAAATGTAAAAGAAGCGGACTACCCACCTACCTTGTTCTAAAATGCTATATTTCCATTGAGACGTCTGACCCCCGGCACACTCTCAGGATTGATTTGTTAATAAATTTTGCAATGTACCACTCTGTTAGCTTTTTTGGCAGGGAACTCTCTCCATTCACTTATAATTATTCAATCAGTCAACTGTTTATGGCTTAAGAGTCTGTTGAAAGCTGTAAACCCTCCAAGAAAGTGCTAATATTCATAAGCACACAAAATTTGCATATTATTTCAAGGGGGTATGGATCTCTTATAGCTTATCCCTGATTTCATTAGGGGATTGTAGACCCTAGGTTGAAAAGTGCTGTTGCAGGTCAACAAAATTTTAGTCATGTCTTTGGGACTTTACCTGAGTAGGGACCATTTGGGCAGATCCAAAGCTGTTGCTTCAGTAGAGTTTTCATCAGAAACTTCTGTAGGCCACGTTTATGCATGAGGGTTTGGGTAGTGATCCTTTATCTGGGCAAGAATATAAATCAGGCTCAATAATTTTCTTTTTAAACAAATCAACCATGCGACTTCATGTTTGATGCAAAAGCTTATTGCTCTCTAGTCACTCAGCAGCCCACAACTGACATTTTAGGTTCTGTGCCTGGCCCAGAGTGGATGCTCAACAAAGTAAATTTTTAAAGAGGTTTTCAAGAAGTTACAATGTAATATTTCCTCCTTAACATTTATTAAAAGTCAAACATTGATACAAAGAATGTTTTTCTTTAAAACAAATCAAGAATATTATCCATTCTGTTTAATGTCTTCACAATAAGTATCCTGATTTCTTAGTAAGAAAATAAGTTTCTCTTTTGTTAGATTTTAGGGGTGCAACTCATTGTGAGCCCCTAAACTTGTCTTCTAGGTATTTGGAGCTTAATTTTATGTTTATTTACTACTGTTATCTTTAGGTTTGTAAACTTATTTCCCACTTCCCTATGTTAAGGCATTTTCTTTGTGTGTTTGAGACTTACTGTTTAACTTTTATTTCCATATGAATGCCAAAAATAGCATTAGATTCATTGAAATTTGTTTGACTCTGTATTTGTACATGCTTTCATTGTCTCTCTTCCTGCTACTCTCTCCTGCCCCTACCGTACCCCACCCTATCTGCTCTACCCTTAGACAATTGCTTTTTATATCTTTCCTCAACCCACTGCAGTGATTATCTGCTCTTAGTTCCTGGCTTGCCTTTATTTCCTGGACTTTGGATATTCTATTACCCTACCAGTTTAACTACTTGCTTTCGATTCCAAAGTAATCTCCATTTCTCTGACTTTATGCTTCATAGTTTTTTTTTTTTTTTTTTTTTTTTTTTTTGTAGCCAGAACTAGAGTAGAAAGTGATGGCAATAAGCAAGAACATGTGAATCTGGGAAGTTTTACACTTTGAAATAATCTCAGACTTACAGAAATGTTTTAAGTATAGCGTAAAGAATGTTTTCCCCCTGAACTGTTGGAGAGTGCTGACCCAATGCCCAACCACCCTGAATACTTTATTATGTATGTCCTACAAACTAGGACAACTTCCAACATAACTGCAATGCTACCCTCAAAGTCACACTACTGCCTCCCAGTCCTCAGATGCATTTAAGCTTTGGCAGTTGTCCCATCAATGTCCTTTACAGTGAAAGAATTCAGTTCAGATCATATATTGCACTTTTTGTAGAATGTCTTTCAATTTTGGTTCGTATGGTGTTCCTTCATGATTAGAGTCAAGTTTTATGTCTTTAGCAGGAACATCACAAGGTGGTACATGTTTTACATTTGTCCTATTGTTGATAAAGTTCACTTTGATCACTTTGATTCCCTTTGATTAAAGTGGTATCTGCCAGGCATCTCCATGTAAAGTTTTCTGCTTGTAATCTATAAGGATTTTGAGGGGAAATTCTTTGAGACTGTTTAAATATCCTATTCCCCTTCAAGCATTCAGTTTATTCATTTATTTATGGCAATATAGGCTCATGGTTTCCTATTTAGTTCAATGGGTTATGCTGCATTCCTACTACCATTACTTATTTCGATGCTTTGTTTTAGATTTGGAGAGTGGGAGCTTCAAATTGGCCCCTGTGTCTTCTTATTGAATAAGCTTTTTATTTTGGGGTGATTTTAGATTAGCAGAAAAAGTTGCAAAGATAACACATAGAGTTCCCATGTATCCCTTACCCAGTTTCCCCTGATGTTACATCTTATACAACCAATGTACATCAGTCAAAACTTAGAAATCAACACTGGCATATTATTTTAACTAAATTACAGACTCTATTTTAGATTTCATTAGTTTTTTCACTTAAGTTCCATGATTCAGTCTGAGATACATAATTGCATTTAGTTATCCTATCTCCTTAGTCTCCATTCTGTTACAGTTTCTCAGTCTTTTCTTGTTGTCTATGACCCTGATGGTTTTGTTTGGGTATCTTTTAGAATGTCTCTTAATTTGGGTTTGTAGGAGGTTTTTCCTCAAGATAAGATTGGGGTTATAGGTTTTGGGGAAGAATACCACAGAGGTGAAGTAGCTTCTGATGACATCATATCAGGGGGTACATGACATTAACATGACTTACCACTGGTGATGTTAACCTTGATCATTTGCTTAAGGGGATGTCTGCTAAGTCACTCCTCTGTAAAGATACTATTTTTCCCATTCACTATTCTTTGGAAATAATACATTAATTCCAGCATACACTTAAGGGAAGGGTCCTATGTCCTTTTGACGTGTCCCCAGCATTCACTGAGTATGTCCTTTGTTTTCAACACAACAGGACATTGCAGCTTATTTTGTAGTTTCTGTGCTCCAGCCCTAGAATCAGCCATTTCATGAAGGTGCCTATTTTAGACTGAATGTTTGTGTCTCTCTCCAAATTGATATGTTGAAGCCCCAACCCCCAGTGTTACTATATTTGGAGATGGGGCCACTAAGGAAGTAATTAAGATGAAATGAGGTCATAAGGGTGGGTTCCTGATCTGATAGGATTAGTGTCCTTATAAGAAGAGATAGCAGAGAACTTGGTCTCTCCACTCATACACCAAGGAAAGGCCATGTGAGGACATAGTGATAACGTGGCTGCCTGCAAGCCAGCCAGAAATTGAATCAGCTGGAACCTTGACTTGGACTTCTGGCTTCCAGAAATGTGAGGAAATAAATTTCTGTTGTTTAAGCCACTCAGTCTGTGGTAGTGTGTTAGGGTAGCCTGAGCTGACTATTACAGTGCTTAGTTTCTTTTAGGGGGAAAATGCTACCTAGAAACCAAGATCTGGAAACTAGCTATACTCATTGCCATTGGGTGTCAGTGCTCTCAGGTCCTCTTAGTAGACAAAGCTAGAGAATATATAAATGTGTGTATATGCACACACACAAACACTTATATTTCTATTGAAAGTAATGTGTTCATACCAATACATTAAATTTTAATCATTCCAGTTTTCTCCCATTCTGTATTTGTGACTCTTTCATCTGAAGTGAAAAGTTTGGTGTTCATTATCCTTATTTTATTTACTTATTTGATCAACCCCATTTACATAGGCATCTCCCATCACCGCTGCAGATGCTTGCCCCATTCCCCCCACAGATACCCACTTCACCCAATTCAGGCTCCATCCTCCTGCACTGGGTTTCTCTAGTAGCTGGAAGGCACCATCACCTTGCCTGGGTTCTGACACTCTGCTGGCTTCCTTCATGTACAGTGCCCTCCTCACCATGTTTGAGCTTTGAAACCTAAGATACTAAGTTAAGATATTTTGTGTGAAGTACATGTAAGTGTACAGTAAATGCTATCTATTATTTGTGCAATTGTGATAGCCACAGTTCTAAAAATGGTCCCCCATATTTTCTACCATAATCCATGGGACTTTGACTATAATGAGGTATCACACTGTGATTATGTTAAATGGCAAAAAGGGACTTTTTTGCAGGTGTAATTAAGGTTACTAATCAGTTGATTTAGGGTTACACAAAACAGAGATTATCTAGGTGGGCCCAATCTAATCACATGTGCCCTTTAAAAGCAGAGCATTTTCTTGGGCTGGAAGCCTTAGGGGAAATTCGAGGATTGAAGCACAAGAAAGACGTGATTCGCTGTTTGTTGCTGGGTCTGAAGATGGAGTGGGCATGGGCAAGGATGTTAAAGCAGTTTCTAGGAGCTGAGAGGGTCTTCAGCTGACAGCCAGCAAGAAAATAGGGACTTCAGTCCTAATACCACAAAGAACTAAATTCTGCTAACTACCTTAGTGAGTGGAAATGTATTCTTCCTTAGGGTCTCCATATAAGAGCCTAGCTTGCCTGACACCTTGATTTGGCCTTGGGAGACCCTAAACAGAAAACCCAATGGGGCCTGCCTGGACTTATGATCTACAGAACTATGAGAGAATAATAGGTATTGTTTTAAGCAACTTAATTTGGAGTCATTTGTTGCACAATAATAGATAACTAATACAGTATATCCAGGTGATATTTGAAAGAAAAATATTTAAATATTTAATATTTACATATTAAATATTTAAATATTGGAGGAGAGATTGTGATTTATGTATGGTTATTCTTTGGATGGATGACTATCTAAATCTATCTCTTGAAGATTAAAGCCCTCTTTCTTGGGATGTCTGCAAGCAAAAACTGCTCAAGGAGAACCTTTTATAGTTAGATATGTAATGTTAATTAATTTGAGCTATGTAAGTATTTTCTTTTGAAGAAGTGAGTTACAAATTAGGTTAGTGTACAGTAAGTATATTTTCAGGTGTAAGTATATTTTCAGGTTTTTTATTTTTTATTTTTATTTTTATTTATTTTATTTTTATTTTTATTTTTGGAGACGGAGTCTTGCTGTTTTGCCCAGGCTGGAGTGCAGTGGCGCGATCTTGGCTAAGTGCAACCTCCGCCTCCCGGGTTCATGGCATTCTCCTGCCTCAGCCTCTGGAGTAGCTGGAACTACAAGGCGCCCGCCACCACGCCCGGCTAATTTTTGTATTTTTAGTAGAGATGGGGTTTCACCGTGTTAGCCAGAATGGTTTCGATCTCCTGCCCTTGTGATCCGCCCGCCTCGGCCTCCCAAAGTGCTGGGATTACAGACGTGAGCCACCGCGCCCGGCCTATTTATTATTTTTTTGAGACGGAGCTTCGCTCTAACGCCCAGGCTGGAGTGCAGTGGCGCGATTTCGGCTCACTGCAAGCTTTGCCTCCCGGGTTCACGCCATCTTCCTGCCTCAGCCTCCCGAGTAGCTGGGACTACAGGCGCCCGCCACCACGCCCGGCTAATGTTTTATATTTTTAGTAGAGACTGGGTTTCACTGTGTTAGCCAGGATGGTCTCGATCTCCTGACCGCATGATCCACCCGCCTTGGCCTCGCAAAGTGCAGGGATTAGAGGTGTAAGCCACCGTGCCCGGCCTATTTTCAGGTTTTTTGAGCACTCTAAACATATTGGTTTATGTTAATGTCGTAAAATAATCTCAGAAAAAAAGATGCAGCATTAGAGTTGATAAAGGTAATCTATGGAAACAAAATGTCATATATTTAACAAATATCAAAGGTCTACTTTCTGCTAGATATTGTGCTGGATGTTGGAGATCTGTTTATGCATGAGGCAGATATGTGATACTTGCCTACAATCTTATGAAAATTATAAGCATATAAGCAGTTAAAATATGGATGATAGCTGCTGTAAGGGTTGTGATGTGGAAAAAAAAAAAAAAAAGCCTGTGGAAACACAGATATCTAATCCAGACTTGAGAGGTTCAGTGGCTGGAGTCACATGGCCACAGCCTAAGTCACATGCTGGGAAGCTACTTGTTGGGAAGGCTGAGAAATATAGTTGTTATTGGGCAGCCCTGTGTTCAGCTATATGTTCTCTCACGTTAGAAAGAGAGCAGTCTGTGCCTTTCTTTCCAAACCCTTCTCCCAAGGGAGACAACCCCAGATCAACTTCAGAGTCCAGAATCTCTGGGTGATGTATGTTTCAGGAACCTTTAGTTTAAGACAGAGAAAGTCACCTGAGTCCTGGGGAGAGAGATGGTAGCTAACGGAAAGAAGGGGAAGAAAGGGATGTAGAACATCCATGGCATTAGTAACAAGATGTACCAAGACCTAAAGACAAGGAAAAGCGTGGCCAAAATTAGTTCACTGTGGCTGAGGCATAGAGTTTGATAGGGTTAGTGGTAAAATATAGGGCTGGCACATTTAGCATTACTAGATGATTGAAAGTGTATAGGGCATGTTAGGGAATTTGGATTTTATTTAATGGGATATATTTAAACAAGGGAGTGATGCAATGAGATTTCTACCTGTCAGAAAGTAAAATTATATTGTTTTTGCTTTTACCTCCAAGGAATTTGCATGGTAGACATCCCAAATGTTGTTCTTGGCCCCAATTCCCATTCTAAGATTAGGAGGCCAGTGATGCAGTGAGCTTTAGGAATGTGATGGGAATGAATATTTTATAGATTTTGTTTTTGTAATGGCAATTCTTAAGGTACACCACTGTATAGTTGTGTTTGCTGTAGAGTCTGTCAACTGGGTTTGAATCACAGCTGTGTCACAAACTGTCTGTACAAGTCACTTAGTTTTTCTAGGCCTCAATGTTCTCATCTTTAAAATCTGGATGATAAAATCCAGCTTTAAAATCAAATTCTTAAGGTTGTTAGGATTAAATGAGATAATGTCTATAAAGTGCCTGGGATAAAGTAAATAATCAGTAAATGATTGTTTTTTATACTGCCAATAAAAAGCTGAAAGTTTATTAATTTATTTTAGGCCAAGTCAAAATGTGCTCCTGGCAAAAAGTTGGTATTGAAACGAACTTTCCAGCCAAAACCCTGCATTGAAAGCAGTTAAAAATTTAGCCAAGATAAAATTGATACCACATCCACTCAGCCAACATCATATATGATAGGACTGCGTTGGGCCCCCCCCAAAATTCATTGTCTGGTGTGGGACATCCAAATGCAGTTTCAAAAGAGGGAGAAGGGAATATATAGGCTTGGAGCTTGGGAGAGAAGTTTGAAATGGAAGTAAGAGTTTGGAGATTAACTATCATGAAGATGAGATTTAACTCATCTCAATGGGTGCAGAAAAAGCACTTTATAAAATTTAACACTCATACATCGTAATACTTACAGCAGGCAGGAATAGAGAAGAATTTCTTCAGACATAAAGATTATCTAGAAAAGCCAAAAGCAATCATATTCAATGGTGAAATGTTGACAGCTTTCTTTCTGAGATTAGGAACAATACAGGGATCACTGCTATTCAAGACTGTATTGGAATTCCTAGCTAACACAATACACCTAGATAAATAAAGTTTAAAGATATAAAAAAAGATGTAAAACTGTCTATTTGCAGATAACATGATTGTGTATATAGAAAATAAAAAAGAATCTATAAATAAGCTATTAGAAATAAGTGGGCCAGGCACGGTGGTTTACGCCTGTAATCCCCGGACTTGGGGAGGCCGAGGCAGGTGTATTGCTTGAGCCCAGGAGTTTGAGACCAGCCTGGGCAACATAACCAAAACCCTGTCTCTACCAAAAAAAAAAAAAATTAGCTGGGCCTAGTGGTGGCACATGCCTGTAGTCCCAGCTACTCAGGAGGCTGAGGTGGGAAGATCACTTGAGCCTAGGAGGTTGATAATAATTAAATGAATTTACTAAGATTGATACTTGTAAGGTCAATGTACAAGTATAAATGATATTTCTGTATACTAGCAATTGCTAGAAAATTAAATGTCAAATTTTAAAAATAGACTTCAAATAACATCAAAAATGTCAAATGCAATTTAAAAAATCTGATAAAAATATGCGAAATCTCTACACTGAAGACTATAAATATTTCAGAGAAGAATTTAAGAAGACCTAAATAAATGGAAGAACATTCCACATTTGTGGATTGGAAGACTCAGTATCATTTAGATGTCAGTTGTTCCCAAACTGATCTATAGTGTCAATGGAATCCACTCAAAATCCTAGTAGGTTTTTTTTTTAATGAAAACTGATTCTAAAATTTGTACAGAAATGCAAGTGACCTGGAATAGCCAAGATACTTTTGAAAAAAAAAAAACTTGGAAGACTTACACTACCAGATTTCAAAGCTTACTATAAAGCTCAAATAATTTGTTCAGTGTGATATTGGTACAGTGACTAGACAAGTACACTAGTGGGACAGAATAGAGTCCAGAAATTAACCCACAGAATATAGCAACTCAGTAGTAGAAAGAATAGTCTTTTCAACAGATGATGCTAGGGCAGTTTGATATTCAAATCAAAAAAATTGAACCTTGACCCCTACCTAATACCACTTAGAAATATTCTATTAAGATGGCTTATAGTCTAAATGTAAATGTTAAGACAATAAACATTCCAGAAGAAAAGATAGATCAGTGTCTTCATGACCTTGGGTAGGTAAAGATTTCTTAAAGAGGTCACAAAAGGCATTAACCAGAAAAGAAGATATTATATGATAGATGGGACTTTGGCAAAATTAATGTCTTCTTATCAAAAAGACATTACTAATAAATCAGTAGGCAAACCACAGGCTAGATGAGGATATTTGCAATACCAATATTTGACAAAGGAGACTGATATCCAGAATTTATAAATTCTGCAAGTTGACTGGGCACAGTGGGTCACGCCTGTAATCCCAGCACTTTGGGAGGCCAAGGCGGGCAGATCATGAGGTCAGGCGATCGAGACCATCCTGGCTAACACGGTGAAACTCCGTCTCTACTAAATATACGGGTGAGGTGGCTGGCGCCTGTAGTCCCAGCTACTCAGGAGGCTGAGGCAGGAGAATGGTGTGAACCAGGGAGGTGGAGCTTGCAGTGAGCCGAGATCATGCCACTGCACTCCAGCCTGGGCGACAGAGCGAGACTCCATCTCAAAAAAAAGAAAAATTCTACGAGTTAATAAAAAAGATAACCCAGTTAAAAATAGATGAAAGATTACAACAGGCATTTCACAAAAAAGGAATATCCAAATGGCATATTAAAAGGTCAGTAATATCATTATAAGTCAAAGAAATACAAATTAAGGCCATAGTTGGATACACCATTCCCACCAGAATGGCCAAAATTAAAAGACAGGCAAGACCAGGTGTTGGCTAGAAAGTAGAGCAATTGGCACTCATATTCTGCCAATAAGTGTGCAAATTGGTTACAGATTTTTGGAAAACTGGGTGTGTCTCTTAAGGATAAACATATACCAGCCGGACATGGTGGCTCACGCCTGTAATCCCAGCACTTTGGGCGGCTGAGACGGGCGGATCACCTGAGGTCAGGAGTTCAGGACCAGCCTGGCCAACATGGAGAAACCCTGTCTCTACTAAAAAAAACAAAAATTAGCTGGGCATGGTGATGGGCACCTGTAATCCCAGCTACTCCAGAGGCTGAGGCTGGAGAATCACTTGAACCCAGGAGGTGGAGGTTGCGGTGAGCCGAGATCACACCATTGCACTCCAGCCTGGACGACAAGAGTGAAACTCCATCTCAAAAAAACAAAAATACACACACACACACACACACACACACACACACACACACCCCTACCATGTAATTTAGCAATTCTACTCCTTAGTATATTCTACTCAGCAATTATACTCCCAGCTTCATTCTTGATAGCCCCAAACTAGAAACAGTTCAAATTCCCATCAACAGGAGATGAGTTACATTGTTGTATATTCCAAAATGAATATTGTACAGCAATAAAAAAGAGGATTTGTTTTGTCAGATATCAATGTTTATAAAGCTTTATTTAGGACAGTATAATATTAGCACAGAATAGGCAAAATGTCCAATAGAACCAGAAGCAAGAGACAAAAATATCCATGTATATCTTGGAAGTTGATATATGAGAGAGACAGCCCTGCAGATCATTGAGGAAAAGATGGACAATACAATTATGGTGTCCTAATAGTTGATTACCCATATAGGAAAAAAAAAAACTATTTTCCCATATGGGAAAAGGGAAAAAAAAACAGCACACAAAAATGAACTCCAAACTCACTAAAAACTGAAATGTAAATGGAAAAAATTTAGAATGATTGAAAGATGAAATAAGATCCCTTTATGACCTTGTTTAGGAAAGGACTTCTTAAGCCACAAAAAGCCTACATTTTAAGGAAAAAGATTGATAAATTTGATATTATTAAAATGAAAAACTTCTCTTCACCCAAAATCCCACAAATAAACACAATGACTCATCACACTGTAGGAGAATACACTCATAATACAGTTAACAACAAAAGGTGAGAATCCAGAATATATTATTTTAAGGATTTGGTTCACAAGACTGTGGAGGCTGGCAAGTCCAAAATGTGTAGGGCATGCCAGCAGGCTGGAAACTCAGGCAGCTGTTAATGCTGTAGTCTTGAGGCAGAACTTCTACAGGAAACTTCACTTCTTGCTCATAAGGCCTTCAACTGATTGGATGAAGTCCTCCTCTCCCCAACATTATATAAGATAATCTCCATTACTCAAGTCAACTGATTATAGATATTAACCACATGTACAAAATACCTTCATAGCAACACCTATATTAGTGTTTGATTAAATAACTGGACACTGTAGCTAAATTGACACATAAAACTAATAATCACAATGCCCTACATTGTTTATTAATCATGTAATGGAAATTAAGGCCACAATGAGACACAATTTTATATCCATTAAATTGACACAACTTAAGTCTGATAACACCAAGCATTGAAAGGAGTGGATCAGCAGGACTTTTATCTACTGTTGATGGGACTGTACACTGGTACATCATTCTGGCAAACAAGTTGGCACTTCCTCATAAAGTTGATCATATGCATACGTACACCACAGGAATTTCTCTCCTTGAGGAGCTCTTGCACATGAATGCAAGGGGATAAGTGAAATTTACAAGAATGTTATGGTAGTTTTTTAAAAATTCAAACAGTGAACAACAACCTGGAAACAAACCAAATAATCAGTCATAGTAAAATGGATACATAAATTATACTATAGTCACAGAATGGCATAGCAAACAGCAGTGAATAAATGAATGACAGCCAGGTGGAATGAGTGAATTTTAGAAACATAATATTGAGTCTAAGAATCAAGGCACAGAAGTTTAAAAATAGCATAATACCAATTTTATAAAACTCACAAATGAGTAATACAAAACAATATAATGTTTGGGGCCACATGCCTACATACAGATACAGACCTACATGTGAGGAGGAAGGTGGAGGAATGGGATAGTGAAGGAATGCAGAGGTGGATGCAAATGTCAGTGTTCTCGTCAAGTTTGGTAGTGAGTTTCTGGGTATTTATTTTGTTTATTACTACTCATAATATATGTTTGGTGTTTGGTGTTTCATCTTTTCATTTTATCAAGTTACATAAAATTTTAAAAGAAAATGAACAAAAACGTGCTTCCATTTCCAGTCCAAAGCACTGAAATTTAAAAGTAGTGTTTTTTAATCTATGAAAACATTTCTTAAAACATTTTTTTAAAAACTGAAACTAAGTCTGTGAAGAGCTTAGAAGACAATGTAATTCAGGTTTATAACTAAGGCCATGCTTCATCAAGGAGGTCTAGATCAGCTGGAACAATGGTTAACTTTTTTGTTGAGGGTGGGGTGATGACGTCATTGACTGACTGCTTTGCCATGGAAGCTATTGATCGTCTCTCCAGAAAGCATTTCATATGTGCAAAACTTGTCACTTCAGCAGGTGACACTGAATCTGGTATGGAAATAGTTTACTAAAGCTATCTAATACCAATTTTTATTAACTTAACTTGACATTGGCAGTCAGATGACAAAGTGTTTTCATCAAAGGTGCTACTTTATTCCTTAAAATCAGTAAGTTAGTGGAAATGTTATAAAGCTAAGTTAGTATAGGGAGGCTCTAATTTTAGTCCTTTTAGTTCTGTGTGATGGAGCATAGAATTATTTTGGCAAATGGTTATTGGGACTCTCTTTCAGGTTTTAAGTTTTTAATTTGGCCAACTTACCAAGGCTCAAATTGAGGGATGACCCACTTTTGCCTGGGTCAAAGCAACCAGGGCATGGAGAAAAATAATTGGGTTTTTCTTTGTAGGAAGCTTTGTAAGGTTTCGCAGTTGGCAAACTCTGTATCCCACATCTGATACATAGAAGAGCTATGAGTAGAGATATGGGTGTTTTCAACATAACATTTCTAAGTTGCAAAATGCACCTTTGAATACTTAAGCTCTCTTAGGTAATTCTCTTAGCTGAATGAGTAACATAACATGTCATTTGTTTACAGATACTTGATAATGTGAAGAGCAGTATCATGTTTTCTTTATCTAGCATTTGATGGCTGTTAACCAGTGAAATGAGAGATTAGATTCTATGCAACTAAAAGCACACACTGGATCCCTTCAAAAAAACCGTGTCACCTTCTATATAAAGTATTAAATTCGTTGATTGGCAAGATGCATATGTTATGCTGCTGAGACAGTGATGTTTTCTTATTGAAGAGTACAGTAGATGTTTTTGTAAGTTCAAGAAAATGTTGAAGCTTACAAGATAAAAATTACCATAGTAATATGTAAACTAATCTTTATAATTGAGCATAGTACCATATGATTCACCAAATGCTATTTTACAAAATTGGTAAGTGTATGTATTTTAAAAAATTTCTAATACTGGTTGGTAATAAAGAATACTAAATTATCAACTTTATCTTTCATATCATAGAGGATTACCTTTTTTCACTCAGCTTTGTTTTCATGCTTTGCCTATTATATCACTCTTTTCTCCCTCTTGGGTTGGATTAAAAGGGAGAATATTTTTCAACTTCTGTCTTCTTATTTATTATCCATTTCTATATTACTCATATGATTACTTATTAGGGCACTCGTGGTATTGTTTTTATAACTGTTAATGATAGTGTACTGTTTTTAAAGTTAATGCTGGAATGAATAAGTCAATATGGCATAGAGGTTGAGTGTCATCCTTGGAGCCAGACAGATAGAGTGAATCTCCTCTCAGCAAGTGACTAGCTATATGTCCTTGGCAACTTTACTCTGTTTTTCCTGATTTTTAATAAAAGTGAATTCAGTGCCTGATACCTTGTGATAACTATAATAATAGCAATAATAAGATTATTATTGAATTCAGCATTTTAGGTTACATACTTAACATAATAGCACCTGTGTATATTTAGCATATTCATTTGCAGTATAGAACAGGTTGGCTGTAACTCTCTAATCTGGAGTCAGAATGTCTACCTGTGTGAGAGTCTAGTTCCTTTGAATATATTGTAACTGCATCTGTTATGTATTATGAGTAAAATTTTTCAGGGCCACATATTGATTTAACAACGAAACAATTATATTCACTCTAATGTATGTTTGAGTGCCTACGATATGCAAAGCAATGCAAGTAGTATATAAATATGTAAAATGCAGTTTCTGTTTCTAAGTACCATCAGTCTAACAGAAAGGATTAGGGAAATAGAGGAAATCTACTCTTTTGGGCACCCAAGTGGATAGAGGTTGTGCTATCAGAAAAAAAAAGTTTAGGCTATGTTAATAATAGAAGCAGAATGAACCATAAACCAGTTTAAACATCTTGGGGAGCCAAGGGGAAATAAATGGAACTGCATGCTATGCCTTAGTAGTTAGTTTTTTTCATATCCAGGGATCTCTAAGCTCAGGTTTACAATCTATTTTATTTTTATTTTTTTACAATTTATTTTTTCTACGTTTGTGCTCTAAGCATCTACAGGTGTATTACTTGTTAAAAGCTCTATAGCATGCAGAAATAGAAATAAGTATAATACTTATTTCCACAAGAGAGGCATAAATAAAGTTATGACCATTGTTAGCATAAAGGTGGGAGAGGTCACATTCTGTGGAAAATTATGAGAAGCAACTTCATGAAAGAACATTTGAGCTGAGATTTCATAAAGATGCATGTGATTTCAGGCAAAGTTTGGGAAATTTAGTGATATGTTTGCCTCCTGCTACGTCAAGGAATAAGTGTGAGTAGAAAGAGAACAGTGCATGGTATACTTGTGAGATAGTGAATCTTCCATTTGAGCAGGAATGTGGGCTTTGTGTAGGATGTCTGGGGAATCTGGAAGACCTTTAATTTAAGTAAGTAATGGGGATCCATGAAATAATTTTTTTTTTTTACATGGGACATGGTGGTGGTAATGGTGGTGGTGGTGGTAGGCTAATAGAGCTAGATTATCTAGTAACTGCATTTGTATGTTTACTGAATTCGTGTTTTTTTCTCTTTCAGGAAGTTCATGATTTGTTAAAAGACTATGACTTAAAATATTGTTATGTGGACAGAAATAAACGAACAGGTAAGATTTCTATTCTAAGTGTCTAATTTCATTTTGATTCTCCCTGTACTCGTTATAGAACAAAAAAGCTCAGTGTCTTTTCATGCTTAAGCTAATCATGGAATTTTTAAGCCTTAAATCATTCGAATGTAACCCACACTGTCTATTTTCTGAAGGTAATATTGGTATCCTAAATATTAATTGCATAAATGAATATAGTGTTACTAGAGACTTATGAATTTTTATAATGAATGTTCTGTTACAGTGAATGTTCTTCATAGGCTCAGAGTTCCTCGATTTTAATTGTATGTTACTGGACTTAGTGAATAGACTGTATGACTTGACCTTTAGCTGGGGAAATTGAGAAACTCATTTAGGTTTTCTGGGTATTAGTTTTATATCTGTGAGATTAAAAAACTAGATTATTTCCTTTTTGTGCATGTAATATGCAGCTGTTTAAAAGCATCCTTTTGAGACTAAAAATAAATTATGGAGGATAATGTAATTACTATGTACACATCCACTCCCAAATTATCAAATGGTAATATTTTGTCTTTACAAAGTATGTACATAGCTAGAGCCCTCATGTAGATCTGTTGAATTTCTTCAGATTCAAAAAAAATGGTAAAAAGGAACATTACAGATAAAGATGAAATTCACTTTCTACTACTCTGATTCCATTCCCTCCCAGCCTCCTTGTCTAGGGGCAGGCACTGATGAATTTGGTGCATATTTTCCAATTTATGCAATTACATTTTGATAGCCATTAAAGCTGTTCACAAATTCTTGTTCTTTTTCTTCTGAGCACAAGGTAAGATAGTACTTACCTGTGCCTCTTTGAAGTTGAGAGTGGACTTGTGATTTGCTTGTTGATGAATGAAGTGAGAGTGAAAATGACATGTATCCCTTCCAGGTGAAAGATTTCAGAGCCAGCATGTGATTTCCTGCTCACACTTCCCTGTGCTAAAGTAATTGGGGAAGTAACAGAACCTCTTTCAACCTAGGTCTCAGAGTGACTATAATGAGCAAAACGTCCTTCCTTCCTTACCTTCAGCATGGGATATGCAGCATGAATCAGAAGAAAGCCTTTTGTTTTGTTATGCCATTGAGATTGTGCAGAAGTTTGTTACCACAGTATCTTGACTAACCTATAATTTTACCATATGTGCCTATATATAATTAATGGTAGTCTCTGTTTTAAACTTTTCATAAATGGCATTCTAATGTATATTTCATTTAGCAACTTGCTTTTTTTGGGTTAACGCAACATTGTTTTTCAGATCTTTCCACATTGATATATATAACTCAGGTTCATTGATTTAAGCTACTACATGTAATTATCATGTGAATTTATTACGATTAATGTATTTGTTACTGACTGGCATTCAGGAAGCTTTACCTTTCCCAGTATTTCAAACAGTGATGCAATGAATAGCCTTTTAGTTGATTACTAATATACATTTCAACTGTTTCTCCATAACTGAAGCTCTGAGTCATAGGTGTGCACAATTTCAATGTTACAGATATTGACAACGGGATTAGAGGTAACAGCCTTCACAGCTCACATAGAGCCAGGAATAGTGCTATTCCCACTAGTCAGGATGATAAACCTCATAATTCATGGGGCATTAGAAGTAATAATCAGAAAGTTTTTGCTCAGGAATGGGGAAAAGTAACTCAAGACCAATGATGCTCTTGTCCTACCTAACAAAACTTAAAAACAAGACCAGAACGGATCAAAGTGCTTCCTCATAACTTAACCACATCCTGGAACAAAACTCAAGAATATTTGTATGCATCCAAAACATCTGACACCCAACAAAGTGAAATTTATGATGTCAGACATCCAATAAAAAAGTAGCAGACATGATGAAGAAGCAGGAAAACCTAATGTATAACGAGGACAAAAATCAATCACAACTGGCCTAGAATTGACACAGATGAATTAATAAAAATGGACATTAAACCAGTTTTTATAATAGTGTTCCATATATATAGTAAGTTATAGTAAAGATTGAACATGGTAAATAGAGACTTGGAAGATATAAAATATCCAAATCAAACATCTGGAGATGAAAATTACAACATCTGACATGAAATACACTGGATAGGATTAATGGCAGAATAGACACTGTGGAAGAAAAAATTAGTGAACTTGAAAACAATGATGTAAGTGATCCAAAATGAAACACAGAGAGAAAAAAGACTGTAAAACATGAACAGAGTATCAGTGAACTGTGGGACAGCTTCAAGAGCAATTAGAGTCCCTGGGGGTAGGAATAGTTAAAAAAAAATTAAAGAATTAGTAGCTGAAAAGTTTTAAAATTTTGATGAAAATTCTAATCCCAGAAATCCACAGAGCTCAACCAACTTCAAGTACAAAAGCATGAGGAAAACTACAGTGTACGTTGTAATCAAATTGCTTACAGTTAGTGATAGAATGTCTTAAAAGCAGCCAGAAAAAAAGTATACATCATTAATACATTTAGCGGGACAAAGATTAAGATGACCATAGATCTTGGAAACAACACAATTGAAAAGACTGTAGGGTAACATCTTTTCATTCTTTACCAAAATAAACAAAAACACAACAGGTCCACATAGAATTCTTAACCTATTGAAAATATCTTTCAAAAACAGTGATGAAATAGAGATGTTTTTCAGTCATACAAAAGTTAAAAGAATCATCACCATTAGACTTGCACTATAAGAAATACTTAAGGAAGTCCTACAAGCAGGAAGAAAATTATAGATGGAAATCTGGACCTACCCAACAAAATGATGAATACGTGATATGGTCATTACGTGGGTAAAGACTTTTTTCTTAATATTGAAATCTTTTAAAAGTATAATTGACTGTTAAAAGCAAAAATAATGACATTACATTGTGAGATTTGTAACACATGTAGAAATAAAATGTGTAACAGCAATAATACAAAGGCTGGGAGAGGAGAAATGGGATTGCACTGTTTGAAGTCTCTTATACAGTACATGAAGTGGTGTGATACCGTTTGACAATTGACTGTGATAAGTTAAAGATGTATACTGTAAACCTTAAATCACCTGTTAAAATCACACAACACAGAAATCATTAATTGTATTAAATGATTTTGCCTTGGATTTTGGAACCTATAGTGGTGTTCGTGGAAACAGATATAATTAATAACTCAGTTGATAAAAGATGCAATTCTTAACTATAACCTTGCAACCAGAGCTTCCTATGGTAGATATGAGGAAATTATTATAGTAAAATAGGATACATTAGGGGAAAAAGTTTTGGCACATGCTTGCCTTCAAATTAGACCCAATAATAAACTAAATAGTAGACCATGCAATGACTTTTAAAAGAATTGGGATCAATTGTGGGATATTTAAATTTCACAAGGAAAATGGTAATGTAATTAATCCCAAATTCCCTTACAGCCTTTTCTCTGTAGAGTGACATCTACCATTTCTATGAGAACTAGTATGTGAATTTTTTTATTTTTTATTATTTTAGAGAATTCGTGGCCTTGGAAAAACATGGAAGAAGCTATAGAACAGAAAATGTGACCTCCTTTCCCTACTGTCTGAACTTTTAAATTTGTTTCATTATGTTATTTAAATTCTTCCATAAAACCTAAGTTGAGCAAATGCAGATACCTAAGAAAAGGACAAAGAGATTTTCAGTTTTTAAATTATTAGTTGATTTATATATGCATTTATTTATTCATTCATCTAACACAAAGCTTCTACCATATGTCATGCACCATGATAGTTGGTGGAATTAGGGAGCTCACAGTTTAGTAGGGTAGCAGGCATCTAAGCAAATAGATTACGATGTGATGTGATCTATGCAATAATCCGAGCAATGTTCAAGATAGAGAGGTATAAAAAAATAAAGAATGGTTAACTCTAAGAGAGGATCAGGGAAGCTTCCTGGAGATCATGATGGAGTAATGCATGGACGAATTTGAAAATCAGCTAAAAGGTTCTAGGTATCCTAAGGTATGGGGAGTGATCTTATAGGCAAGGGAATTAAATGTGTAATATATGGATACCTGAAATAACTGGATCTCTACAGGGAGCTACAAATATTTCAGTGTTCTTGGAGAATAAAGAGCTGTTGGGGAAGGGAGGAAGTATGGCAGTTAACAAGGCTGGAGTTAGATATAGCAGGCATTGTAGAGCATGATTACCAATCTGGCACTTGGCTTTTTTTGTGAGTAATAGCAAACCTTTGCATTTAAGGCAGTAAACAGGCACAATTAAACTTCTGTTTTTTAGAGATCACTTTATTGTCACTGTGGAGAAAGGATTAAAAAAAGAAAAAGCTAGAGGACTGAAGAAAGGGGGATGGATTCAAGACCTATTAGACGGGTGGAATTTGAGGATTCCTTTTATATGGGAAATGAGGGAGACAGAGTCTAGGTTAATTCCCAGGTTTCCAATTTCTGGGTGTTGTGTGACCAGCTAAAATAGGGAATAAAGGAAGATGAGAAGTATTAGGATTTTTTTTTAATATACTTAAAGTTCTGGGGTAAATGTGCAGAACGTGCAGGTTTGTTACATAGATATACATGTGCCATGGTGGTTTGCTGCACCCATCAACCCGTCATCTACATTAGGTATTTCTCCTAATGCTATCCCTCCCCCGCTACACCCCCCGACAGGCCCCAGTGTGTGATGTTCCCCTCCCTGTGTCCATTTGTTCTCATTGTTCAGCTCCCACTTATCAGTGAGAACATGTGGTGTTTGGTTTTCTATTCTTGTGTTTGCTGAGAATGATGGTTTCCAGCTTCATCCATGTCCCTGCAAAGGACATGAACTCATCCTTTTTTATGGCTGCATAGTATTCCATGGTGTATATGTGCCACATTTTCTTAATCCAGTCTATCATTGTTGGACATTTGGGTTGGATCCAAGTCTTTGCTATTGTAAATAGTGCTGCAATAAACATACGTGCACATGTGTCTTTATAGTAGAATGATTTATAATCCTTTGGGTATATACCCAGTAATGGGATAGCTAGGTTAAATGATATTACTAGTTCTAGATCCTTGAGGAATCGCCACACTGTATTCCACAGTGGTTGAACTAATTTACACTCCCACCAACAGTGTAAAAGCATTCTTATTTCTCCACATTCTCTCCAGCATCTGTTGTTTCCTGACTTTTTAATGATCGCCATTCTAACTGGTGTGAGATGGTATCTCATTGTGGTTTTGATTTGCATTTCTCTGATGACCAGTGATGATGAGCATTTTTTCATGTGTCTGTTGGCTGCATAAATGTCTTCTTTTGAGAAGTGTCTGTTCATACCCTTTGCCCACTTTTTGATGGGGTTGTTTTTTTCTTGTAAATTTGTTTGAGTTTTTTGTAGATTCTGGATATATTAGCCCTTTGTCAGATGGATAGATTGCAAAAATTTTCTCCCGTTCTGTACGTTGCCTATTCACTCTGCTGATAATCTTTTGCTGTGCAGAAGCTCTTTAGTTTAATTAGACCCCATTTGTCAATTTTGGCTTTTGTTGCCATTGCTTTTGGTGTTTTAGTCATGAAGTCTTTGCCCATGCCTATGTCCTGAATGGTATTGCCTAGGTTTTCTTCTAGGGTTTTTATGGTTTTAGGTCTTACGTTTAAGTCTTTAATCCACCTTGAGTTAATTTTTGTATAAGGTGTAAGAAAGGGATCCAGTTTCAGCTTTCTGCTTATGGCTAGCCAGTTTTCCCAATCCCTTTCTTAAATAGGGAATCCTTTCCCCATCGCTTGTTTTGGCAGGTTTGTCAAAGATCAGATGGTTGTAGATGTGTGGTGTTATTTCTGAGGCCTCTGTTCTGTTCCATTGGTCTGTGTATCTGTTTTGGTACCAGTACCATGCTGTTTTGGCTACTGTGGCCTTGTAGTGTAGTTTGAAGTCAGGTAGCCTGATGCCTCCAGCTTTGTTCTCTTTGCTTAGGATTGTCTTGGCTGTGTTGGCTCTTTTTTGGTTCCATATGAAATTTAAAGTAGTTTTTTCCAATTCTGTGAAGAAAGTCATTGGTAGTTTGATGGGGATAGCATTGAATCTATAAATTACTTTGGGCAGTATGGCCATTTTTACGATATTGATTCTTCCTATCCATGAGCATGGAATGTTTTTCCATTTGTTTGTGTCCTCTCTTATTTCATTGAGCAGTGGTTTGTAGTTTTCCTTGAAGGGGTCCTTCACATCCCTTGTAAATTGTATTCCTAGGTATTTTATTCTCTTTGTAGGAATTGTGAATGGGAGTTTCCTCATGATTTGGCTCTCTGTTTGTCTGTTATTGGTGTATAGGAACGCTTGTGATTTTCCCACATTGATTTTGTATCCTGAGACGTTGCTGAAGTTGCTTATCAGCTTAAGGAGATTGTGGGCTGAGATGATGGGGTTTTCTAAATATACAATCATGTCATCTGCAAACAGAGAGAATTTGACTTCCTCTTTTCCTAATCGTTTTGTTTTTTGGCAGAGATAGGATGAAAATCGTGAGTTATGTTTGGGAGTCAATATGAAGATATATGTGGCACTAAAGGTTAGAAAGATAGATTGGGGAGTATAATGGTATGGGAGGCC
The DNA here is from genome assembly GCF_000001405.40 of Homo sapiens. NCBI lineage: Eukaryota > Metazoa > Chordata > Mammalia > Primates > Hominidae > Homo > Homo sapiens. Next base: position 64,775,276 of record NC_000001.11, read on the forward strand.
TTTTGCAAGTCCTCAGATGAGATTATTTTGCTCATTGCTTTCATAGCCCCTCATACTTCCCCTTTGGGGACACCACATTTGTAACTCTTTGTTAAATGTCTAGCTTCCCCTATTAGATTGTGAGCTCTGTGTTGAAAGGGATCTTACCTGTTCTGTTCACCAAAACATTTCCAGTGCCAAACTTGGAATCTGGCACATGATACGGAATACATGGGAATGGGTGTGATTGCCCCCAGAGGAAGAGGGTGTAGAGTGCGAAAAAAGATATTCAGCGGCCACACATTGAGTAACACATGTGGCCACACAGGTGTTACTGTGTGTGACTCTGCCAGGAAGGCACCCCAAGGAGTACTACCTTACAGCTGTGAGTGGAGGAGAAAGAGCTAGCAAAGGAAATAGAAGAAAGAGCTTGGACAGTTATGAAGCAAATCAAGAAAGAGTACATCAAGAAAGTTAAGAAAGGCCTGGTGCAGTGGCTCAGGCCTATAATCCCAGCACTTTGGGAGGTTGAGGTTGGTGGATCACTTGAGGTCAGGAGTTCGAGACCAGCTTGACCAACATGGCGCAACCCCATCTCTACTAAAAATACAAAAATTAGCCAGGCGTGGTGGCAGGCCCTGTAGTCCCAGCTACTTGAGAGGCTGAAGCAAGAGAATTGCTTGAACCTGGGAGGCAGAGGTTGTGATGAGCTGAGATCGGCACCACTGCACTCCAGCCTGGGCAACAGAGTCAGACTCTTGTCTCAAAAAAAAAAAAAAAAAAGGAAAGAAAGTTAAGAAAGGGAATGATTAACAGGTTCAAATGCCCTGAGAATTCAAGTTAAATATGACCTGAGATTTTATGGGCTGATACGAGAATATAACCAGTATTTACAAACTGTTGTTGGCTCGTTTGTTTTAGGGAAACAGAATTAAATTGTATTTTATGTCAGCATAAGGAAAAAAGACATAGAATCAAAATCAAGCCTTTTAAAAAAGATTGTTAGAAACTAAGAGATAGCCTTTTAATAAGGGCAGTAAAGCCATTTTTTCTCATTTTTTGGAAGAGATGTTGGAACAGTTAGCTGTTCCTTTGGCAATAGTTTTCTTGCGTGTGGGACATGTGTTAAATGAAAAATGTGTTTCTTTAAATGTTAGCATCACACTTAGTGTGGTGAGATGCTCTTACTCTGAGAGCCGCATGGCACTAAGACCAATTGAGGGCAGAGAAGTTTAGTGAAATGACAGGCAGAATTGCCCATGCTACTTAAATTACTTCTCTGTCTCTTGCTATATCCATATTTGCTGTATACAACATATTGTCATGCAGTTCTAATTGAATTTGGGTAAATTAAATGTTCATATGGAGTAACTTCACTATATATTTCAGAGGGAGAGGGAGAGGAACTTGTAGAGAGCAATTTATTTGTAATTTGTGGATTGCTATGTATTTTTTAATGGGGGCTTTAAACTTTTCCTATAAAATTGCTCAAAACCTTTTATATTCTTTTATTGCAAAAGGTAAACAAATTGATATGGTTAAAATGTAATTTTACCAGATATGAATGTACATAATATTTCATTGATTTAGAATGTTATATTTGTATTATGTTTCCAGTTATATAAGCCGTCATATGCATTTGTTGCTTGATGCTGGAACAACTTCATTAGCTAGACAGGGCAGACTATTTTTATTGTTTTATGAATATTCAAGATCTTGTCTTAAGATCAGAATCCTGTAACCTTTTCATTTGATATTATTCATCAAAAGTGTACCAAATTAAAAGTGTCTGTGTGTTATGTCAATCTAATCTGATATTAAGGAAATATATACATGAATTGGAGAAAGAAATGGCCTCCTTTATGCATTTTGATGTTTTTGCTGTACCTTCATTTTTTCAGGTCCTTGCTGTCAAATAGGCTCTTTTAGAACTCTTTCTAGGAAGAAAGAAAGATTTTGTAACTTCATTTTTATTTCAGTTAAGTTTTATATAAAGTCTTCATAAAATTTTATATCACAGGTTTTTGGGTGGGAGGAAATCAAATATGTGTGTGATTGGAAAAGACTACCAAAAACCCCCCAGAATATCATAGGATTTTACAGTGAAACTCCTAATATAATCCCTGTACTTTCTATTTTGGGTTACTGTTGATGAAATTAGTTTAATGGAGGTGTCAGCATTAAAAAACGCACTGAAATAGAATAAAAAATGTCACAATGCATTGCATATAGTAGGGGTATTAACTTATAATTTTGTTTCAGAAAAAAGGTGTATGTTTATGTGTACCAAGTCACAGAAGTAAGATATATTTCTTACTGTGTTTTCAAACAATTTGAAAACTCTTTAATTCATTTCGTTATCTTCCAGCTTTTGTTACCTTATTGAATGGGGAACAAGCCCAGAACGCAATTCAGATGTTTCATCAATATTCTTTTAGAGGAAAAGACTTAATAGTCCAGCTTCAGCCAACAGATGCTTTGTTGTGTATTACCAACGTGCCCATTTCTTTTACATCAGAAGAGTTTGAAGAACTTGTTCGTGCTTATGGAAATATTGAGAGATGTTTTCTGGTCTATAGTGAAGTTACTGGCCATTCCAAAGGCTATGGATTTGTGGAATACATGAAAAAGGACTTTGCTGCAAAGGCTAGACTGGAGCTATTGGGTAGACAGTTGGGAGCATCAGCACTCTTTGCACAATGGATGGATGTTAATCTATTGGCTTCAGAGCTCATTCATTCTAAGTGCCTTTGTATTGATAAACTCCCCAGTGACTACAGGGATTCAGAAGAGCTGTTGCAAATTTTTTCCAGTGTCCATAAACCTGTGTTTTGCCAGGTATGTATTTTTAAGAGATTATTGAAATATTTTAAAATATATACATATGTATCTAATCTACATACACTCACAAATTTATCATACCTGTGTGATTAACACAATGGAAATTTAATTCTGCATCATTCTGTAGGGAAGACTTTGATCTCATGGGAAATTTTAAATCAGTTCCTCTGTTTATGGGCCAAAGTATGTTGTTATGTAGTTAAGTATGCCTTAGCAAATCCATTGCTTACTCATTCACCTCATTCCATCCATTCGTCCCACCATTTTTCCATCAATCCATTTATCTATCCAACTTTTATTTACCATCTTCTGTGTACCAGACACTATGCCAAGTGTCAGAAAGGCAGAGAATGGAAAGATACTCTATCTCAATACCTCACAATTTTGTAGAAGAGACGGACAAGTAAGCAAATAATTGCAAATCCTATATGAAGAGTGATATAATGGAGGATAGAAAAGTACTATGAAGTTTAAAAGGAATGTGTAGTTCTATCTTAATGTGGTCACGGTAGGTGAGACATCTAGAGAAGATCCTGAAAACTGATAACACTGGCGAGACTTTTCAAGCACTTTATCATAGTAAAATTAAATACATTCTAATAAATATATATATATATACTATATATAACACTTTTCCTTACAGAGTTTTGATAGCAACTGATCAATTATTTCTCTCTTGTTTCTCTCCATTTCTTCCTTCTCCGTTTTCCTTTTTACCGCACTCCCTTCCCATCCACGCTCCTTTTCCTCTTACCTCTGTTGTTTCCTCTCCTCCTTTGCATCTTTTCTTTAATCATACATTTGTTGATTTCCTAGTATTGCAGTAGAAATTTTGGAGTTGGAGTACATATCTATATATGTATATAAATAAATATATTATTTAATATTAAATATATATTAAAATATATATTATTTAAGTTGACAGTTAAAATTGTATTTATCATGTATAACATGTTTTGAAGTATATATACATTGTAGAATGGCTAAATCAAGCTATTTAACATATGTATTACCTCACATAGTTATCATTTTTGTGGTAAGAACACTTAACATCCACTCTCGTAGCATTTTTCAAGAATACAATATGTTGTTATTAACTGTAGTCATCATGTTGTCCAAAAGATCTTTTGAACCTATTTCTCTTATCTAACTGAAATGTTGCATCTTTTGACCATATCTCCACAAGCTCCCACACAAATCACCCCAGCCCCTAGTATCCACTATACTTCTTTGAGATCACCTTTTTAAGCTTCCGCACATGGGTGAAATTTTGCAGTAATATATATTTTTAACATTTTTTTTTTGAGACAGGGTCTTTCTCTATTGCCCAGGCTGGAATCATGGCCCACAGTAGTCCCACACTCCTAGGTTCAAGCGATCTTCTTGTCTCAGCCTCCCAAGTAGCTAGGACTACAAGTCCACATTACTATGCCCAACTACTTTTTAATTTTTTTTTTTTTTTGGTAGAGACTGGGTCCTGCTATATTGCCAGGCTGCTCTCAAACACCTGGGCTCAAGTGATCCTCCTGCCTTGGCCTCCCAAAGCTCTAGGATTGGCTTATTGATATGTTCTTCTTGAATACTAAGAATTATATTATGTTGTCATCCTGTGGCCTTTATTTGAGGCCTTTGAAGCAGATGCGAAGAGAAAAGCCATTTATCATAAATTGTATTTGAATTGTGAACCCCCCCGAGTTGGAAGAGCCCTTAGAGATTATCTAGTATAGCTTTACATGTCATAGAAAATATTTGCTACCATATTTTTGAGTGACCATTTAGCTTCTGCCAAAATACTTCAAAAGAGTGGAAAATTAACTACATCACAAGTCAGACCATTGTGTTTTTGAATGGCTCTCATATTGAACTGAAATAGCCCTCTCTGAAACTACTGATGCCGTGGACTTAAAATGATTTTGTTTTTTGAAAGACTTAAAATATTATAATTTATACAGGCATGAAGATCATTATAATGAAATAGAATAGTAAAAAAAAATTTTTAAGTTTTCAAAAGATTAATAAAGCAGCTTTGGGATGGCTCTTTATCAGTGGGTCTGTTAACCTCAGGCTCTTTTGCATGGTAGATTGGCATAGACTGTATTAAAGACACAGCCTCTTAACTTGTGGTCAAGAGACCAAAATGATTAATTAGTGGCTTTTACAAACCTGATTTTAAGAACTGGTTTGGATTATAAGAGGAATAGGGTTGTTGGAGACATGTTTAGAAGAGGTAGATGTTTTTCCTTTTCCTGTGTGACTGGAAAAAGCTTTGTGGAGGAAAAGATATTTGTTGACAGTTTTTAAAGGAAGAAGTAATGTGAAGGAAAAGATAGAAATTTGATCTAAATATACAAGGAAGTAGAAGAAAGTTAAGCTTCAAAAACAAGAGAAAAGAAACTGAGAAGGACTAAGAAGTGATTTAGTTGTAATATCAGCTTATGAGATGCCACACCCAAATAGAAGTATTGGAAATGTGTCTTCTCAAAGATATACTAAGCTGAATTTTGTGTCATTTATCACTTTATAGCATGAATGTATTTAAGATAATTCAGACGTGTTCAAAACCTAGAAAGGTTTTAGTGTCTTATCTTGTTCTTATTTTTGCTCTTTGTACCAGTCTTTTCAGATCCAGGACTTTAGTATCTTCCATTACACTCTTACAGGTGGGTGACTGGAAATAAATCAAGTTCTACATGGCAGGAGTTTATTTAGGGCACATTCAGAAATAAAAGTTGTGTGTTGCTTATAATAAACCTGGGACACAGTTTTCCTAAATAAGGTTTGCCTGGGTATACTTGACTAAATTCCTGGGATCTGCCTAAAATAGTGAAATAAAAATGAAATATTCCTCCTACCTTCTCTTGATAATACTAACTTTATTTTCCATTGATGTGTGGTCAAATAATTTGTTCAGTATGTTTCACTGTCCATGTACCTGGTGATTTTCTTTTAAGGAAAGCTATAATTATTGTGTCCTCATGTTTTCCTATAAATTACCAGTTTATATATTTCTTAATATATAGAGACTATTACCATCTGGGCTTTTACTGTTAAAATAAATTAGAAAATTAAAGAATTGAATAGAAACTTGACAGACTCCTATCTTCCTGTCTTCAAGAAGAACTACATCTAAGCAATTAGTAAACATTTTCATAAAGAAAGAATATGTTATTTCCACCAGTATCATGCTCCAATGCACTTGTTCTTGAATTTGAAAATTATATATCGTAAATAAATGTTTCTAAGTAAAGATCGGAATTACTGTTTAATAGAATGTATTGTATCAGCTTGCACAGGATGAAGGTAGTTACGTTGGTGGCTTTGCAGTGGTTGAATATAGCACTGCGGAGCAGGCTGAAGAGGTCCAGCAGGCAGCAGACGGTATGACCATCAAGGGCAGCAAAGTCCAGGTTTCCTTCTGTGCTCCTGGAGCGCCAGGGCGAAGTACATTAGCAGCATTGATAGCGGCTCAACGTGTGGTAAGTTTTTTCTCTTTCTGTCTCTTTTTTTAGAGTATAGAAAATTCTAATACTATTTTAATCTATCCAGTCTAGCCAAAGTAATTGATTGTCGATTGCACCATCATTGCATTTCCATCACACTGAAGACTTTTCCTTTTTTTTAAAAAAGGTTAGCTAAATGGTTTCCTTGTTAAGTCAAGCCAGAAGTCATTACCAAAAAAAGAAATTGTGTTTAGTAAAGTGTATTTATCTTGAGAAATTTTTGAAGGAATTTCATTTATTCAGCAAATATTGAGTTCCTCTTGTGTTATAAATTTTGAGTGTAACATGCCTCCTTTTTCTTTTTCTTTTCTTTTTTTTTAAATTTTGAAATGGAGTTTCACTCTTTCACCCAGGCTGGAGTGCAGTGGCACAATCTCAGCTCACTGCAGCCTCTGCCTCCTGGGTTCAAGCAATTCTCCTGCCTCAGTCTCCCGAGTAGCTGAGACTACAGGCACATGCCACCATGCCTGGCTAATTGTTGTATTTTTAGTAGAGACAGGGTGTTGCCATGTTGGCCAGGCTGATCTCGAACTCCTGACCTCAGGTGATCTGCCCGCCTCAGCCTCCCAAAGTGCTGTGATTACAGGCGTGAGCCACCGCACCCAGCCGCCTCTTTATTCAAGAAGTTTTCACAAGTAGAGGAAAATACGTGCCTTTTTGCTTATGTGGCACATTGTACTTCCTTCTTTATAGTAACTGTCTACTCATTCTTCTCTACTTCTTTAGCCTGGAGGATCCTTGGAGATGGAGACTATACCTTCTTCACAGTTTTTACCCTAGTACTTAGCATAGTAAATATTTGTTAATTGAATGAAGGAATACATTTTTGAAGGAATTGGGAAAGACTTTATGCTGAAGGTGACATTTGAGTGTGACAACGAATGGATGAGATATTGACTTGTGTTGATGAGAAGTGAATAGGATTGCCACAGAAATACAGATTTTTGCATGAGATACTTGTACTAAAATATCATTCATTGTTTATCCGAACTTAAAATTTAACTGCACATTCTGTGTTTTTACTTGCTGCATCTGGCAACCCCAAAGAGGGAAAGTGAGTAGTCACTCTAGGTGGAACAGAAACTACTCATACAGTGCTTGAGGAGTGGTAAGTGGTCTGGTTGCAGAGTGAATATGAGGATGCTTGGATGTAGGCTAATGCCAAAGCAAGGAAGACTATTGAGTACTCAGCCAATTACATAGGTATACATGTGCCATGTTGGTTTGCTGCACCCATCAACTCGTCATTACACTGGGCATTTCTCCCAATGCTATCAATCCCCCAGCCCCCTACCCCGCGACAGGCCCTGGTGTGTGATGTTCCCCATCCTGTGTCCATGTGTTCTCATTGTTCAGTTCCCACCTATGAGTGAGAACATGCGGTGTTTGGTTTTCTGTCCTTGTAATAGTTTTCTGAGAATGATGGTTTCCAGCTTCATGCATGTCCCTGCAAAGGACATGAACTCATCCTTTTTTATGGCTGCGTAGTATTCCATGGTGTATATGTGCCACATTTTCTTAATCCAGTCTATCATTGATGGACATTTGGGTTGGTTCCAAGTCTTTGCTATTGTGAATAGTGCCGCAATAAATATATGTGTGCATGTGTCTTTATAATAGCATGATTGATAATCCTTTGGGTATATATCCAGTAATGGAATAGCTGGGTCAAATGGTATTTCTAGGTTCTAGATCCTTGAGGAATCGCCACACTGTCTTCCACAATGGTTGAACTAATTTACACTCCCACCAACAGTGTAAAAGCGTTCCTATTTCTCCACATCCTCTCTAGCATCTGTTGTTTCCTGACTTTTTAATGATCGCCATTCTAACTGGTGTGAAATGATATCTCACTGTGGTTTTGATTTGCATTTCTCTGATGACCAGTGATGATGAGCATTTTTTCATGTGTCTGTTGACTGCATAAATGTCTTCTTTTGAGAAGAAGACATTTGTTGTCTGTTCATACCCTTTGCCCACTTTTTGATGGGGTTGTTTTTTTCTTGTAAATTTGTTTAAGTTCTTTGTAGATTCTGGATATATTAGCCCTTTGTCACATGGGTAGACTGCAAAAATTTTCTCCCATTCTGTAGGTTGTCTATTCACTCTGATGGTAGTTTCTTTTAATGCCCTAGAAGAAAACCTAGGCAATACCATTCAGGACATAGGCATGGGCAAAGACTTCATGACTAAAACACCAAAAGCAATGGCAACAAAAGCAAAATAGACAAATGGGATCTAATTAAACTAAAGAGCTTCTGCACAGCAAAAGATACTGGGCTTTATAACCATGCAACCGGTTGCCTGAAGAATTAGGCCTCACTTATTGTCACCATTTCTTAATTTTCCATTTCCCTCTCAAGTCTAATGCAATGTAGTTTCTCCTCCACTGTTCAAGTGAATCTGTTCTCATTAAGTTAACAGGGGTTTTTAAATATTCAGATCTAGTGACTACATTTCAATCTTTTATTGGTTGGTCCCTTCGCAACATTTAAAACCTTCTACTGGCTGGGCACAGTGGCTCACGCCAGTAATCCAAGCACTTTGGGAGGCCAAGGTGGGAGGATTGTTTGAGCCCAGGAACTCGAGACTAGTCTGGGAAACATGGTGAAGCCCTGTCTCTACAAAAAGTTAGCTAGACTTAGTCGTGTGCACCTGTTAGTCTCAGCTACTTGGGGGGCTGAGGTGGGAGAATAACCCGAGCCCAGGAGTTTGAGGCTGCAGTGAGCCATGATTATACCACTGCACTCCAGCCTGGGTGACAAAGTAAGACCTTGTCTCAAAAACAAAGCAAAACAAAACAAAACAAAGCTCTCTACTACCTTGAATTCTGCCACACCATTCATTTTCCTATCTGCCTATGTGTTCTTTCCCTAACTTATTTTTTCCCCCTAAGAGCTGATATCAGTAGATTTCCATATTTGGCCTTCTCATTTTCTTCCTGTTATATATGCCTATTAGTGATTACTTCCAAGCATATAATTTCAGACCAAACTGCTCTCAGTACTAAATTATGTTTCCAAGGGATTCTTAGACATTCCCACTTCATGCTATATAAATAGTTCAATTTCAGCATTTCAAAGAAGACTTTTTTTCTGGGACTGCTTTTCTATGTTCTATAATATCTATATATGGCATCAGTTCATCCAAACTAAAACTATGTGAATCAAAAACTCAGTTAATCGTGATTGGTCTCCCTCACCCACTTTCTAATGTAAATGTCAGAAATACTATCACATCCTTTCAATTTCACCTCCTAAGATCTCTCAAATCCTTGGGACCTTGTCAGCATCTTGATTACTTCACTCAGGATCTCATCTTTTCTCATCTCTCTGATTAGAATAATTCCCTGCGTGGTCCCATGTCATTAGTCTTTCCCCTTCTAATCCATCTTGCACAGTGCACAGGAGAGCTCTTTCTCATCCTCAAATCAGCTTATGTCATTCTCTTGCTTAATATTCTTTAATGCCTGCATAAGTTCACCTTCCTTAGCATGGCATGCAGGCCCTTTACAGTCAGATAGTAGTGACAGTGAGAAATCTCAGTCTTAAAAATAAGGTATTCTAGATAATGTTTTCTATAGGTTTTTGGTACATATCCTTTGGTAATATCAAGTTTTCTGAGTTTTTTAATGTCATAAATAGGTGCTGACCTTTATCAGAATATTTCTACAACTATTGAGATAATCATGATTTCTCCTTAATTTCTTTAGCGTCGTTTGAGAGTTACACATTCTATCTCTATCCTGCTGGTGATTGTGCCTGTCCCTAACTTTTTTTTTTTTTTTTTTTTGAAATAGAGTCTTGCTCTGTCGTTCAGGCTGGAGTGCAGTGGCACGATCTTGGCTCACTGCAACCTCCGCCTGCCGGGTTCAAGCGACTCTCGTGCCTCAGCCTCCTGAGTAGCAGAATTACAGGCATGCACCACCACGTCCAGCTAATTTTTGTATTTTTAGTAGAGACGGGGTTTCACCATGTTGGCCAGACTGGTCTTGAACTCCTGACCTCAAGTGATCTGCCAGCCTCAGCCTCCCAAAGTGCTGGGATTACAGGAGTGAGCCACCATGCCCGGCCAATTGTCCCTAACTTTTTAACATGCATAGGTTTATCAGAACTTCTGTCTACTCACTTATTCTCACCTCCATCTGCTTCCTCCTTCCTACCATACCTATCATCATATTGGTGTCTGCCTTTTTGCATTAGGATAGTCTTAAATGTTTTTGGGGTGTTTTTATGGTTGTGGCTTTGCATACAAGATTAAAATTATGATATTGTGTACCTCAATTTCAACATATTATATAATAACATCTTGCATTTATTTCTTTTCTTGCTGGATTACTTCCTTCTAGGGCATTTTGAAAGATAGTATTCTTGTGGTAAAAACTTTTGAGAACTTATATAGTTGAGAATATTTTTATTTCTTTGTGATACTAAATAACTTAGATGAATCTAAAAATCTAGGCTCAGAGTTCTTTTCTTACAATACTTTGAAAATATTAATTCATTGTCTTCTTGAATCTAATGTTGATGCTTTGAGAAAGAAGATTATAGTAATTTGTTTCTTGTTCCTTTAGAGATATGTTCTTTTTAAATGGAAGTTTTTAGAAGGTTTTTTGTTGTTCTTATTGGCTTTGATGTTCTTAAATGTCACACAAATGTGACTAGGTGTGTTTTTTCTTTAGAAATCATATTTGGAAGACTGTGAACCCTTTCATTCTATGCTCTTCAATTGTTCTTTAATAATGGGAAATTTCTCAGCCATTATTTCTTCAAAGATCTTATTTTCTTCTCCTTCAGAGACTTCTAATATTACAAGTGTTGATGCTTCTACCTCCGTTTTCTTCGTCACCCTGCTTTTTCTTGTTTGTTGGAATTTTCAGTTTCTTTAATTGGATCTTTAAGATCACTACTTTGGGCCAGGTGCGGTGGCTCTTGCCTGTAATTCCAGCACTTCGGGTGGCCGAGGCAGGTGGATCACCTGAGGTCAGGAGTTTGAGACCAGCCTGGCCAACATGGCGAAACCCGGTCTCTACTAAAAATGCAAAAAACTTAGCCAGGTGCGGTGGCAAGCACCTATAATCCCAACTACTTGGGAGGCTGAGACAGGAGAATTGCTTGAACCCAGGAAGCAGAGATTGCAGTGAACCGAGATCACACCATTGCCCTCCAGCCTGGGTGACACAGCGAGACTCTGTCTCAAGAAAAAAAAAAAATACTATTTTGTTTTTTAGTCACATATATTCTACTATTTAACCTATCTGTTAAAGCACAGGGTAAATGTTAATAATAATGCTTCACGAATTCCTTCAGTTTCTTTATCTATAGAATGGAGATAATACTAAGCTTATAGAATTGGTTTTTTGAGGATTAAATGATCTGATTCATGTAAAGTGTTTAGAACAATGCCAAGTCTATAGTAAGTGAGGGCTGCTATTATTTTTCCTCAATACTTATGTTTTTCATAATCTAGCATTTCTCATTGGTTATTCTTTAAAAACTGCTTGTCCTTCATGTTATGAGTAAAAATCCATTTTATTTTTGTAATGTCTATTACATTTATTTGACATTCTTATTATTTCCTATTCATAATTCTGCTTTCTGTCTTATAGGTGGTTCAGTTTGTTGCTTTTATTTTTTAGTGACTGCATTCTCCAAATGTCTAGCTATTTTTCTTTTGAATGTATGAATATACATTTCCTGTGGGGGCTATCACCTTTCTGTATGTCACTGTTTAGAGGTTGTGGGGAAGGGGATGGGCAGAGGGAAGCTAAAGCCTGGTCTTAGCTAGGGTTTAGGGAAGGGCAGGCAAGGACCTCAGGGCAGAGAAGTTCTGCCTTCACCATCTAGGCTTGAGCCCAGCCCTTTTCCCACCCCAGCCAGGCAGCCCTGCACCTTAGAGAGCCTCTCTTCATTTCCACCCCTGCTCTTTTCCAAGTTCTGCCTTCCTCTGCTGTAACTCTTCTATCCTGCAGAGTGGGTGTGGGAGGACCTGAGAAGGTCGGGGAGGTGGGAAGGTTTTCAGTGACCAGCTGGTCTGCCCGCCTAGTGTTATCTTGTCCCCATTGTCTCTGCACTTGTGTGCCATCCTGCTGTTCGTTGGTCCTATGGCTGTCACTGGGGTGATGCTGCTGTTTTCCCACCTCACTGTCCTGGCCAAGAAAGCCATGCTCTCTGAAGGCAAAGTAGTTACACAACTCAAAAGTCCTTCCCTGAATTATCCTGTGTGTGGACCCATGCACTCTCATGCTCTCTGCTGATGTTTACCTTCACATCTTCTATCTCCCCAGGGGTTTCTCACAGGCTTTATGTCAGTTTCTTGGATGCATCACCTTCTCCCTCTCAATTTCGCAGTATGTGGGTTGGGAGAAGGTTCCAGTTGTCCTTGTCCGTTCTCCATTTTCTCATAGCTGAAAGTTTTTAATTTATCTTTTATGTAATTATATATATTCATATCACCATCCATCAAGCTGGTTTTTAAAACTGAAAATTATTTCATGTTTTTAGGAAGCTACTCGATTGCATGTATGTAAGGCCAGCTCATTTTAATCTCATATTAAGTTAATCAAGTAAAGACCTTTATAAAAAAGAAGATTTTGGGCTGGGCACGGTGGCTTATGCCTGTAATCCCAGTACTTTGGGAGGCCGAGGTGGGTGGATCACGAGGTCAGGAGATCAAGACCATCCTGGCTAACATGGTGAAACCCTGTCTCTACTAAAAATACAAAAAATTAGCCAGGTGTGGTGGCGGGCACCTGTAGTCCCAGCTACTTGGGAGGCTGAGGCAGGAGAATGGCGTGAACCCAGGAGGCAAAGCTTGCAGTGAGCCGAGATCGCGCCACTGCACTCCAGCCTGGGCAACAGAGTGAGACTCCGTCTCAAAAAATAAAAATAAAAAAACAATAATAAAGAAGATTTTGGGTCAGTCGCGGTGGCTCACACCTATAATCCTAGCAGTTTGGGAGGCCGAGGTGGTGGATCACAAGGTCAGGAGATTGAGACCATCCTGGCTAACATGGTGAAACCCCGTCTCCACTAAAAATACAAAAAATTAGCCAGGCGTTGTGGCGGGTGCCTATAGTCCCAGCTGCTCGGGTGGCTGAGGCAAGAGAATGTCATGAACCCGGGAGGCGGAGCTTGCAGTGAGTCGAGATCACGCCACTGCACTCCAGACTGGGTGACAGAGCGAGACTCCGTCTCAAAAAAAAAAAAAAAAGAAGATTTTGAATTGTAAGGCAACCCACATTGTTAAACTTCGTTTTATTTTATTTTTATTTGAAGTTTTTATTTGTAAAAATATAGAAACAGGGTTTCAATATGTCACCCAGGCTGATCTTGACCTCCTGAGCTCAAGTGATCCTCCTGCCTCAGCCTCCCAAAGTGTCACGATTACAGGTGTGAGGCACTTTGCCTGGCCAATTAAACTTTAAATCAACATTATAAGAAGGCTCTTCTGTAGTATCAAAGTATCCATATTGTGTCAACAAGTTATTAATAACTTCAGATTCCCTTGTCATCCTTCTATTTGTATGATATGATGAGACTCATTGTGCTAAATTGTCAGTCCTCTTAAAGCCAGTTGGTATTTACCTGAGACGTTCTATGAGGATTTTATGCCATATGTATAATTGAGAACTGCAGTAGAGAGTATAAAATAGATATATAATATAAATCAAATTATGTTTATCATAAAATAGATCTTGTCAGATGAATGAGGATTTCTAGAAGAAAGCCTTTGAAATTGTGTCTTTGTACTTATGCTGTTCTAATGTTTCTTATTTCTATATTCATTGCAGATGCACAGTAATCAAAAGGGCTTACTTCCAGAGCCAAATCCAGTACAAATTATGAAAAGTTTAAACAACCCTGCCATGTTGCAAGTTCTTCTACAGCCCCAGTTATGTGGACGAGCTGTTAAACCAGGTATGGACCATGTATGTATACTGATTAATTAAAGAATGCTAGCATGAAGTTAATTTTTTCACATGTGAAATATGGAAAAATACATTGATTTGTGAAAAATATATTTAAATTAGTATAAAATATTTAATTTTTCTAGGACCTGTTAATGAATTTTAACAATAATCTGAGGTGATATATTTTGACTATTTTTGACATATACAACCTGCTTATGTGGTATTTTTTACTATTAATAAATGCTAAATATCAAACCTTCTGTTTAGCTCTTAGTTGACATGAATTTATAGACCAAGGTAAAGGTTAACACACTACATTGTTATAACCTATATTAACAAAGAATTAATACTCTTCTATGTAATATTTTTAGCAGAATTATTTTGTTGAAAAGTGCCAAGTGTTTGTTTCCTCTTTGTTCTTCCCCTTTTTGTTGTAAAATTGTTTCACTTTGTAGCAAATGATGAAAACATTATTATTTTCTAAGTGTTATGCAAATCTTTATAATATCAGTATACATTAAATATCTACCTATTTAGTATTCTTTCTCTAGTAAGAGCTTACCTTCTGTGCATTCTGAAATGTACAACTTTTTATGTACAAAAATGTCTGTTTTAGCATTATGAGGAAATGAATGCCTATACAGTGGTCTCCCCTTATCTATGTTCTTGTGTTCCACAGTTTAGTTACCTGCAGTCTGAAAATATTAAGTGGAAAATTCCAAAAATAAACTACTTATAGGTTTTAAACTGCATGCTATCCTGAGTAGTGTGATGAAATGTTTTGCCATTCTGCTTCTCCTGCCTTGGCTATGAATTACCCCTCTGTCCAGTGTACCTACTCTGTATACATTACCCACCCATTAATCACTTAGTAGCCTTCTTGGTTATCACATCACCTGTCATGGTATTGTAGTGCTTATGTTCGAGTAACCCTTATTTTCCTTAATAATGGCCCCAAAGCGCAAGAGTAGTGATGCTGGCAGTTTGGATATGCCAAAGAGAAGCTGCAAAGTGCATCCTTTCAGTGAAAAGGTTAAAACATTTCCAACTTAATAGGGAAAAACAAACTGTGTGCTGAAATTGCTAAGATCTACAGTAAGAATGTATTTTCTATCCATGAAATTATGAAGAAGGAAAATGAAGTTTGAACATAGCGTATATAAATTTTGGTACTATTTATGGTTTCAGGCATCCACTGGGGTTCTTGGAACATATCGCTCGCTGATAAGGGGGAACTAATGTATTCAACATTTAAGTTTACAGCAAATATGTATAGAGCAAATATATTAAATACATTTATTATGTTTCAGTCCCAACTGGTCTAACACCAGCTCACCTACTGCAATTCAATTCTAGCACTAACTACCTGGAGTTAGCACAGACCCCACAAGTTAAGAGCTCAATCTTCCATATGGCTGCCCCCACTTTAGACCTAGACACAAGTTCGGGGGATTCTCCAGGCCATGTGCACTTCTGACCAACTAACTACAAATTTGGGAGTTCCCACAGTGCCCTCAGGTTCAATAGTTCAATAGAATGACTCACAGAACTTAGGAAAGCACTATGCTTATGAATACAGTTTTATTATAAAGAGCACAGGCAAGGGAAGATACACTTAGGGAAAAGTCTTGGAGGGTCTTGAATGCAGAGCTTCTGTGTCCTCTACCCATCAAATCAGGCCATGTCACCCTCCCAACACATCAATATGTTTTCCAACTGGGGATCTCTACTGAACTTCGATGTCCAGAGTTTTTATTGGAGTTTCACTATGTCAGTGTGATTGATGGGCCCCATGATTGAACTCAGTCTCTAGTTTGCTTCCATTCCCTGGAAGTTAGAAGGTCAGGCTGATATCACATGATGCAAAGCTCCACCTCTCCTTATAGAGTTGGTCTTTCTGCACAGCCAGCCCT
Organism: Homo sapiens; assembly: GCF_000001405.40. NCBI lineage: Eukaryota > Metazoa > Chordata > Mammalia > Primates > Hominidae > Homo > Homo sapiens. The sequence continues at coordinate 64,791,421 of NC_000001.11, forward strand.
CATCCTGAAGCTATCTATGTGTCCATAATGAGTTACCTCAGTAGCATATCAAAGACACTCCTGTAACTCAAGAAAATACAAGGATTTAGAGTCTCCCTCAGGAACCAGGGACAAAGGCCAGTCAAATTCTTTATTATACAACAATATTCATATTCAGTACTTCATATAATTATTTGTGTGTAAGAAGCAGCTTTGGTAGTTTTCTGGCTCAGGCTATTATGCAATTAGATATCTCTTTTACAATTTTAATAGTATAGAGATACTCTTTTTTGTCTTGACAACATGAAGGATTAGAAGCTCATTACTTCCCAAGGCAGCCTATTCCCTGGTTTGACAGTTTCAGTTACTGGAAAGTTTTTATATTACTAATATAAGTAATTTTTAGCCACTTATTCTGGTTCCACCTCTGAAGAAATACAGGATAAATGTATTCCTTCTTGCATAATAAAAGCCTCCTAATATTTGAAGACAACTACCATGAAACCTCAGTCATTTTTTATTTTACCTGTCTTCTTTTCTCCAGACCAGTTCTTTTTTTTACAATGCAACTTTATCAGTAAAATAAATTTTGAGCAGAGCCCCAGTATATACCATATATGTAAAAGATGTCAGTTAAACAGATGGACCATTGACAATCCATATATTTAGAAATGATCAAACCTAATGTTTTCCTTTTTTAAGATGAAAGTAAACATAAATAGAGATGGTATTTTTTTCTGCAATTCTCTTTTTATACATCTTATATCTCTTTGCAGATTACAGTTCTATATTTGACTTCCCATAACATGTCACAGGACATGTGCTTTAAATCCCCCACAAGTTGTTCTCTTGTGGATATAGTCTAGGTCTTCTGGGTTGTCCCAAAATATGATGTGCACAGACACAAACATATTCTGTATATTGGTTTTGATTAACACAGAATGCAGTGGGATTTCCTTCCTATTATCATTATATTTCCCTTAATGCAGTCCAAGATTATGTATTAGTGTCTAAAGAAGTATACCACATTCTTAGGTCTTTTAGAAAGTATCATCTGCCTCTTTGGACTCTGGGCTATCTTTACTAATTCATCTCAAGTATTATTTTTGTCTCTTCTTTTCATCTAAGACTAAATATTCTCCACTCTGCTGTTCTACTCAGATTAATGTATGGCCATATGGCAGTAGACTTCTTTATACTTAGTGCTTTCTCAATTTTAAGATGTTTGAATATTACACTGATGCAGAAGTTATTTCATAAGCATAGCTTTTTCTTGTGTGGGGTGGAAAGGGAAGAGGATTAAATCACTGCCTCACTTGAGCACATACATAGCTGGAAAATGTGTGGAAAGTTTCTTGATGTTGAGAAAAAAAGACAGTGTCTTGTTAATCAATAAATTCCGTTTATTTTTCTTTTACTATGTCCTTTACTATATCATAACTGTAGCCTTGCTATATCCTGAACTCCTCACAAAGGCCTTCTCTGAGCCAACTAAATTAATGATAAAGAATTGTAATTCTTGGCTGGGTGCTGTAGTTCACGCCTGTAATCCCAGCACTTTGGGTCACTGAGGTGGGCAGATCACCTGAGGTCAGGAGTTCAAGACCAGCCTGGCCAACATGGCGAAACCCCATCTCTACTAAAAGTACAAACATTAGCTGGGCATGGTGGCATGCACTTGTAGTCCCAGCTACTCGGGAGGCTAAGGCAGGAGAATGACTTGAACCCTGGAGGCGGAGGTTGCAGTGAGCCAAGATTGCACCACTGCACTCCAGCCTGGGCAACAGAGCGAGACTCCATCTCAAGAAAAGAAAAAAAAAATTGTAATTCTTATACCCTTGCTCTGCTTCTTTATCATTGTGTAATTTTAAAAACAACTGACATATATTATACAGGTACTTGTTTATTGTCTATTTCTACCACTAAAATGGAAGCTCCAACTGCTATTAGATTAATTTCCCTCCCAGGTCCAATTTTGATTATGTTACTCTGACCAAGCTGATCTTTTCTCTTCAATCTAGACCTTTTAACTACCTTCAAAAATACAATAAATATAATTATTCTAGACTTCTTTATGTATGTGTGTGTTCCTAATTTAACTGTTGTGTAATCACTTGATAGTATAAACTGTATTTTTTTAGGATAAACTATTTTTAAACAGCTTTATTGAGGAATAGTTTATGTACATTAAACTGTAGGTATTTGAAGTGTATGAATTGATATGTTTTGATGTTATGTATATACTCATGAAATCATTACCACAATCAAATAATAGACGTATAAATTACCCCCTAAAGCTTCTTTTTGTCCATTTGTAATCCATCCCCTATCCTGTCCCCAGGAAACCACTGATCTGCTTTCTGTCACTACAGTTTGTATTTTCTAGAAATTGGTATAAGAGGAATCGCACAGTCTGTACTGTTTGGCTTCATTTACTTAGCTTACTGTTTTGAGGTTCATTCACGTTGTTACATGGCTTAGTAGTATTTTTTTCTTTTTATTACTGAGTGGTATTTCATTCTATAATTTGCTTATTCATTGATTTGTTGATGGGCATCTGGATTATTTCCAGTTCGAGGTCATTACAAATAAAATCTCTATGGACATTTGTGTACTAGTCTTTATGCTTTTATTTCTTATGCTTTTATTCTCTTTGATAATTAACTATCTGTGGAATGGCTGAGTCATATGGTAGATATATGTTTAAGTGGTAAGAAACTGCCCAGCTGGGCCAGGCGCAGTGGCTCATGCCTGTAATCCCAGCACTTTGGGAGGTCGAGGCGAGCGGATCACGAGGTCAAGAGATTGAGACCACGGTGAAACCCCGTTTCTACTAAAAATACAAAAAATTAGCCGGGCGTGGTGGTGGGCGCCTGTAGTCCCAGCTACTCGGGAGGCTGAGGCAGGAGAATGGCGTGAACCTGGGAGGCGGAGCTTGCAGTGAGCCGAGATCGTGCCACTGCACTCCAGCCTGGGTGACAAATGGGGACTCCGTCTCAAAAAAAAAAAAAAAAAAAACTGCCCAGCTGTTTTCCAATGTGGTTGAGCCATTTTACATACTCACCATCAGTTTCTAGGGCTCCAGTTTGCTTAGTATCCCCACCAGTACTTGATCTGTTGGTCTTTTTAATTTTAGCCTTTCTATTGGATGTATAGTGCTCTCTTACTGTGGTTTTAATTTGAATATTTCTTTTGACTAATGATTTTGAGCTTCTTTTATTGTGCTTATTTGTCATCTTTATATCTTCTTTGGTGATATGTCTTTTCAAATATTTTGCACGTGTTAAAAACTGAGTTGTTTGTCTTCTTATCAAGTTGTAAGAGTGTTTTTTTATTTTACATACAAGTACTCTGTTGGATATATGGTTTGCAAATATTTTTTTAACAGTGTCTTTTGAGGAGCAAAATTTTTTATTTTGACAAAATCCAATTTATTATTTTTTCTTTTATAATTTGTACTTCCTGTGTCATATTTGAGAAATCTTTGCCAAATTCAGGTTTTCTAAGATTTTCTTGTATGTTTTCTTGGAGAAAGTTTTATAATTTTTATCCCTATATTTAGGTCTATGATCTATTTTGAGTTAATTTTAGTTTGTAGTATGAGGTAAGAGTCCAGATTTTTTTTTTACATATAGTTATACAATTATTCTGGCATCATTTGTTTAGAAAGATAATGTTTCATTGAATATTTTGACATTTCCCAAAAATCAGTTCACCATATATGCATGAGGCTATAACTAAACTGTGTTCATTGACCTAAATGTCTGTCTTTTACCAGTACTGTCTTTATATCAATACTGTCTCTATACCAAAATATATGTGTTATAAATCCTGAAATCAGTTAGTGTAAGTCCTTCAACTTTATTCTTCTTTTTCAAAGTTGTTTGGCCATTCCAGGTTCTTTGCATTGACTTATAAATTTTAGAATCAGAGTGCCAATTTCTATGAAAAATGTCGGCTGGGATTTTGATTGAGATTGTGTTGATTTGTATGCTAATTTAGGCAGAATTCACAACAATTCTGAGGCTTCTGATCCATAAGTATGGTATATCTTTTCAATTATTTTGAGGTCATATTTAATTTCTCCCAGCAATGTTTTATTTTTTCAGATACAAATCTTATACATCTTTGGTCAGATTTATTCACAGTATTTCATATTTTTTGATGTTATTTTAGATGGTACTGCTGTCTTAATTTCAATGTCCTGTTGCTTGTTGTTAGCATATAGAAGTATGACTGATTAAATATTTATTTATCTTATATCCTACAGTCTTGCTAAACTCACTTATTATTTCTAGTAGGTTTTTGCTGGGATTTTCTATGTAGATGATTATGTTATCTACAAATAAACATAATTTTACTTCTTCCTTTCCAACATGTATGGCTTCTATTTTTTTCCTTGCTTTTTTGCATTAGATAGAAATTCCAATTGTGCATAGAACTGGTGAGAGCAGACATCCTTGCCTCATTTCTGATCTCATGGAGAAAGTATTCATTCTTTAATTATTAAGTATTATCTTAGCTAGAGTTTTTTTTCACAGATTTCTTTTATTAAGCTGCGGAATTTACCATCTATTTCTAATTGCCGAATTTTAGCATGATGGTTGCTGGAACTTGTTGAATGCTTTTCTCCATCTATTGAGATGATCATATATTTTTCCTATCTGTTAACATGATACATTACATTGATGATTTTTGAATGTTATACCAACCTTTTATTCTTAGGGTAAACCTCACTTAGTCATGTTATATTATAATCTTTTTTATATATTGTTGAATTTGATTTAATAAAATTTAGTTTGAAATTTTTGCATCTATGTTTATGAGGTATATTGGTCTGTAGTTTTCTTCCCTTGTAATATATTTTCTGGTTTTATTATGCTGCCCTCATGGAATGATTTGGAAAATATTCCCTCTCTTCAGTCATCAGGAGAGTTTATGTTCAGTGCTATTATTTCTTCTTCATATGTTTGATAGAATTCGCTAGTGAAATCAGCTGTGTCAAATTTTTTAAGGAAGATTTCTGACTACACATTTAATTTCTTTAATATGTAAGAGCTATTTCAGGATCTTGTTCTTCTTAAGTGAGCTTTGCTAGTTTGTATCTTTCAAGGAAATTGTCTATTTTGTGTAAGTTATCAAATTTATTGGCATAACATTGTTCATAGTATTCCCTTATTATTCTTTAATCTCTGCAGGATCTATAGTGATGGCCTCTTTCACATTCCTGATATTTTTGTCTTCTCTCTTTTTTCCTGATAAGTCTGGCAAAAGGTTTATCAGTATTATTGATTTTTCCAAAGAGCTAGCTTTTGTTTTCATTGACTTTCTCTGGTTGTTGTCTGTTTTTTATTTCATTGATTTCCGCTTTAATTATGTCTTTCTGCTTACCTTGAACATATTTTGTTCTTCCTTTTCTGGTTTTTTAAAGTAAAACTAGATTATTCACTTGAGACCTTTCTTCTTTTAATGTGTTTAGTATTACAAATTTCCTTCTAAGCACTGTATCTCACAAATTTTGATATGTTATTTTCATTCATTTCAAAATACTTTTTGGTTTCCATTTTGATTTATTTGGTCAGTTGGTTATTTGTGTCACTTAAGTTCCAAAATTTGGAGATTTTCTAGATTTTTTTGGTTATAATTTAATTCACTTATAGACAGAGATGATACTTTGTACAATTTAAATTTATAAATTAGAATTTAGACTTGTTTCATGGTTCAGAATACAGGCTATATTTGCAAATAGTCCATGGACACTTGAGAAGAATATATGTTCCGCTCTTACTGGATGTGGAGTGTTCTATACACGTCAGTTAGATCAACATGGTTGATAGTGTTCATGTCTCCTATATCCTTACTGATTTTTCATCAACTTATTCTATCAGTTATACTGAGGAGAAGGATGGGGCATAGTGGGAGTCCTAGCCATAGCTAAGGGTAAGAGCAGGTAGGCATGATGCTATGGACATTTTCAGACTGTTTTTATTCTGATTGTTGTTTCTGTTGTTGTTATAAACTGGAAGGTACTGTGTTCAGTAAAAAGCTGTGAAGAAAAATTATTTCAGTTTTTTATAATAAAATACAGTGATGATATGAAAAAGAGAAGAAGAGTTGTTGAAATTTTTAATCATAATTTTGGGTTTGTCTACTTTTCCTTTCAGTTCTGTGAATTTTGCTTCATATATTTTGAAGCTTTGTTATTTGGTGCACAAACATTTAAGATTGTTGCATCCTCTTGATTAATTGGCCCATTTATCATTACAAAATGGTGATCTTTATCCCTGGTAATATCTTTTGATCTGGATTTTTTTGATATTAAAGTAGCCACCAGCTTTTAAAAATTAATATCACCGTATCTATCTATATCTATATGTTTATATGTTTAACAAAATATATTTTAAGTTGCCAAGTGGGTTTGTATTTTCTATTATCTTGGAAAATCCTTTTCTGATATTTGCAGTATTACTACTGGCTACTCCATCAATAATGTGTGACTTTAAAGTAATGTAGTTTTTTTTTTTCTTTTTTTTTTTATTATACTTTAAGTTTTAGGGTACATGTGCACATTGTGCAGGTTAGTTACATATGTATACATGTGCCACGCTGGTGTGCTGCAGCCACTAACTCGTCATCTAGCATTAGGTATATCTCCCAATGCTATCCCTCCCCCCTCCCCCCACCCCACCACAGTCCCCAGCGTGTGATATTCCCCTTCCTGTGTCCATGTGATCTCATTGTTCAATTCCCACCTATGAGTGAGAATATGCGGTGTTTGGTTTTTTGTTCTTGCGATAGTTTACTGAGAATGATGATTTCCAATTTCATCCATGTCCCTACAAAGGACATGAACTCATCATTTTTTATGGCTGCATAGTATTCCATGGTGTATATGTGCCACATTTTCTTAATCCAGTCTATCATTGTTGGACATTTGGGTTGGTTCCAAGTCTTTGCTATTGTGAATAATGCCGCAATAAACATACGTGTGCATGTGTCTTTATAGCAGCATGATTTATAGTCCTTTGGGTATATACCCAGTAATGGGATGGCTGGGTCAAATGGTATTTCTAGTTCTAGATCCCTGAGGAATCGCCACACTGACTTCCACAATGGTTGAACTAGTTTACAGTCCCACCAACAATGTAAAAGTGTAGTTTTAAAAGTGTTTTGATATCTGTTATTTGTGGTTTCCATAATAGTTTTTTGAGGGAAGAGACTTCTATTAATCTTTCATAGGTAATACATCTAGGGCTTTGTAATTTAGATGTATTTCCCCAGGTGGTCATTAATTTAACAAGAAGGGATGTGTCTTAAAAACTCTATTTTTTGTACTTCAACTACAGAATTTGAAAAAAATTAACTCCTCCACTCAAGTTTTTTTCCATTAAGAAAATTTTTAATTGACATGTAATAATTATACATATTTATGGGGTACAGACTGATGGTCCAATACATGTATATAATCTGTAATAATCAAATGAAGGTAATTAGCATATTAACCACCTCAAACATCCATCATATCATTGTGTTGGGAGCATTTAAAGTCCTCTCTTCTAGCTATTTCAAAATATACAATAAATGTTTGTTAACTTAGTCACCCTACAGTACTATAGAACATGAAAACTTAATCAGCCTATCTAGCTATAGTTTTGTAACCATTAACCAACCTCTCCCTATCATCCCCTTCTCCCTTCTCTTCCCAGACTCTAATAACCATGATTGTACCTTCAACTTCTATGAGCTCAACTTTTTTAGCTCCTGTATATGAGGGAGAACATGCAGTATTTATCTTTATGTGCCTGACTTGTTTCACTTAATATAATGTCCTCCAGGTTGCTGCAAATGACCAGCTTTCCTTTTTTCTTATGGCTGAATAGTATTCCATTGTGTATATGTACCACATTTTCTTTATCCATTCATCTGTTGGTGGACACTTAGTCTATATCTTGGCTACTGTGAATAATGCTGCAATAAACATTAGGATGCAGATATCTCTTCAAGATATGGATTTCCTTTTCTTTGGTTTGTTGTTGTTTTTGTTGTTATTTGTTTGTTTTTTTGAGCTAGTCCCACCCTGTTGCTCAGGCTGGAGTGCAGTGGCATGATCTCAGCTCACTGCAACCTCTGCCTCCTGAGTTCAAGCGATTCTCATGCCTCAGCCTCCCGAGTAGCTAGGATTACTGGCATGCACCACTACACCCTGCTATTTTTGTATTTTTTAGTAGAGACGGTTTCGCCATGTTGGCCAGGCTGATCTCGAGCTCCTGACCTCCAGTGATCAACTCACCTCAGCCTCCCAAAGTGCTGGGATTACAGGTGTGAGCCACTGCACCTGGCCGTGATTTCCTTTTCTTTGGATAAATATTCATTAGTGGATTGCTGGATCCATATGGTAGTTCTATATTTGTTTTTTTGAGAAACCATCGTACTGTTTTCCATAATGGCTGTACTAATTTGCATTCCCTCCAGCAGTGTAAGAGAGTTCCCTTTTTTCCGCATCCTCACTAGCATTTATTATTTGTTTGTCTTTTTGATAATTAGAATTAGCTGTTCTAATTGGGGTGAGATGGTATCTTATTGTGGTTTTGACTTACATTTCCCTGATGATTACTGATGTTGAACATTTTTTCATATACTTGTTGGTCATTTATATGCCTTCTGAGAAATGTCTGTTCAGATCCTTTGCCCATTTTTAAATTGGATTATTTGGGGTGTTTTTTTGTTTTTTGTTTTTTTTTTTTGCTGTTGAATTGCTAGAGTTCTGTGTATATTCTGGATATTAATCCTGTGTCACATGAATAATTTGCAGATATTTTCTCCCATTCTACAAGTTGTACGTGTTCACCCTATTGATTGTTTCCCTCATTGTGCAGAAGCTGTTTAGTTTGATAAAATCCCATTTGTCTATTTTTGATTTTGTTGCCTGTGCTTGTGAAGTGTGACCCATAACATCTTTGCCCAGATCAGTGTCCTCAAGTGTTTCCCCCATGTTTTCTTCCAGTAGTTGTGCAATTTTTAGTCTTACATTTAAGTTTTTAATAGATTTTGAGTTGGTTTTTATATATGGTGAGAGATAAGGGTCTGGCTTCATTCTTTTGCATATGAATATTCCGTTTTCCCAGCATAATTTATTGAAGGGGCTGTACTGAAGTTATTTGTCTAAGTCAAGTAATATTTTCCCTAATTTTCTACATTTAATTCCCTATCACTTGCAGAGGAGTTCTTTTCCGTGTACCAGTTTTCCACTCAAAAATGCCTTTTTCCTCATTGAAGTAGATAATAGAATTCTAAGTGAGTCATCTTCCATATATCCTCACATTATCATAACTTTCCTAAAATTATGCTAGAATTAAACATTCCCTCCAATCCTGTGTACTCTGGGCACTTCCTCCTTTGCTAGAGAGAATATTGAAAACTGTTGAATTAAATAGTTTCCTGTGATTATCTCACTGATATCATTCTACTCCTGAAACCAAGAAGTTGGATCATTCTTGTCTTCTGAGGTGGTCCCAATGTAGACTTAGATGGATACTAAAAAATTTGGTTACAATGAGGATTTATTTCATTTATTTATTTATTTTACCTTTCATAGTACAGTGTTTTTTTATTTTGCTACATATATATTACAAGAAGATGTTGCCAGAACCTTTTCTGGACACTGTTTGTATATTTTATATATATATATATAATTTTGTATATTATTATTATTATTTTGAAATGGAGTCTCACTCTGTCAGCCAGGCTGGAGTGTAATGGCGTGATCTCAGCTCACTGCAACCTCCGCCTCCCAGCCTCAAGCAGTTCTCCTGCCTCTGCCTCCCAAGTAGCTGGGATTACAGGCATGTGCCACCATGCCTGGCTAATTTTTGTATTTTTGGTAGAGATGGGGTTTCACCATGTTGACCAGGCTGGTCTCGAACTCCTGACCTCAAACAATCCGCCCACCTTGGCCTTCCAAAGTGCTGGGATTACAGGCGTGAGCCACTGCACCCAGCCTAATTTTGTATATTATGATTATTCCAGTTATTTTACAATAATTAGATTAAATTTCTAAATATATTTTCTATCTCATGGTCCTCTTTGTGTCTCTATATTATCTATTCTAAAAACATCCTCCCTTTTTTTTTTTTTTAAAGTCAGAGCAAGTTTATTAAGAAAGGGAAGCAATAAAGAATGGCTGCTCCAGGCCGGGCGCGGTGGCTCACGCCTGTAATCCTAGCACTTTGGGAGGCCAAGGCAGGTGGATCTCAAGGTCAGGAGTTCAAGACCAGCCTGGCCAACATGGTGAAACCCCATCTCTACTAAAATACAAAAATTAGCTGAGCATGGTTGTGAGCGCCTGTAATCCCAGCTACTTGGGAGGCTGAGGCAGGAGAATCTCTTGAACCCAGGAGGCCGGAGGTTGCAGTGAGCTGAGATCGTGCCATTGCACTCCAGCCTGGGCAATAGAGTGTGACTCTGTCTCAAAAACAAACAAACAAAAAAGAATGGCTGCTCCATAGGCAGAACAGTGGCATGGGCCACTGGTTGCCCATTTTTATGGTTATTTCTTTATTATCTTGATTATGTGCTAAACAAGAGGTGGATTATTCATGAATTTTCCAGGAAAATGGTGGGCAATTCCCAGAACTGAGGGTTCCTGCCCTTTTTAGACCATATAGGGTAACTTTCACACGTTGCCGTGGCATTTGTAAACTGTCATGGTACTGGTGGGAGTGTAGCAATGAGGACGGCCAGAGATCACTCTTGTCACCATCTTGGTTTTGGTAGGTTTTAGCCGGCTTCTTTATTGCACCTTGTTTTATTAGCAAGGGCTTTATAACCTGTATCTTGTGCTGACCTCCTGTCTCATCCTATGACTTAGAATGCCTAAATTACTGGGAATGCAGCTCAGCAGGTCTCAGCCTTATTTTACCTAACTTCTATTCAAGATGGAGGCACTCTGGTTCAAACATCTCTGACACCCCCCACCTGCTCCCTTTTGTAAGTTTTCCATTCTAAAAACATCCCTTTTGAAATGTACTCTGGTATTTAGACTCTTAGACGCGATTATGAGTATTGTTACCATTTATTCTTTTTATGTCTGTGTACAGTTTTGCAGTTTCTTTTGATTTTATTATGTAAATATTTTTGTGTACATATATTGTCTTCTCAATTGGATTTTATGTAAGCTTTTCAAGGACAAGGATTGTATCTTGTCCCCTACTCCTACCCTCTGCCAAAATCCCTGAAATACCAAAAAAACACTGAATAAATAACATGGGTTCAATGAGTATTGTGCTTATTAAAGGTGGATGTGTTTTGTTGCACTAAATTCTAGAGAAAATTAAGCCTAGGTTTGGAGTTTTACAATTATGGCAGAAGGCTTTTGAATTTTAAAGCAAATTCCAGGGTTGAATCTCAGGGAAAGGTACCTATCACTTTTGACCAATGACAAGGTCACTATATCATTGAACTTTCAGTGGATTTGTTAATAGTTTAAAGAAATATTCATTTACCCTTTTCGAAGCTTGGTTTTTAAAAATTTTTAATTCCATATATAAATTAAAGTTTTTACTTTTATTTTCTCAAAGCCGTTCTTGGAACACCTCACAGCTTGCCACATCTGATGAATCCATCCATCTCTCCTGCATTTTTACATTTGAATAAAGCACATCAGGTACATAAATAACATTGAGTACTGAAGCATTAAATATTCGGAGTGAATATTTTGTTTGTTCTTAACACTTAAAGTTCTCAAGAAATTAAATGAGTATTTTGCTTTTAAAGAAAATCTTTAATAATAAGTATAGGTATGTAAAATCATAACTTATTGAGTATATCAGATTCAATTAAGCTAGCCAAAGCAGTAGTTATGTACCATGATAAATATTATTGATTCCAATTTGTATGGCATTAAGAAGGAAAGTGGTATATTTTTTTCTAGATAATAAATAAGTTGTTCAAGACACGGCTTCTTATGTGGTCTTAACTCAAAAAAGTATTTCTAGAAAGAAAATATAAATGAACAGTAACTTAATTTTTAAAATTTAATGACTATTATAAAAAATAACTCATGTATATGAGAATAGAGTATGTTTCCTACCTTTTTTAGATAAATATTTTAAATGTGTGTTTATAGATTTAAATGTCTGTAATATTAGAGATAAGCATTACTCATTAATTTCAGGTACTGTTTAAGAACATAGAATTCTAATTACAAATCAAACAATATATAATCGAATTTTAATATAAGTTGAATGAATGAATATCTGGTCCTAAATCCAGCTTTTATTTTTCATCCTTAGAATCTAACACAGGACTTGGTGATACATTATAGAGTTTTTATTCATTCATTTACTCAATGTATTTTATTGAGTATCTGACATATATGTATTAGACATTGTGCTAATCATTGAGGCTACTGTGTGGAATGTAACATTTAAAGTCTATGTTATTATAGAATTTCAACCAGTAGGGAAAACACATTAAACAGTTAATTACAATAAGGAGTGGAGAGTAATATGAGAGGGGAAGTTCAGAGTATTGATAATATTCCCTGTGTTTTAAGAGAAACACCAAAATGCATTACCTTTAAGGCCCATACATTTGAGCTGGCCCCTCCTGCCTCTCAACTCACTGCAGATCGCTGTCCCACTACAACAGCCTGGTTTTGGTCCTCAAAGGACCTTGTTTTTTCCTCCTTTGGTCTTTTCTCCTGCTGGTCCTTCTTCCTGGAACGCTTCCCACCCCAACATCACCTAATTCCCTCCCAGACTTCAACTACAGCCTTCAGATTGCAGTACAATAATTAGTTCCTCCAAGAAACCTTCCTTGAATCTTCCAGGCTAAATAGCATTCCTCCACTATTTGTTCTTATAGCCCCCTGTATTTTTCCTTCATGTGATTACCATGTGTAATCCTGTGTTTTTTTTATTAATTAATGGCTCCCTTCCTTAGGGGATTGTAAGATCTATGAGGGCAGATCTTATTGTACTTCTCACTAAGTAGCACAGTGCCTAGAACATAGAAAGTGCTCAATAAACCTTTGTTGAATGATTAAATGAATAAATAAATGAATGAATAGAATGTCACTGTCATTGAAACCAAAAAGGGTTGAGAGGAGGGAACGAAGGATGAAATAATGTAGAATTATTTCATGACTGCATGGCCCCCTCTTGTGTATTATTAAAATAATTAATTAGCTTTGTCTGATAAGTTGGAGAGTGAAATATGTTTAGAAGCAGTTACTTTTACTCAGATCGACTGGAGAATTGAACTTCAAAATGAATTGGGTTATACAACATGTAGCTTTTCAAAATTAAACTGACAACGTTTTGTCATTTTCACAGAGCTCAGTTATGGGTAATACTTCTAATTTATTCCTTCAGAATCTTTCTCATATACCACTGGCACAACAACAATTAATGAAGTTTGAGAATATTCATACTAATAATGTAAGTATGGTATCATTTTTTCTTTTAAAATCAGTTCATTTCTTTTCTAGAATCAGGCTGTGGATCAGGTTGTTTATGAATTTTCACGTGTGTAGCTTTTTTTAGGTTATATCTTATGGCCATGGGTCTTACCTTTTTTTCTTCTTTTGTAGAAACCCGGCTTACTTGGAGAGCCCCCAGCTGTGGTACTTCAGACTGCACTAGGGATAGGGTCAGTGCTTCCATTGAAAAAGGAGTTGGGACATCATCATGGAGAAGCACATAAAAGTAAATGATGTGTATTTACTGAGAAGTCAGTAAACAGTCAGGTTTGAGATTTAAAGATAGTTTACCTATGTTCTAATTTTATTTACAGGGAGGTCAAATTTGAGTTTTATTTAGTCATTTAAAATTTTGAGAACCCTCTTGGCTTTTCGATTTTCAATATTGGTAAGTTACTGATGGACTTGCTTCCATGCCAAGATAAGACTTCCCCTATTGGATATGCTTTAATATTTTATGCAGGTTCACAGCAGTACAAGGTAAAGACACAGATCCATTTGAGACTGACATGCTGCCCACTGGGCTGACAGCACATATGGATCCATGTAATTATTGCTGGGATAAGAAACCATTCACTTTTATTTTTTAAAATCTAGTATTTATAAATTTAAAGTTTGATTATTTATTTGTATTATTTAAAAAAATTTAACCTCTAAATCAGTAGTCAAAACTAATGTGTGTACTATGTGCTTCTAAAAACATGGCAAACAAAATAGCTTTTTTGGCAGGAAAACAGAAGCATGGTGTTATACTAAGACTTCTTATTTGAATGTGATTTTGAAGGGCATTTTCAGCTTGAAGCTTAATTGAAATTTGCTTAGAAGTGAGCATGCTGAGTAAAAACAGAAGGGCCACCAATAATTTAAAAAAAAGTCAATTAAATATGCGTAGCTTACTTAACCTTTTGTCCAGTGATCAAATAACTTAGTTCTGACTGTTGAAATTGACTGGACAAAAGTTAAGCCAGTGAAGAAATTTTGTGATATCATGGGGTCTGTATTTCCAAAAAATTAAATTTTTTATGTCTAAAAGCTTATGCAAATATGTATTATTTGTGTTGGATTAACTAATAAATTATTTGCTTTAGTATATGCCGCTTTAAGAACACTGAAAAGTCAGTGTCCAAATAACTATATTCTAAACGTTAGGGGAACCAAAGTATCCATCTCTAAATGATTATTACTAAAAATAATTGAAGAAATTTGTTTAGTAAATTTATAAAATGGTAAATCTGACTTAGTTGTCAAAATTAGCTTTTTCCATTTAATTTTGACCTATAGATTTTTTAAAAAGTGGAACGGTTCAGAATTTTCCTATTAAAACTTTTATTTGCCAGCCTGGGCAACATGACAAAACCCTGACTTTACTAAAATGCAAAAAATTAGCCAGGCATGCTGGCACACGCCTGTGGTCCCAGCTACTCAGGAGGCTGGGGTGGGAGAATCACCTAAGCCCAGGAAGTCGAGGCTGCAGTGAGCCATGATTGTGCCACTGCACTCCAGCCTTGGCGATGGGAATGAGACCCTGACTCAAAAAACAAACAAAAAAACCCTTTTATTTCTTCCAGAATTTCTTGTTATTTTCTGTAAATAAAAACATAAAACTTTCATGTATTTAGTGCTTATCTATTAACAAATACTGATTTAAAAAAAGAAACCAGTGATATGCTGATAAGTGTTTAACAACCAGCTCTCTAGGTTGAAAAAAAGGGCTTGATTTGTAGCATTTGTGCATTTCTGTTTGTGAATACTCCAGCTGTGACTGATTTCAAGTTACCAATATGAAGACACTTAACTTGATAGCTGGGAAGAGATGTGTATTAATAGCTCTCATGAGCTGATGGAAGCCAGCTAACCAAATTTATTATTGGAGTCAATCAAACTTCATTAAATTTTAATTTCAGATAACTTTTTAAACTTAAAACTTAATTATTTCCTTCAGTTATGGAAACAGTCAAGTTGCAATGACTGGGCATAAAAAAAAGCACTAATACAGCTTAAATGCCAAAAAGTACATAAACTTTGCCCTCAACTTTAACAATATATAATTAACAATTATATATAGAATTTAAAAACTTAAAAATTCCTTATCATTGAGGTTACCCTGAAAGTTGCTGAAAATAAGAGCATTATTACTATTGTAGGTTTTTGTTTTTTTCATAAAGGAACCCACTAATTAACAACCTCTAACCTTACCTTTTGCTGTTATCTAACAGGTACAAAATTGGTTTCTCTGCATTTTGCTCATAACTTAACAAAATTAAAAGGACTATTGTGAATAAATATTTTCTAACTAAAAGCTTTTTGCATTTATGGTTTGCTACAGCATCTAGCCTGATTCCAACTCAAACAACGATAACAGCTGGAATGGGCATGTTACCATTCTTTCCAAATCAGCACATTGCTGGACAGGCTGGGCCAGGGCACAGTAATACTCAGGAGAAACAGCCAGCCACGGTGGGAATGGCAGAAGGAAATTTCTCAGGGTCGCAGCCTTATCTTCAGAGCTTTCCAAACCTTGCTGCTGGAAGCTTGCTGGTGGGACACCATAAGCAGCAGCAAAGCCAGCCAAAAGGCACAGAGATAAGTTCAGGGGTAAGAAAACTGTGGGTGCACACAGATGTATATATACATGTATATGTATATATATTCCTTTTAAATTATGTCTTAAATTGTCGTGTCAATGAAATGATGACTTTTTCATAGTTTACATTTACTTTTCAAAATTGAAGAAAACATTGCATTCTTTTAAAAAATCTGTTATAAATAAAGCAAACAAAAAATCCATTTTTTGATAAGTTATGCTAGCTGGCATTTGGGACTATCTTAATTATTTGCCAGTTTGTAAGTAAAGTAATTTTAATTTGTGTAAAATGAGTTACGTCTCTTATAAATAATTTAAATGTGGATTCTTTATTCCTTATAAGAGAATAAGGAATTTCCAAAAAGTTTGTGATATACATGGTTTTCAAAAATACTTGCTATTTTAAATATAAGATATAAACTAGTTTAAGTTCAGAATTTTGTAGTTTGAAAAAGCTTAGGAGTATCAATGCTTATTCGCTTACGTAGTAATGTTATTTGTAAGGCTTTCTAAGTACATAGTAATGCTGTTCTTTCAAATATACTTTTTTCTATCTTAAATATATATTTGGTAGCTAATTAAAGTATTTTAATATTTAAAGGCAGAACCAATTTTATCCGGAAAATATCAAAACCAGCTATTAAACTCTGGTCTGTTCAAACTAATCTGGTCTCTCTTTTAATTCTGGAAGATTTTACCGAATCATTTTATTGGCTAAAATACCACTGATATTTATAAATGTTGTAATAAGTAGGTAGACTAAAGTACATCTAATTTTTATTATATTTGTACCCTAAAATACACTGTGGTTTGTAAGTGGTATAAAACTTAGGCTTAAGCAGTTTGTAAGGAAAAAAAATCTATGTAGTTTCTTGTATTCAAGTGTCAAAATAATAATACTGAATTTGTAAGAGGTTTTAGTGTTACCTAGCCATAGCAAGAGGTATGACTAGAATGCCCTGCAATTGTATATTGAGAAAGCTAATGCAGTCCTTTTTTTTTTTTTTTTTTTTTTTGAGACCAAGTCTTGCTCTGTTGCCCAGGCTGGAATGCAGCGACACAACCTCGGCTCACTGCAACCTCTGCCTCCTGGGTTCAAGTGGCTCCCCTGCCTCAGCCTTCCAAGTAGCTGGGATTACATGCACACACCGCCATACCTGGCTGATTTTTGTATTTTTAGTAGAGATGGGGTTTCACCATGTTGGCCAGACTGGTCTCGAACTCCTGAGCTCAGGTGATCTTCCCGCCTCGGCTTCCCAATGTGCTGGTATTACAGGTGTGAGCCACTGCACCTGGCCGTCAATTCTTTATAGAATGAATTTTAAAAATTTATCTGCAGTGTTCATTGCTTGGGTTATTGAGGGAAATTACACAAATAAAACTTGTATATGAATACTTCATGTCTCTTTGCAATCTTTAATTCACTGAAAGCCTCAGAGTCTTTAGAAGAACTGTGGATTTTAGGTGATTCACATAATGGGCAAATGAGTCTATCTACAAGAGGACAGCCAAAATGGGGGCAGGTTCTGGAAAATAAGTCCTGTGAAGAAGAATTCAGGAGAAATGGATATATGGAACCTGGAAAGGGACAACCAAACATATACATTGTTAAAGCTATTTAAAGAGTAGTCATACAGTATTGTGTGTACCTCCAGTGGGCAGAACTGGCTATTAAGTACAACATACAATAAAGCAGATTTAGGTTTAATATAAGGAAGAACAATTCAAGCTTTTAAGCAAAGAGAAAGTTTATTTCACAAAGATGTGAATGTCATATCACCAAAAGCAATTAAGCAGAGCCCAGGCAAGCATCTGTAAAGGATGTTGTATTAATAGAAATGATCCCTCTTTCTGTCAGTAGGGGTTGTACCAGGTAACCTCAGTGTTTTCTAATTGTGAGATTTTAGACTTGGCTGAAATGATTGGTTTAACTTTGCTTCAGATGTTTAGACCTGCATCTTTAATATTGTGTTGGCCAGTAAGTCTTGAGTCTACCTTTTTGTTTCCAGAATCACCTCTAGTGCAAAAATAAATAAATAAATAAATAAATAAATAAATAAAAGAGATTTGGACCCCAACTCCAACCTTTGAGAATTTTATTCAGGGAGACAGGGATGATAACCAGTTTCTGTTTATTGTGGTAAAATATACATAACATACAATTTACCATTTTAACCATTTTAAGTGATGTGGCATTAAGTACATTCACATTGTTGTGCAGCATCATTACTCTCCATCTCCAAAACTTTTTCATCATCTCATACTGAAACCTGTACCTGTTAAATAATAACTCTCCATTTTCTTCTCCCACTAGCCCAGGTAACCACCGTTTCTACTTTTGTCTTTATGAATTTGACTATTCTAGGTACCTAGGTGACACAATATTTGTCCTTCTGTGTGTAGCTTAGTTCACTTAGCATAATGTTTTCTAGATTCATCCATGTTGTAGCATGTATCCAAATTTCCTTCTTTTCTAAGGCCGAATAATATTCCATTGTACGTATATACCATGTTTTAATTCAGCCATCCATGGACATGTGGGTTGTTTCTACCTTTTGTTTATTGTAAATAATGCTGCTGTGAACATTGGTATCTGAGTCCCTGCTTTCAATTCTTTGGGGTATGTACCCAGAAATGGAATTGCTGGATCATACCATAATGCATGTTTAATTTTTGTTGGAACTGTCATCCTTTTTTCCACAGCAGCTGCACCATTTTACATTCCTGCTAGCAGTGCACAGGGATTCTAATTTTCCAACATCCTTGCCAACGCTTGTTTTCTGTTTTAGCTGTCTGTAACAAAAATACCATAGACTGGGTGGTTTAAACAACAAACATTTATTTCTCACAGTTTGAGAGGCTGGGAATTCTAAGAGAAGGTGCAAGGTGCCAGCAAATCCAGTGTGTGATGAGGATACTGTTCCTGCTTTACAGATGACCATCTTTCCATTCCATTTTCACATGGTAAAAGGCTGGAGCAAGACCTTTCATGTCTCTTCTTATAAGAGCACTAATCCCACTCTTGAGGGCTCTACTTTAATGACCTCATTACCTCCCAAAGGCCCCACCTTCTAAGACCATCATATTGAGGCTTAGCATTTCAACATATGAATTCTGGGGAGACTTAAACATTCAGTTCGTAGTGATAGCCATCCCAATGGGTGTGAAGTGGTGTCTCATTGTGGTTTTGATTTGCATTTCCCTAATGATTAGTGATGTTGAGCATTTTTGTGTGTGCTTACTGGTCATCTGTATATTTTCTTTGGAGAAATGTCTATTAAAGTTTCTGCCCATTTTAAATCAGGTTCATTTTTGTTGTCATTGCTCAGTTTTTAGGAGTTTTCTACATACAGTTGACCCTAGAACAACACGGGTTTTAACTGCACAGGTCCACTTATACTTGGATATTTTCCAAGAAATATAGTGGGAAATTTTTTGGAAATTTGAAAAAGTTTGAAAAAACTCACAAATGAACCCCATAGCCTAGAAATATTGAAAAAATTAAGAAAAAGTTATATATGTCATGAATGCATAAAATATATGTAGATATTAGTCTAGTTTGTAATTTACTACCATAACATGTATACAAACCTATTATTAAAAAGTTAAAATTTAGCAAAACTAACATACATACTTACAGACCGTACATGGCACCATTCACAGTCAAAAGAAACGTAAACCAAAATAAAGATGCAGTATTAAATCATAACTGCATAAAATTAACTGTAGTGTGTACCGTACTACTGTGATAATTTTGTAGCTACTTCCTGTTGCTATTGCGGTGAGCTCAAGTGTTGAGAGGATCCACTTAAAATGCTGTATGTTGCTAATCATCTCCATGTGAGCCATTCATCTCTCCAGTAAATTGCTTATTGCAGTAAAAAGTGATGTCTCGTCATGCTTGCATATTTTTCATCATGTTTAGTGCAATACCATAAACCTTGAATAACATCCTACAATCCATAAAAATGCCACTAGCGATACTAGAAGTGCTCTCAAGAAACAATGTCATGACATTGTAAGAAAAATTCGAATTGCTTGATGTGTACCACAGATTGAGGTTTGTAGCTGCTGTTGTCCACCATTTCAGACAGATCCATATTGTAAACAAA
Source organism: Homo sapiens (assembly GCF_000001405.40). Lineage (NCBI taxonomy): Eukaryota > Metazoa > Chordata > Mammalia > Primates > Hominidae > Homo > Homo sapiens. The sequence continues at coordinate 64,811,576 of NC_000001.11, forward strand.
TGATGTAATTTATGGTATTGATAAATACTACAGTACTGTAAATGTGTTTTCCTTATGGTTTTCTTAATATTTTCTTTTCTCCACTTTATTGTAAAAATACAGTATATAATACATGTAACATACAACATATGTGTTAATTGTTGGCTGTTGGTAAGGCTTCTAGTTAACAGTAGGCTATTAGTAGTTAAGTTTTTGGGTAGACAAGGGTTATACATAGATTTTCCACTGTGTAGGGGGTTGGCACCCCTAACCCCCATGTTGTTTCAAGGGTCAACTGTGCTAGAATCCTTACACCTAACTAATACATAAAAATATACTGATATACATTTTCAAGAAATGTGTATTTCTAGCATCATCTAAATGTGGAGTTGGAGTTTATTAAACTCATTTATTTTGTTTGACATTATTTTTAGTACCAGAGGTAAATAAGCTTTGCTTTTGTTATTTGGTCATAAAATATAAAAATCTCAGTAAAAATATTGATAACAGGCCAGGCGCGGTGGGTCACGCCTGTAATCTCAACACTTTGGTGTTGAGCCAACACTTTGGCCAAGGCGGGGGCATCACGAAGGTCAGGAGTTCAAGATCAGCCTGGCCAACATGGTGAAGCCCCATCTCTACTAAAAATATAAAAAAATTAGCCAGGCATGGAGGTGCGGGCCTGTAATCCCAGCTACTCAGGAGGCGGAAGCAGGAGAATCGCTTGAACCTGGGAGGCGGAGGTTTCAGTGAGCTGAGATTGCACCATTGCACTCCAGCCTGGGCAATAGAGTGAGATTCCATCTCCAAAAAAAAAAAAAAAAAAAAATAGGTAGATAGATAGATAGACAGACAGACAGACAGATAGATAACAGTGTTTCTGGAAAAGAGATATGGAATTTGGTTTTTCTTGTGAAGATGAATTCTTTCCTGGTTCAAATGAGAAGGTTGTATAAGATGTCCTTTCATTCTCTTTTAGTTCTAAAGTTCTATGGCTCTACAATAGTTTTTTAAAAACCTAATTGAACAACTAATAACAGGTGAAATGTGATAATTTTAGTGAACATCCATAAATATTTCATAAGTACACTAGATGTATTGAAAAATAAGTATTTCTCTATTCTTTATTTTTATTTTCGTGTACCTCTCATTAAGTACTCCCTCCTTTGTTTTTGTTAAATAGGCTGCCTCTAAGAATCAAACTTCACTCTTGGGAGAACCACCAAAAGAAATTCGGCTCAGTAAAAATCCATACTTGAATTTGGCAAGTGTGTTGCCCAGTGTGTGCTTATCATGTAAGTAGGGGCTCAGTATTCTTGTTGTGGAGTTTTACTGAATACTTTTCATAATAAGTTTTACTTTAATTTTTGACTTCATGGAAGCAAATAATACCTATTGACCAAATTAAGGCCTAAATTATTCTTTAAATTGAAAGAATAATTAAAACTAAGACACTCAAAATGCGTGCTATTTTATTTAAGGAAAACATTACAACTCATAGAGAGTCATTTTTCTTAACCAGAAGTTTAAACCTATAAGTAATCTTATATATCTTGAGTATTTGAATACTCCCAGAATGTATGAGCTACCAATAATTGGTGGAAGTGGAATTCTCATTTACATTTTGGAGGAAACCCTCAAGCCTTCAATTACTATAAATCAACTATTCATTCAAATATCGTTTTAAGAGAAAATCACAAATGTGATGTGCTCCAGGCACAAGGATGTTCACTGCAACATTGGTTGTAAATAGTGGGAAAACTGGAAAATACTTAATATTTGTCAATAGGGGAATGCTTAAATAGTTCATCATAAAATTGAATACTGTGCAACTTTTTTTTTAATAATTGAGGGATATCTACATATACTGATATGAGATGAACTCTAAAGCATATTTTGGCAAATATATGCATAAAATGATTCCATTTATGTTTATTTAAAGTTATATATCCTTACATGTATATACTTGAGAGTGCAAATGCATGAAGTAAATCCAAAAAAGTAAATTCTAAACTATTACCTCTGGGAAGAAGAATAGGATTAAATGAAAAGAGATGAAAGATGAATTTCATTTTTAATATACATCCTCTGTATTTTATGAAATATCCTTGAATCCAAACATTAATTTGTAATTTTTTTTGAGCTGGAAAAAAATGTAAAGGCACTTCTAGTATACCTGTTATATATTGATCTGGTCTAAAAATTGATGGTGACAATTATTACATTTATAAGAATGGTTAGTTTACATTTTATATGCCTTGTTTTAGAGACTAGACACACACACACACACACACACACACACACACACACACACACACACGTTTTGTTTTGGGTTATTTATTTATTTATTTTTTTATTATACTTTAAGTTTTAGGGTTTTGCTTTTTTGAGACAAGGTCTCCCTCTGTCACCCAGGCTGGAGTGCTGTGGTGTGATCTTGGCTACTGCAGCCTACACCTCCTGGGCTCAAGTGATCCTCCTAACTCAGCCTCCCGAGTAGGTGGGACTACAGGCATGTGCCACCATGCCCAGCTAATTTTGTGTGTGTGTGTGTTTGTGAGACAGAGTCTTGCTCTGTCACCCAGTCTGGAGTGCAGTGGCATCATCTCGGCTCACTGCAACCTCCACTTCCTGGGTTCAAGCAATTCTTATGTCTCAGCCTCCCAAGTAGCTGGGATTACAGTCATGCACCACCATTCCTGGCAAATTTTTATATTTTTAGTATTTTTATAGAGATGGGGTTTCACCATGTCACCTAAGCCAATCTCGAACTCCTGGGCTCAAGTGATCCTCCCACCTTGGCCTCTCAAAGTGCTGGAATTACAGGCATGAGCAACCGTGCTCAGCCAGACATATATGTTTTTGAACCTTTCCACCAAAATTATTTACCCATGAGACAGGTGTCCATTTTAAGTTGTTCCAAATGAATAAGACAGTATTATATACTTCTCAGGGGAAAATTATTTAGTTATATATTGGCAAACTAAAATTTTGTTCTATTTGATAATGTGCTGAGTTACAATTTATAATAAAATATAATTTGTTTATAATATAACTTATAATAAAATAATTTATTTAAAATAACCTAAATAAAATAAATTTATAATAAAATAACCTAAATAAAATAAACTTGTTGATTCTGCCTTTAGCCCCTGCAAGTAAAACCACTCTTCATAAGACTGGAATTGCAAGCAGCATTCTGGATGCAATCTCTCAGGGAAGTGAATCACAACACGCATTGGAAAAGTGCATTGCTTATTCTCCACCTTTTGGTGATTATGCACAGGTAAATAATTCCCAGGTTCTGATGATACTCAGAAAAATTGGTTCAACTATATATTGAGTTCACTGAATATGAAATTGTGATTTCTATATTATTAACGTAGGCAAATCAAATTGCACTGATCTATGTATTTCTTACTCATCATTTGAAATTTGGGAATGTGTTCAAGACATTATTTAGTATCATTTTGCACTAGATATTTACCTCTCACTGTTTACCTAGTGGTTGGCAAACTACAGCCCATAGAACAAATCTAGCCCACCACCTGGTTTTGTAAATAAATTTGTATTGTAATACAGCCATGTCCATTCATTAACATATTGTCTATGGTGCTGTCATGCTATAATAAAAGAGTTGAGTGATGACAGTAGAGACTATGTGGCCTGCAAGATTAAATATTTACTATCTGGTTCTTTATAGAAAAATGCTGCTAACCTCTGGTTTGCACTAGTGTAGACCTAAGAAACCCAAGGGAATGCCTCTGTTCTTCTCCACTGATTGTAGATGGAGAAAGATGATCATATTTACAGACACTACTGTGCTAACTTCTAAACCAGCCAATCAATAACATAAAAATATTATGTTCATAAGATGTCCTGTGTCATTACTTAAATATTTCAGTTTTGCTTTGGCCCTTCTTCAGCTTACTCTTAGTGGTGTAAGCTGAATATATATCATGTTAGCCCTGTGTGATTATGGAATCATAAGAGTCCACAAGAGTCTTATAATTATCAGTTCTGACTCTTACTTTCCTAGAACAGCCAGCTTCTTCTCAGATCTATCCTGTTCGTTGGAGTCTTGTCTCCACTTTGATTTCCCTGGAGCAGCTTTGTGTTTGCCTGACCCATCCCTAATAAACTTAGAAAAGAAAACCACTTAGAACAATTGACGCCTGATTATAAGAGTACTAGAAACAGCCCAAGTTCTGTAAAAATGGTGCAGCTGGATATTAGTGAAATATTTGCCATCTCTTATATACCTGGGACAAGACGGAAAAATATGGGTTGGGTAGATGATGTAATTAGGTGACAGTATATCTATATTTAGAGAACAGTGATCACAAATTGCTGCAGTCTGAAGGCATTCTCTTATATTGATTCATAAGAGTCATCTTCAGTCCTTTATTAGATAACATTTGAAGTAATGACTTAGATAAAGACATTAATTGTAAAATTTACAAGATATAGTCCTGTACAATTCCAATTTGTTTCTTTTCAAGAAACAAACTTTTTATAAACAGGAGAAGCACAATAAATTTTTTAAAAATTCATTAAATACATATTTAAGCTTTAAAAATTTTTTGAACTTTTATTTCTTTTTAAATTTGCCTTTTTCTTAGCAGTTTTGCTTATTAGATTACTGTGATTTATTGTATACTTATATCCATGGAAAGACTTTCTCATTCACACATGGAGAAATTCTGTGATAATGATGCCTTTTGCATTACTGTATGTCTTCTGCCTCCACACTTGCTTGCCCAGAGATATGGTGGGGAAATGAATCCTCCCTGCACTGTTCAGTGTCTCCTTTGACAGTCCCTGCTTCTAGCGCACGCTTGTTCATAAAATGGGATTTGTTCTCTCTCTCGTGTTCTTTCTTCCTTATAAACTTAATTAAATGTTACTAATGGAACATTAAAGTACATGGAATTAAACTAATGGAATACTAAAATAACCATTATAGAAAAAGGTGGTCGTGTATTAGGAATTCCTTTTACTATTTCCACTGCTGGGATGAAGGAAGAGGTCTAAGGGAAAGGAACCAAAAGTGTTTGTTTTCTTTTTAACACTTGCTATATGCTTTGTGACATAAGTGATTACTATTTCTAAAAACCCTGTGAGATTTAGTAAACTGGCTAGCCATATGTAGAAAGCTGAAACTGGATCCCTTCCTTACACCTTATACAAAAATCAATTCAAGATGGATTAAAGACTTAGATGTTAGACCTAAAACCATAAAAACCTTAGAAGAAAACCTAGGCAATACCATTCAGCACATAGGCATGGGCAAGGACTTCATGTCTAAAACACCAAAACCAATGGCAACAAAAGCCAAAATTGACAAATGGGATCTAATTAAACTAAAGAGCTTCTGCACAGCAAAAGAAACTACCATCAGAGTGAACAGGCAACCTACAGAAGGGAGAAAATTTTTGCAATCTACTCATCTGACAAAGGGCTAATACCCAGAATCTACAAAGAACTCAAACAAATTTACCAGCAGAAAACAAACAACCCCATCAAAAAGTGGGCAAAAGATATGAACAGACACTTCTCAAAAGAAGACATTTCTGCAGCCAACAGACACATGAAAAAATGCTCATCATCACTGGCCATCAGAGAAATGCAAATCAAAACCACAATGAGATACCATCTCACACCAGTTAGAATGGCAATCATTAAAAAGTCAGGAAACAACAGGTGCTGGAGAGGATGTGGTGAAATAGGAACACTTTTACAGTGTTGGTGGGACTGTAAACTAGTTCAACCGTTGTGAAGTTGGTGTGGCGATTCCTCAAGGATCTAGAACTAGAAATATCATTTGACCCAGCCATCCCATTACTGGGTATATACCCAAAGAATTATAAATCATGCTGCTATGAAGACACATGCACACGTATGTTTATAGAGGCACTATTCACAATAGCAAAGACTTGGAACCAACCCAAACGTCCATCAGTGATGGACTGGATTAAGAAAATGCAGCACATATGCACCATGGAATACTATGCAGCCATAAAAAAGGATGAGCTCATGTCCTTTATAGGGACATGGACGAAGCTGGAAACCATCATTCTGAGCAAACTATCACAAGGACAGAAAACCAAACACCACATGTTCTGACTCAGAGGTGAGAATTGAACAATGAGAACACTTGGAAACAGGAAGGGGAACGTCACACACTGGGGCCTGTCGTGGGGTGGGGGGAGGGGCAGGGATAGCATTAGGAGATATACCTAATGTAAATGACGAGCTAATGGGTGCAGCACACCAACATGGCACATGTATACCTATGTAACAAACCTGCACGTTGTGCACATGTACCCTAGAACTTAAAGTATAATAAAAAAAAAACCTTGTGAGATTTAAATGATCACCTTCATTATACAAATGGAGAAGGGATAAATAATCTCTCCAAGTTCATACAATTGGTAAGTGATTTCTTGATTTCAAAGGCCACATTATTTATACCATTGAGAAGTTTCTTCAGGCATGGAAGTAATATCTCAGAGAAACTGTGTAGGCTGCTCTGCTTATGGATTAGGAGAGATGAATATGTCAAGGCATAGAGGGACAAAATAATCTTTATCTCCAATAAAACTATCAGATTTAAAAACCTAATTGGCATTTCCATTATTGATGTTGTTGCTTGTATCATACTATCTCCCTACAGATAACCATTATTAAAACTGGACTAGGCTGGGCGCGGTGGCTCACACCTGTAATCCCAGCACTTTGGGAAGCAAAGATGGGCGGATCACAAGGTCAGGAGATCGAGACCATCCTGGCTAACATGGTGAAACCCCATCTCCACTAAAAATACAAAAAATTAGCCGGGCGTGGTGGTGGGCGCCTGTAGTCCCAGCTACTTGGGAGGCTGAGGCAGGAGAATGGCGTGAACCCAGGAGGCGGAGGTTGCAGTGAGCCGAGATTGCGCCACTGCACTCCAGCCTGGGCGACAGAGTGAGACTCCGTCTCAAAAGAACAACAAAACAAAACTGGACTAAATATGAATGAAAACCAACTACTTGAAAGCACTAGAGAATGAATGACCAAAAGCAGGCAGAAACGGGAGAATTATTCCTTGAAACAGGAAAACATCACTGTATGGTATTTGTGTTTCTGTAGCTTTTTGCCTAATACCACTCCCTAGATGGAGAAAGCTGCAGTCTCACTAGCTTGAGGAGTCAGAAGACAGAGTTCAGGACTGTTAGCAAGGCTGTTAAGTGAAGGGGGGACATCGTGGAAAAGAGGGGGTTGCATAGGAAGGAGTCTCAAAATCTATGTGTAAACTTAACCCAAATACTGTTGGCTGGCCCCTAAACTGTGTTTGTCTGAGGAAAACTCCAAGGGACCTGGTAGAAAACAGCTGAAAGGCTGAAAGAACTGAGAAGAGATTCAACTCCTCTCCAGCACAGAGGAGACAGAGTTTGGAATTTGAGTTCAGCAAAGTTAACTCCTTCTAGAACAAAAATCAACACTCATCAGAGGAAGATAATAGAATCTGTAGGCTCTACAATATATTATAGTAATCAATATGTCCAGTAGAACAAAATTACTAGATAGTTGAAGAAGCAAGAAAATGTGACCCACAATTAAGAGAAAAAGTGGAAACGACCCCAAGGTGACCCAGATGTTGGTCTTATAGACAATAACCATAAAACAGCTATTATAAATATGTTTAGGAACTTAAAAGAAAATAAAGTAATAATGAACAGGTATGGAATCTCTGCCAAGAGATATAAACTAAGAAATAAAAATTTTGGAACTGAAAACTATAGTATCTGAAATAAATACACTAGATGGGCATAGCAGAAGATTGGAGAGGCCAGAAAAAAAAAGGTTCGGTTAACATGAAGACAACTCAATCTGAGGAACACAAAGAAAAGAGATTTTTAAAAGCACAATGAACATATCCTCAGGGACCTGAGGGAAAATATCAAGCAGTCTAAAATGCATGTAAATGGAGTCCTGGGAGAAGAAGAGAAAGATAATGGGGGCACATATTGTTTGAAAAAATAATGGTCAAACATTTTCCAAATTTGCTTCAAAAAACTTACAGATCTAACAGGCTCAGAGGCCCTCCTGCAAAGCAGGATAAATAAAAGGAAATTTTTACCTAGGCACATTATAATTAGTATGCTGAAAACTATAGTTGTAAAGAGATAATCTTGAGAGCAACCAGATAAAAACAATGCACGTTGTCTTGAGACAGGTTTCTCAATCTTGGTACTATTAACGTTTGGGGCTGAATAATTCTCTCTTAAGTGGGAAGGGCTATTCTTTGATTGTCGGAGATTTGGCAACATCCTTGTCCTCTAACCCCTAGATTGCCCCCACCAACACACACACCATTGAGAACCACTGTGTTAAGGCAACAGTAAACATGCAGGTGACTAAAAAAGACTATATATTTTCTCTTAGTTTATTTAAAAGCAAAAATTGTAACATATAGGGTTTATAATGTATATAGATATAGTATATTTGATAGCAATAGTGTAAAGGACAATAAGGTAAATGAAATTATGGTTTTGGGGTTATAATATTTTACATGAAGTACATCAAAAGTAACTCTAAGTAGGTTGTGATAAGTTGTGGAACGCATATTGTAATCCATACAGCAACCATTAAAAAATTATACAAAGAGATATAGCTAAAATATGAATAGTTTAATTACAATGAAATTATGAAAACATGTGATTAAGCCAAAATATGCCAGGAAAAACAAAAACAACTAGGTCTAATAAAAAACAAATATCCGAATGGTAAACCTAAATTGAACAGTAGTAATAATTATATCAAATGAAAATAGACTGCATGCTCCATTTATAACATATTTTCTTTTTTAATATTTAAAAATTTTTAATTTTAGGTTTGGGGGTACACGTGAATGTTTATTACATAAGTAAACACATGTCACAGGGTTTTTTTGTACATATTATTTCATCACCGAGGTATTAAGTGCAGTACCCAATAGTTATCTTTTCTGCTGCTCTCCCTCCTCCCACCCTCCACCCTCATGTAGACAGCAGAGTCCATTGTTTCATTCTGTGTGTTCATAAGTTCTTGTCATTTAGCTCCCACTTACAAGTGAGAACACGCGGTATTTGGTTTTCTGTTCCTGCATTAGTTTCCTAAGGATAAAAGCTTCCAGCTCTATCCATGTTCCCACAAAAGACATGAGCTCGTTCTTTTTTATGGCTGCATAGTGTTCCATAGTGTATATGTACCACATATCCAGTCTGTCATTGATGGGCATTTAGGTTGATTCTATGTCTTTGCTATTGTGGATAGTGCTGCAGTGAACATTTGTGTGCATGTGTATTTATGATAGAATAATTTATATTCCTCTGGGTATATACCCAGTAATGGGATTGCTAGGTCTAATGGTAATTCTGTTTTTAGCTCTTTGAGGTATTGCTACACTACTTGCCGCAATGGTTGAACTAATTTACACTCCCACCAACAATGTATTAGTGTTCCCTTTTCTCCACAACCTCGCCAGCATCTGCTATTTTTTGACATTTTAATAACGGCCAATTCTGATTGGTGTGAGATGGTATCTCATTGTGGTTTTGATTTGCATTTCTCTAATATTCAGTGATATTGAGCTTTTTTTCATATACTTGTTGGCCACATAGTATGTCTTCTTTTGAGAAGTGTCTGTTCATGTCCTTTGCCCACTTTAATGGGGTTGTTTTTTTCTTGTAAATTTAAGTTCCTTGTAAGTGCTGGATATTAGCCCTTTGTCAGATGCATAGTTTGCAAAAATTTTCTCCCATTCTGTAGATTGTCTGTTTACTCTGTTGATAGTTTCTTTTGCTTGCAGAGGCTCTTAATTAGATTCCACTTGTCAATTTTTGTTCTTCCTGCAATTGCTTGTGGTGTCTTGTCATGAAATCTTTGCCCGTTCCTATGTCCAAGGAACCATATTGCACTAAAACCGCCAGTAAAATGTTGAATAGAAGCAGTAGAAATATGTATTCACACCTTGTTGAAACTCTGTTGGAACAGGCACATAGACCAATGGAACAGAATAGAGAGCCCAGAAATAAGGCTGGACATCTGCAACCATCTGGTCTTCGACAAAGTTGACAAAAGCAATGGGGTAAAGACTCCCTATTCGATAAAAGGTGCGGGGATAACTGGCTAGCCATATGCAGAAGATTAAAGCCAGACCTCTTCCTTACACCATATACAAAAATCAACTCAAGATGGATTAAAGACTTAAATGTAAAACACAAAATTATAAAAACCCTGGAAGACAACCTAGGCAATACCATCCTGGACACAGGAACGCACAAAGATTTTACGACAAAGTATGGCCCATACACAAAGGGAAAGTAATTAATAGAAACTGCCCATAAGGAAGTGTAAACACTGGACTTACTAGACAACGATTTGAATTAAAGGGAGCCATGTCTCAGGAACTTTTAAAAAGTATGAGAGGCCAGGCGCGGTGGCTCACGCCTGTAATCGCAGCACTTTGGGAGGCCATGGCGGGCGGATCACGAGGTCAGGAGATCGAGACCATCCTGGCTAACAACAGTGAGACCCCGTCTCTACTAAAAATACAAAAAATTAGCTGGGTGTGGTGGTGGGCGCCTGTAGTCCCAGCTACTCGGGAGGCTGAGGCAGGAGAATGGCGTGAACCCGGGAGGCAGAGCTTGCAGTGAGCCAAGATTGCGCCACTGCACTCCAGCCCAGGTGACAGAGCGAGACTCCGTCTCAAAAACAAACAAAGTACGAGAACAACATCTCATCACTTAGAGAATATCAATAAAGAGAGAGAAATTATTTTTAAAAATCAAATATAAATTCTTGATTTGGAAAGTATGATAACAAATGAAAAATTTACTACAGCACAGCAGTAGATTTGTGCAGGCAGAAGAATCAACAAACTTAGAATGTAGGTCAATTGAAATTATCCAGTCTGAGAAACTGAAAGAAAAGAGAATGAAGAAAAATGAACCATAGCAATGTAGGCAAGGATGTGGAGAAATGGGAATCCTCATACAGTGCTGGGGGTTGGTGGGATGTAAAAGGGTGCAGCTGCTTTGGAAGAGTGTGGCAGTTCATCAAATGTTAAACATAGAATTACCAGATGGCCCCAGGATTTGACTCCTAGGTGTATCCAAGAGAATTGAAAACTTGTGTCTGTACACAAATGTGTACATGCATTGGCACAGCAGCATTATTCATAATAGCCAAAAAGGAAAACAACCCAAATGTCCATCTAGTGATGAATGAATAAACAAAATGTGGTAATATCCACGTGATGGAATATTATTCACTAGAAAGGAATGGAGTACTGATCCATGCTACAACATTGGTGAACCTTGTGAACATTATGCTAAATGAAATAAGCCAGACAAAAAGTCCACATATGATATTCCATTTATATGAAATATCCAGAATAGGCAAATCCATAGAGAATGTAAGTAGATAGTGGTTATTGGGGGCTGGAGGAAGGAGGAGTTGGGGAGTATGATTAACAGGATTTTTTTGGGGAGGGGAGAGTGATAAAAATACTCTAGAATTCAATTGTGGTGATAGTTGTTCGTAAGTTGGTGAACCTTGTGAATCAACAAATTTTGGACTCTTTAGAAATTAAGCTTCAACTGTACTAAACAGAGAATAGCATTTTCATTTAGTGTTTTAGAGATCCTAAAAGTAGTTAGTTATGAGCAAACAGATCAGATCAGTTTTTCAAGATCTAGGTCTAATTAGAAATCAGTTTTAAATGGACTACCCCTTCCATTTCTCTAGTCAGTTGTAATAATTAATTAGAATTGCCATTGAGCTGTGAATTTTCTCAAAAACTGCATGTCTTGAATATTTGAACTATGATTGGGAAAACTTAAATCAGAAATAAATTATTTAAAAATTTGTAGTATACACTCTAGCAGTTATTAATAGCATTATAGTCAGCTATGTAATCCTGTCAATATGAATGTACAAATTGAGTTTGAAATTTCAGATTCTGAGGTCCTTCTATGTCAAATGGTTGGGAGAAGTCTACCTTAAAAGAGAAGCTTTTGAGCCCATTTATTAAATGTCTATTAAACACCTAAATCTAACATCTAATTATAATCAGTCAAAGACAAAACATTTCACCCTTCCCCTTTTAATTAAAATAGGTAAAAATATATCTTAAGCACCTTTCCAGTTTGACATAGTCCCAATAATGTAAAGAAAAATGTAAGAGGTTTTTCAGCTGTTTGATATGACTGTGTAAGTTGTGATTTTTTTTTTTTTTTTTTTTTTGAGACAGCGTCTTGCTCTGTCATCCAGGCTGGAGGGCAGTGATGCAATCTCAGCTCACTGCAACCTCCACCTCCTGGGTTCAAGTGATTCTCCTGCCTCAGCGTCCCGAGTAGCTCGAATTACAAGCACCCACCACCATGCCCAGCTAATTTTTGTATATTTAGTAGAGACAGGGTTTCACCACATTGACCAGGCTGGTCTTGAACTCCTGACCTCAAGTGATCTGCCTGCCTTGGTCTTCCAAAGTGCTAGGATTATAGGCATGTGCCACCGCGCCCGGCCTGATTTTTGTTTTTCATTTAACACTTGCCATATGTGGCAGTTGTCCAGCATGCAGCACAGCAGTGTTATCTACTTGCACGGTGTGTTCTTGTGTTACCCTGATTCCAGGGATCTCCCCTGCCAGGAGGCTGACTGCCTGTTCCAGGGAATCAACCACAGAATATATGATGAGATGATGTGATGAGGGGAAGAGGAAAGAAAAATGAACAAAAGACCTGGAAAATGAATGCTTGGTCCTTTCATATGGAGCCTAATGCTGCCACCCAGTGGTCAAATAATGCAGACAGACTTGCCAAAAAGTACATTGTGTTATGTAATGAATGCTGTGTGGATTTTTGTATGGACCGTGATAGATCCGAATCGTGTGACAAACACCTACCATACAAAATATGTTTTAAAACATAAGCCTACTTTAAACAACAATTATGGGAGCACAGGTTATCTATATATTAACCCTAGACAATAACTTGGAAAGTACTTTTAAAAAGTGATTTTGGTTAAAAACTGGAAGTAAGGAAAGCAAGCTGTTGAAATGTATTTCGGCTGGGCGGGGTGGCTCATGCTTATAATCCTAGCACTTTGGGAGGCTGAGGTGGGTGGATCACCTGAGGTCAAGAATTCAAGACCAGCTTGGCCAACAGGGCGAAACCCCGTCTCTACAGAAAATACAAAAAATTAGCCGGGTGTGGTGGTGCACGCTTGTAATCCCAAATACTCAGGAGGCTGAGGCAGGAGAATCGCTTGAGCCCGGGAGGCAGAGGCTTTAGTGAGCCGAGATCCCGCCATTGCACTCCAGCTTGGGCAACAGAGCGAGACCCTGTCTCCCAAAAAAAAAAAAAAAAAAAAAAAAAAATTAGTGCTGTGCAATACCTTTTTGGGGATGAATCGTTAAATCCAAAGTTAGGACTCAACCATTATTCATATGAAGAAAGACAAGTAGCTGAGAGGCAAATATGAATATGAACATTGGAAACATTTGTTATGTATATATATCAGACAGAGACATTTTATTATATCATTAATGTCACAGAATGAAGCATATTGATTTTGAAACATTTTTAACAATGGGAGAAAGTTATATTTTTAAATAAAAATTTAAAAATGTTTAATGCAGAAATAATGATAAAATTAATTCATGTTTCTGTAGGTCTGAAATCTAAAAGCTGGACTTGAAGCTATAAGAAAGGGACATTAGGGGCTTGATTCAGATCTCAGGAGAACTAGTGCAGTCCCATTTTGGTTCTCCGTATACCTGACTCCACTGAAGAGACAAGACTTAGAAAAGGTGAAGTGGGGCTGAAGGTAAGGGTGAGACTGAGGAGTCCTTGAGGCAGAATTTTCTGAAAACAAATTTCATTTTGTATTTAAAGGGCTACCTGCTAGATGCTTATATTCTTTTCAGAAGAACAACAATAATAAATATCTTTAATTGGACTGATAGCAGATGAGCCTAATGGAATTCACTGTTGACATTAACATATCCCAAAGGAATCTTCTGAGGGATAGTCAAGATTCCCCTTTCCCCAATTCTTACGATGGCTTTGAAAACTAGCCACCAGTTCAATTATTGACATGAGCTTAAAAATTGAGCTTAAGATACATTGTATTAAAAACTGGCAGTCAACAAATGATATTGTGACATTCTGTTTCTACATTCACTTGGAAATCAATGGGATAAAAGAAAGTCTACATTTACATGAAAATAAAAAGATTTGCTTTAATAAAAGAAAATTAACTTTTTAAAATCCAAGAATAAAATAGCGACTGCATAGAGAATGGGTTTCATAGTAGATGTGTGCAAAAGATTGGATTGGTGAGCAACATTTAAAAGAGCCAACTAATTTGAAATTCTAACGAGAGGGCAGGTGCCCAAAGCGAGAAGCACATTAACCTTTGCTTTGGTAGGCTCTAGTAGATTACGGTGTTCAGTTTTTCCATGTCAGAGTGTCAGAGACCATGGCCCATGACTATTTGCTGAAGGAGCTGGGAATGGATGCTTAGAAAATATTTTTTGAAAGGTATTCATTTACTCATTCAACCAGTATATACTGAATGTCTACTATATGACAGGACTGTTCTAGGCACTAGGGATATGGCAATGAACAAAACATCAAAATCCTTATAAGAATGGAACTTACATTTAGGGGAAAAAATTAGTAAAAGGAATAGTGATCGCTGCAGAGAAAATAAGATGGAGGCTAAAGAGTGTCTGGGAAGTCTTGGAGTTTAAATACGTGGTCAAGGAAGGGTTCATAGTAAAACTGATTCTTGGGCAAAGACCAGAACTTTAGGGAGTATGCCACATGAATATCTATGTAAAGTACATTCCAGGGACAGGGAACAGCAAGTGCAAAGGTACTGAGGCAGAAACATGCTTGGTCTGTTAAAGGAACAGCAAGCAACCTTTAGGGCAGAAGAAGAGGGAGCAAAGTGGAGAATAGGAGATGATGTCACAGTGGGGTCGGGGAGGCAGAGGGCACAGACAATTTAGGACCTTTTAGGCCCTTGTAAGGACTTTGGCTTTTACTCTAAGATAGAAAGCCACTGGGATGCTTTGAGTAGAGGGATAATTGACTGTATTTATAGTTTAACATGCCTAGCTGCTGTGTTAAATAATGAATGTAGAACATAGCAGGGTCAGTTAGGGAGCTGCTGTGGTACAATCCAAGTAAAAATGCTGACTTGGACAAGCCTGGAAGCAACAGAGGCAGTGACATGTGGCTGGACTGGAGACATTTTTGGAAGCTGGAGTCAGTGGGGTATACGAGGGTAAGAGAGGAGCCAAGTCCCCAAGAGTTTTGGCCTAGAAAAATGAATTTGTTATTGATTGAGATGGGTAAGACTGTGTGGGTGGAGCAAGTTTTATGGGTACGTTTTAGACATAAGATCCCTAAGTGAAGATGTTCCTTTATTGGTGTTCATTATACAAGTCTGGAGGTGAGGGGAGAGTTATGGGCCTCTAGAGGTACATATTTGAGAACCATCGCATTCCTGTAAATCGCTATAATTGTGAATTGCATGAAATTGGATGAGATCACCAAGGAAGTGAGGGTAAGTAAAGACACCAGGGGTTAGTCACTGTGCGTCTTAAGATTTCTCTTTCGATTTTGTTTTCTTGGTGAAATAGAAAGCAAAGCATCAGCTGAGAGTGAAGATGAGGGTGTACTGTTGGAGCTTCGAGAAAAGAGAAGGCTTGCAATAGTCACTTAGGGGAGTGGAGATCAGTGGGCAGGGTAGGGTGGGGATATAGTAGGATTGCCCAGGGGCATGAGGGTGAGGGGCCTCCGTTGAAGTTATGCCCATTCTGATAAGGAAGTATTAGACTTGGATTGTAGTTCCAAAGTACAGAATGGAACCACTGGGTGCAAACTATTCATAGAGTGGTTTCAGCCAACCCTAAAAAAGACCCTGCTAAAGATGAAGTCCTCTAAAATGACTATTGTGTTTGATTTCCACCTGAATATTAGACATGTAAAACTAGAATATTATAGCTTCTCTAAAGGTCTTCCTTTTGTTTGGTATTCAAAGCATAAATGCTCATCAAAATTGTTTTCAGATTTTCTAAATATACCACTTTGTTCTGTCTCATCTGTAAGTTTCATGCTACATTTTAAATCAAGTCTTAAATCACATATAATCTGTGTGTTTGCTCACATGCAAGTATCTAATAGGGACAAGTTCAATAGCCTCCTGGTGAGACTTAATAATGCCTGTCTCCTTCATTGCCATACTTTTTACAGAGCTGCTTATTAATCTTGCCATATTCCAAGATCAAGGGTATGGTCCTGTTTACAGTCCTTAGCCTGGCGTTCCAGCCCTCCATGACTGAGGCCAGCTTCATTTTTCAACCTCATTTGCCACTGCCCTCTTCTGCCTGCCAGCTGCTACCATCACAGGCCTGGCTTTTTTGCCATCTGCCTTTGCACAGGCCCTGCCTTTCTCCTGGAAGGGTCACCACCTATCTCCTCATGTCCATATCTGACCTCATCTCCAAATCCTAACTCAGATGCTATCTTATCCATGAAACCAGTGCCTGTACCTTTCAAACCCACCCCCCCCACCCCCCGCCCATTTTCCTTGTCTGGAAAAAGCTTTAGCACTTCACTTCTATTTCTCTTTTGTCAAAGTGACAGTCCCCTTTTAGAATTATGTTTTGCATTCCTCTTCCTTCCCCTCCTAGGATATGAGCTGTGGGAGGGCATAGTCCAAGTTTCATTCATCCAGGTAAACCTCATAGCACACAAGCCCAGTGCCCGCAATAGACCACTTATGAAGGAATGGATGTCTAGATCCTACAAATACAAAATAGAAGGAAAAATATTTGCTAACTTTATATTCTTTCCCTCTTTTGTGTTTTGTTGTGGTTGTGGTTGTGGTTCTTATGTAGGAATTTATTTCTCCCAGAGCACTGAGCTTTCTTTCAAAATTTTAAATCATCATTCCCCATTCACCAGTCCTTACACTAGAAGTTAGATATCTTTGATAGGGCGTATCAGAAGAATTACCTTTCTCCCAGTATCACATGGGCTACAGTGAAACCCGTTTTCTTTTTTTTTTTTAAGGTTTAAATTTTTAATTGTGATAAAAACATAAAATTACTATTAAATATTTAAGTGTATAGTTTAGTAATGTTCAGTATATTTACATTATTTTGCAACAGATCTCTAGATTTTCATTTTACAAAAGTAAAATCTGATAATTAATAAACTGCACTTTTCCCCCTCTTCTCCTCAGCTCCTGAAGAGAACATCATTTGACTTTCTGTTTTTATAACTGGGACTAACTTTTATATCTCACATTGGTGTAATCATACCATGTCTGTCTCTTTTTGAATGTCTTATTTTACTCAACGTAATGTTTGCAGGCTTTGTCTTTATTGTAAGATGAGTGACACCCACTTTCATTTCCTGTTCTAATATTTTCCTGTGCTGCTCAGTGAAGTTTTTTGCTGATTTCATAGGTCTCAGTTGGTTCTCACTGTGAATGGTGTTAGCACCATTGGGAAGCCCTTTGAATAAAAGAATGTAATAAATTTCCTATCTGGCTTCTGACAGTGAAGATGGTATAGAAAGACAGAAACCCAGGCTGTTGCTTTGCTGCATGCCAAGACATGAAAGAATAGATAACTACATGGCAAGAAGAATTGGGGAAGGTGGGTGAGAAGAGCAGGAGCATCCCAGATCCCAGAGTGAGCAGTCTGCTTCCCTCCCCCAGTCTTTGGAAAATCTCACTTGTAGAATGGACTGATGACTTCTAAGAGGAGGAAAGCTGCTAAAAAGAGTTCTTTATACCTGAAGTAAGGTCTGATGGTGTTAGTGGCTGGGGTCCAACATTCAGAAAGATCACCTACCAGCGAAGGGGCCCTAATGAAGAAGGCAGCTGGAGAGAATAACCAAGAGGCTGGAGACTGGGAGGAAGGGTTTTTGGGGCAGAGGCTCCACCTAAGAGGTGAGCAAGCTGTTTGGTGCAGCAGCCCTTCTCTAGGGCTGAACCCCTCGTCACCATCAACTCAGCTTTGACAACTATCAACTTACGGCAGGTCTCCTTTCATCTACCCTCTCACCTGCTTCCCTTCTAACATTCTAGCACAAACCCCAGACATACTTTACTACCAGGAAAAAAATGTCGAGGCAGAAATTCAAGCCAGATTCTTTGCCCATCAGCTTCACTCTGTGAAACATTCCTTTACACTGGGCTTGTGTGAAGACGCTTTGTATTGGTCTGTCCCCACAGTAAGCCACTTTGAAATGAGATACCAGAGGACGCAGCGTTCTTTCAGTCTTGTCATCCCTCTAACATGGACCACTGAGAACTACTTTAGCAAGGAGTTGAGAGAGACCTATCATCTGTTCCCTCTGAGGCTGGCTGCACTTTTAAAAATTGTGACCGTTGTTGGTTCAAAAACAATTGCAGTTTTAATTGCAACGTGAGAAGGCTCCTGTGTGTTACTGGAAGCTTTACTCATCAGTCATTTCTAAGTTCTTGCATATTAAGTCACATAATTCTGCATTGATAAAAGCTTGCTGCACTTATTTTTGTAAAAGCTGAAACTAAGAGGCATTAAGCTGAGCAGTGCTACACCATCTGATTTACTGTGCTGATCACTGTGACCACTTGTGAGGACATGTGGCCCACTTTCAGGTCAGAATCTCTGGGATGGTGCCTGAAAACCTGCATTTTAATATGCTCGCCAGGCGATTATTGTGGAGACCAAAGCTCTGAGTTTCCCATTGCTCTCTAGAATGTTTCATGTTGTTTTCTTTGATGTCATTTGTCAGTTTCTACACCTATTGATTTATTCTCTCACCACTCCTCTTGTCACCAGGCACACTTAACATCTAATTCAATATGCAGCTTGATGTCTTAGCCACTCCTCCTTCAGAGGAATACTGACATTCGGTGTTGATATTCTGAGTCCGTGGGTTTAACTAGCTGTGATCAGCAGAAGCAGCTGCATGCAGTGCTCTAATTTTTTCTTTTCCCAAAAAGTTGGGGTTGGGAGTGAAGGTGCTGAGACTGGTTTGTGTCTTGCAGAAATTCCAAAGGCGATGTTGATACAGAAATTTAAAAGTCTTATTTAACAAAGGGGTTTGTGTATTTTTTGATAGTTTGGGTATTTATCCTGTTATTCTATATTCACCAAGTCAAAGTGGAATGCTTTTCTTATAAATATCTTTAATGAATAAGCCAACTTTAGATTTTAAAACTAGCTGCAATTTTATTTTCTCATAGGTGTCATCTTTAAGAAATGAAAAGCGAGGCTCATCATATCTCATCTCTGCCCCAGAAGGTGGTTCAGTGGAATGTGTTGACCAGCATTCTCAGGGCACAGGAGCATATTACATGGAAACTTACTTAAAAAAGAAGCGAGTATACTGAGTTAAGCTCTCTCCTAATAACCCCCTAAGGTTCTCTGCAGTATCTCTGCTGTTCATCGCTGCCTTAACTTCATTCAAACTAGCCATATCCTTTAAATACGGGTTTATAGTTTCCCAGAAGGAACTGTGTTGTGCAGCAGGCAGAAATGCCAAATAAAAAATAGCAATAAGAAGAGACATCAATTGAGGACATTTTCCACTAGAGTCAGATGCATCTTAATCAGTGTGCTAACTTACAATCCATTGGAGAAACTAACAATGTTCCAATATTCCTTGATTTAGGACTGGGAATAATTCTGACACCATATATAAAAGAAGTTTGAAGCAATAAATGGGAAACAGTGTTGTTTCCTGAGCCTTAGAAGAATGAGTTTCTTATAAGCCAATGTGCATTTCAATTTACTTTCCCTAGAAGTAATTGCATTTATAGATTTTTAGGACTTTTCCTAGAACTACAAGGGTGCAAGTACCAAATGTGCTGATGGTAATATTATAAAGATGCTCTACATGCACACTCAATTACGCCCACACCAGCCATGCAAAATTAAACCCGGTAAGAGAGTGACAGTGATATCCAAGGTATCCACTACTACCGATGCTTTAAGATGTTGTTTACCATTTATACCTTCTGTGAAAAATAGAAGGTATTTTAAGAAAAGTAACTTTGGTGATCTAATAAAAGGGTTTGGCAAACTACACCCTGGGTCCACATTTGGTCTACCACCCGCTTTTGTGCTGCCTGCAAGCTAAGACTAATGTTTACATTTTTAAATGGTTGGAGGAAAAAAGAAAACTTATGACATGAAATTTATATGAAATTCAGATTTCAGTGTCCATAAATAAACTTTTATTGGGACGTTGCCATGCTCATTCATTTACGTGTTGTCTGTGGCACTCTTACGCTACAAGGGCAGAACTGATTAGCTTCAACAGAGACTGTATGGCCTACAAAGACCATATGGCCTAAAATTTCAAGTATCTGGCCATTTATATATAGTTTGCTGATCCCTGATCTAATAGCACTAATTCTAATAGCAACTATTCCTTTCAATTCACCTAAAGACAGACCTTTAGCCTTTAGACAGACTTGTAAGTGGAAAGGAACATGGGTTTCTGTGCTCATTTCATAGCGTAGACTAGTAATGATCTAATGACTAGAATGGGGCCTATTTTGATCACTAAATGCCCTATTATTTCCACAATATAGTATAGTAAAGCAGTCAATACTGCACTTTCTGATGGAGTCTTAAGGAGTCACAGTATTTATAACCATTTTGAGCTAATAAGCTATACCTCACTCTCTGCTTTCTCTCTCACTCTTTTTGATAGTGTGTTAGGGTGAAAAATCAGTTATTTAACCCAATTTACTTGTGAAAGAAGTTTTATCTTTATGGACTATGATGACTTTTGACATCACCATTTCTTGAAGACCTTGGTATTAAATGCATGAGAAACCTTTTGCCATCTAGAAATTTCTAAGTTTGTTTATGTTATAAGACTGTAATTAATTGATAGGGAATTTGGGATCTCAATCCGGGGCTTTTTGAAATCAGATCATTAAATATCTCGTCACTTTGGGGACTTGTTATTTTTAACTATGATGTGGATATCCTGTTTTAATTATGAAGTCTAGAATTGGTACATATGTTGTATGCTTTGTAAAGAATTTCACTTGGTCTAATTTATTGCATATACTAGCTTCTGTTGGAAAATGACTGACAGCTAGAAAGTTTAAGGTAATTTCTAAGTATACTACCTATAAGTAACTGATAAGAATTAGGCATCATTCAGTGATATAGCAGATGACTAATGGGTTTTTCAGGCCCTGCACTTCTCTTTCCCATTTTCCTGTTGCATTCAGCCTCTTCAATGCTTAGTCACACCTCCACTATAGTACAAACAAACAAACAAACAGAAGAAAGGAAAGATGGTGAATTTTGCAACAGAGCTGCAAAAAGTCAGTCAGTCAAAGCAGGAAGAGGTTGAAGGAACTAAAACAAACAAACAAAGGTGTCTGGACTACAGCACAGTGGACATGCCATCCATACTGGCCTGTGCCCCGTTATCAATCACTGGGCACAACAGTGAAGAAGTGCAAATCAAGTGGTGTTTGTTTGTTTGTTAGTAGTAAGGACCGTAACCCACCCCTTCCTCCCCCCAAAACTATACTGTTATTTTTCTATGTAAGCAAATTGTTTGAAATGCTTTGAAAATGAAATCTTAATATTAAAAGGCATATGCATGTAAAGTCTTTAGTATATTTATTTGTATAAAGAGTAAACAAAGTGCATATAGAGTGGCCACAGGTTTGACACAGAGACCTTGGTGATGTAGGCTATGAACAAATTTAAATGGCAACTTCATTGCTGCCACTGAACCAATCCTGAATTTGGGCTCAACAGGTGAAAAGTAACAATATCAAACGAATACTAAACAGCATAACAAAAAGATTTTCAGACTCTTGGTCATAAAGACCGTAATCGTTCACATTGAATCAATGACTAAACATTTTTGATTACCCAGCTACCTCCAAGCAAACTGAAAACTGTCTAGTGGATCCTGAAGTCCATAGTGCCTCTAGCCGGGTCTTTCAAGTGTTGCACCACAGGGTGATGATTGATGGTAAAAACAGGGATCAACCCTTGTAGATCGGTGGTAAGTATGGAAACCCTCTAAGAACAGTGCAGCGTATGTGGTATTCAGACTGGTTGCATACAGCATTCAAAACCAGTGCTGGAATAGCTTGCCCCAAAGTGGTAGAGTTATAAAAGGATATACATTGACGTTTCTTAAAAGCATGTGTAATAGCATCCAGGTTCTGGGAATGAGTTCTGATTAAAGGTATACTGCTTAGGAAAGCACTGGCACAGGCTTAGTTCTTGAGAATTAACATGCAGCAAATTATCTATTCCACAGCTATCCCCCCATGTAGAACCAGCTTTCTCAAAAATGGGTGCTAGTGATCACCCAAAGGAACAGGAGCTAAGCCACTGGAGAAACAAAGTTTAAGTCCTACTGGTGAGAGAATACAGTCATTTTTGTACAGAAACAATATATACTACCTGGTATCTAATATTTTAAGAATGCATGGTCTAGTACTGTATAGATACTGAAATTTGAGGGCTAAGTCCATCAATCTTTCTTTATCTATGATTAATGTGCCAGCAAAACATTTCAGATCAGCTGGCAGCAGGGAAAAGCAATCATCTTCAGATATTATTTTGGTCAACTCCTCGTTTTCAAAAATCCCCTTTTGGTAATGCAGTTGTGATGGTGAACTAGCCAGATGAAATGGTGGTATATTCTTTCCACAAGGAGGAGTGCTTAAGTGCTTTCAAATATTTTGGTTGTCATTATGTGTCACTAAGTTACTGGTACCAAATTTAAAGAGGAAGTCCTTACACATATTAAGCACTACAGTGTGCCTTATACATGTATATGTACTGAAGTATGAGTTCAGTGACTTTTTGGACAGAACACAAACTTCTTTCATTAGAAATTTTTAAAAAATGACTTGGGCATTTGTTGCAGGAGAAGGACTTGATAATCTGTGGAATTTAAATGTTATTCATGCTTCTTATTTTAAAAGTGCTTCAAATCCTTCAATAAGGTTCTGAAAGCTTGTCCGATTGGATGGTTGGAATTCCCAGCATTTCCTCATAAGTTGATAAACCTGTAAAAAGAAAGAAGTAACAACAGTAAAAATGTTAGATCTGGGAACTTTAAAAAATAACAGAAATATCAAGAGTAAGAAAATAATTTTGGAAATGCAATGACTTTTCCTTAAAGACTAGAAAAACAAGAGTATTTGAATAGTTTAAAACACAGAAAATGGGATACAACTCTAGTTCATAAATAATATTTTAACATTTGAGAAGCTCAAGGGTTGACTGGCTGCAATAAAATCCAGGTCATTCCTGTAAACCAGTTAGAGGGTGAAGCAGAATCTCAGTTCAGACTTGAACTTTCCAGACTGGCTGCCTCACTCTCTGACTCATACTGTTCAGTGTGTCTTACACAGTCTCAAGAGTTTAGTATTAAAGGCTCAATTCACTTAGAAAACTGAATTATAAATGCTAATAAGTGGGATAAACTTACACACAAAAAATGCAATTATATGTATTTGTCACACTAAGGCTACACCAAAACCTGTCCCTCTGGGGCAAGCAAGTGGATAAAGAGGGGCTGGCTTTTGGAGGGAATCCTTGCTCTGAACCTAACTGGTGGCTATCATCTAGCCCCAAAGGCGATTTCTCAGTTATCTTATGTGAAATTCAGCTTCAGAAAACTATTTTACAAGGACTTCACTGCATCATTTCCTCGCTCTCCCCTCTACCCATTGCTGGACAACTCAAGCTGCGAAAACATAATAGAAATGGAGTGTTATTACTGTGACGTGGCCCATAGATACCTCATCTGGACAGTTAGGTGGGCACGGCAGGCGTTTTCCTTCTTTTAACGTATTCACAAGTCTTGTGACTGTCATCTGGCCATGGGTTGGGCCTATCATTTTCAGGAACAACTATATAAAATAAAATCAAACAAAACGTTTAACTTTGCAAGTATTTACATAAATGCCAAACAGATTAAGGTGAAATTTCTACAATCAACTGGAAATTTAAGTAGCAATAAAAAGGCTTTTCTCCTTAGTAACTTTAAATAAAAATCCAAAATCCTTATTAGCTTTCAATGATCTGTCTCTAACCAGTGTCTTAGACTCTACCAACCACTCCTTGTGCTTGTGCTGGTCAAGGAGTCTGTTCCCAAGAAAATGATCTGATTTAGGAATGAAGGAGGCACAGACAAGGCTGGTCCCTACCCAGTGCTACCCCACTTAACTTGCTCATTTTCCCATAAAACTGCCCTTCATCTCTACACAGATAAGATCCTTGAGAGTCAAGGTCATCCTATAGAACTCCGGGCTCGTTGTGAAAGCAAGACTTTAGAGATTCACAAATAACTGTCAAGTAGCAAACCAAGTTAATGGGAAAGTGACATTTTCCATTATAATACATTCATTGGATTCCATTTAAAAACAAAAGTTAACCAAGCAGAGGGATGGACACATTTTAAATGGGTACTGGATTCAAATGAAGAGAAAAGTAGGACTTACAGCCATGGGACTAGAATCTGAATCACAGTAAGTCAGCAGCTCATGCAGAGTGACTCCAAAAGACCAGACGTCAGAGGCAATATAAAATTTAGATTGCATTAAACATTCTGGAGCATACCTTGAAAGGAAGCAGAACACAAAACTTCATTTCCTGGGAGGCACACTCCATCCGACATTACAGGATAACTGAAAAATCACCTCTTCGGTTTTTCTTATAATTTAATACAGCATCTGACTGTGTATTATATATTTTACACATACCATGTATACGCTGCTATGGTGCACATCTGACCTATAGTACGGTATCCTTTACAGGCTCTCGGTAGCACGTATCTGCCCTAAAATAACACGCCAAGTCTGTGCTCTTCATTTCACTGAGAACATGCTCTCAGGGTATGGGAGGAGGTGGCCGTGTAATGATGAGCCCCAGGTCTGATTTGCCTGCAGGCTCTAAATGAGACAGCAGTGGCCTCACTGCACAATGTGGCATCGCTGTCCAATCCTCTTCCAGCATTGCCTACTTTGCTGAATGACACCCACTTGCCCAAGCCAAAAATGAAGGCATTCCACCGCACCCAATCTCCTTATATACTCCTTGAACCTACTCACTTCTCTCAAACCCTACTGTCACTCTCCCAGTCCCTGTCCTAATTCATGCTGTCACTAGCTCTGGCCTGAGCTGTTGAAGCAGCCAAATCAGACTCCCTGGCTCCAGACTCCCTGGCTCCAGACTCCCTGGCTCCAATCTTGTTCCCTTCATTCAGTGGTGGTCTTTTTAAAACAAAGTCTCCCTCCTTAAACTCTCCAGCAGCATCCCATTGTTCTTGAGATGAAGTCCCAGCTCCATGACTCAAGCTTCCTCCTGCAAACCTCCTATTCCATGATCTGACCTCACTGAGGTTCAGTTCCTGGGAAATCGACTGCTCTTGTCTCATTCTTCCTAGTCACGCATGCTGTCTAGCAACCGTCTGTCTAAACCCGCATGAATCTTTCAGGTTTCTTCTGAATACTCACGACTTCCAGAAAACCAAGCCCGAACCCTTCTGTATGTTTCCTGCTCCATGCCGTTGGCTGCCTAGCCTGTTAAACTCTAAACTCGGCCTACTTGTTCACCATATCTCCAGTACTGGCACAAAGCAGGACCTTGATGCATTTTCTTAAATGAATGAATGAGTAAGTTTAGGCTCCATAAGTGGGAGAGGTCTATGTTTGTGTCCATGTAGGATGCACCTAGGGGAGTGCTGATTGGTTATGTCGTTATGTGGTTACGTGGCAGGGTGCGGTAGAGATGTAAGCAGCCTCTCCCCTGGACAGTGTTCCCGGCTGAGACATGGTTGTAGCCAGTGTGTGGCCTTCTAACCTGGGAACCTCTGGTGATTCATGAGACAGCCAGGTCTCCCGTAGGTTTTGCTCTGCTCTGTCCAGGAGTTCCCTGAATCTGCAATGCCCACTCTGTCCTACAGCCTCCCTCTGCAGGAATGTGTTTAAGAAAGGAACTAGATTCTCTCCACCTGCTCACAGTTTTAAGAACTGCATCAGATGAATGCCCTCTCCTGGAAAGCTAGGAATGTTGAGCTGGTGGTTAGATTTCTTTCATTCCTTGGAAGACGGTGTCATATGAAGCTCAGTCATTTATATAGGCTGCTTTCAATGAAACAGGCTGAAAGGTGTGTTTCTTGAAGATAAATATCAATCAATTCCAAATGTTCTAAACCTTCTCTAACCTTGAGTCAGGCCAGAGGAATGAGACACATTAATATAGCCAGAAAGGGCCTATTAAAACAGTGTAAACTCTATGAAGCATTGATAAAACCTAGTGGTTTGATTCAGTTACCAAAACACAGGGCTGTCCCGGTCATCCTTGACGGTGTAATACTCCTTATCGGTTTCAATTGCTTTGGTTAAACCGAAGTCTCCAATTTTCACTTGGTGTTCACTCTCAACAAGGACATTTCTTGCTGCCAAGTCCCGGTGAACGTATTGCCGAGAACCCAAATAGTCCATCCCCTGAGAGAGAGAAGTAAAAGTCAAGCACATTGCTAAAGTCACTTTAGATTGTATTATCTATCACTTCATCAGAAAAAATAGAAATGTCATTTCATTCACATATCACTGACAATTTTTTTGGTTCTGACTTTTATGCAAGAATATTAAGAACAAACTGATTCAAATAAATACACATTAAAATAACCATATTTAAATCCGTTTACTTTCTTAGTAGAAGCTAACTTTTCATCTAAATAATGCAGAGAAAAACAAACAGTATAATTATCATAAACTTACCCACTTAGAGTCAAATTACAAACCAATTACCCAGGACAGAGTGCCTGATGTCTTAATCTGTAACATGATGTCTTTATTTTTTACCTTACAAATCTGAACGGCATATTTTAGCTGCTGTTTGAGGTTTATTTTGTTCTTATTCTTTGGAAGATATTCCTTAAGGCTTCCCGAAGGCAGAAATTCCATGATGAGCTTAATACCATTTCCTCCTGTTTAGAAAAAACATCCATCAGTCTGAGGCTGCCAAATGAGGGAACCATGGGAGAGGCAAGGGCACAGGATATGAGACAGAGGCCCTGAGGTGACGCCAGCTTCGCCCCTTCATTACAGGCATGTTACTTGACCTCTTATGCCTCAAGATCCTCAGCAGTGAATGGAGATGGTAACAATGGTGTACCTACCTCACAGGCATAAGCACTCACTGAGATAACAGTCAGAGTGCTCTGTAAACCACAGGCAAATGACTGTTTTCAAAAATTATCGGGCTGGGCGCGGTGGCTCACGCTTGTAATCCCAGCACTTTGGGAGGCCGAGGCGGGCGGATCACGAGGTCAGGAGATCGAGACCATCCTGGCTAACACGGTGAAACCCCGTCTCTACTAAAAATACAAAAAAATTAGCCGGGCGTGATGGCGGGCGCCTGTAGTCCCAGCTACTCGGGAGGCTGAGGCAGGAGAATGGCGTGAACCCGGGAGGCGGAGCTTGCAGTGAGCCGAGATTGCGCCACTGCAGTCCAGCCTGGGCCACAGAGCGAGACTCCGTCTCAAAAAAAAAAAAAAAAAAAAAAAAATTATCATCAGCTGTCAATTTCACTACCATGAGTAGATGCTGGCTTGCAAATAAGATACAATTATTAGTAAATATTACTTGCCACTTTGATTTAGACAACTAGAAAATGAAATACCCTGGCTAGTATTGGATCAGAACAGGAAGTGGGTGGAGGTAGAGTAGGAATCAGTTTCATAAGGCATAAGTGCAAGTGACGTGGAGAGACAGTGCTGGAACCAGCCCCTGGATGGAGGGGCCTGGGTGGCCTCCTCAGGAGCCCTGCAGCTGCTGAGGGATTTGACATATGACTTGGAAGCCTTGAGAGTGTGTGGGAACCACCAGCTAGCATGTCAGACGCCCAGGTAAGGCCACGGAGTGCCTGTTTTGCACTGGCCTTTATGACCCTAGACAGTCACCAAATCTTTAAACCGGACCCCAGCCTTGCATAACATACCGTCTTCTGTGCAGATTCCTTTGTACTTCACAATGTTCTCATGATAGAGGTTCCTTAAGATCTCGATTTCCTTTTTCAGATCAGCTATGTGGTTACCTCCACTCTCAGGCTTCAGAGATTTAACAGCCACCTGCTCCCCTGTATTGTCCCCTTCGGGGTCATACCTGCAGAGCTCAACCTTCCCAAAGTGGCCCTGGAGGGAAAGATGCATGTGCTGTTATCAGGGAAGCCCCATCGTAGGCCACGGAACACACAGAAGTCTTGCTCCTCACAGCCGTTCCCCTGAGGGCCAGGGGTTCTCGCTGTCTGGCCTTGCAGGCAGAAGCCTCTCACCTGGACTGTACTTGCTCACTACAGCCCCCTCGCTCTCTTGGCCTCACAAACTGTCCCCTCAGTTACTGAGCCAAGACAAAGTAGCAGGTGACGATGAACCAACTCATCAATCCCAATTTCTATGACCACAGGAAATGAAGGTTATTTCTGGGCCTGCAGGACAACTGCCGTTCTCTAAAAGCCCTGGGCTCACGTTACAGGACAGGCCCCACAGCATGGCTGAAAAGAGCAAATGCATGAGGAGTCTTTAGAAGACGTGAGATCAGGTTCCAGCCAAGCCACCTGACAGCGACAGTGGTGGCCAAGTCCCCAAATCGGAGCTGGCTCCTGATGCACTCGCTGCATACAGAAACTGGCCTCGGGGACGGTGGGGGGAACTAAGGATGCCATGCTTCTGACAATGCCTGGCACAGTGGCTGGCACACAGCAGATCCTGGAGATGTATCAAGTCTGTTTCATTAACCAGACTACAGAAAATCTGTATAAAGACACAAATCTCAGTAGCTTCTCTAGTCACAATTAACTGTTTGGAAACTCCCATTTAAGGTCCAAAGAAACGCTGACACTCTATTTTGGGATTCTGTGCAATAAACCTATCCCTGCTCTAAAGAGCCTTACAGGGCTGGGTATGGTGGCTTATGCCTATAATCCCAGCACTTTGGGAGGCCTCCTTGCTTGAGGCCAGGAGTCTGAGAGCAGCCTAGTCAACATAGCAAGACCCCATTTCTACAATAAAAAATAAAAAATATTAGCCAGCATGGGGGCGTGTGCCTGTAGTTCCAGCTACTCAGGAGGCTGAGGCAGGAAGATTGCTTGAGCCTGGGAAGTTGAGGCTGCAGTGAGCTATGATCACACCACTCACTCCAGCCTGGGACACAGAGCGAGACCCTGTCTCTCGGGGGCAAAAGAAAAAGAGAGAAGCTTACAGGATATATATGCCCGGGAAAGTCAGAGGCAAGGATTTTCCTATTCCACCATATCTATACCTACTCCCCCATCTCTCCCTCTTTCCATTCTCTTCTGTCCTGTAGAGAAAACTCAAGTCTCTCAAGGGAGCTGCCCAGAGTCCCGTGTGCATACACAGTCGTGCATGCAGGCAGGGACGTGCATTCCGTCCGTGCCGTGTGTCACATGGAGAAAGACACAATCCCTTGTGATGAAAGTGGCCCCCAAATGCAGTAAGGTGCTTTCGCTCATGGACCTGGCCCCAGAATGAAAAAGAATGGAGAGCAGCTGTACGTGCAGAGAGTGGCGCTGTGGATGGCGGAGGGCTCTGCCATCAGCAGCAAGCAGCACGGGTGTAACTTACCTCTCCCAAGTCACGGATCCTCTTTAGGAAGCGCTTTTCAAAATGTGTGGGGTCCACTTCAGTTGCTGGTTTTTTTTCTGAAACAATATCTGGATCTAACAGAAGAGAAAAGAAAACAGAGTGAAAGGCAGTCGATTGCCAGGGATTGCCACCCAGGCTCCTGTTTCTCCCCAAGCTGGGTTAAAGCAGCACATGGCAGGTCTTACTCTGCTCTTCAAGCTTATTAATGTCTCTCATGATGGCTCGGAAGAAAGGCCTCTGATTGGGGTCATAGTTCATGCAGCGGGTCATGAGGTCAGCCAGCTCCTTACATGATGGTGTCACTGGCCTGCACCGGCTTTCATAGAATCTCTCTTTCTGTAAACAAGAGGGGCACATGGAAGAAACCAAAGGAACCACCTACAAACTTCTCAGCCCCAGGTCAGGTGGAATTGCCAATTCCTCATTCGATTCTCAACATCTCCACTTACAGGTAGATTTCGTAAGTGTTTGTTACTGCTGCCTTATTCTTGCAAGGGGAAATCACAGTCCTAATACTGAATAGTCCAAATTCAAGGAGACTGGGCACTATAGCCCAGTCCCAAAAAGCTTCATTCAAGTAAAGGCATGCAGCCTTTCTGGAATACAATTGGGCAACATGTACAAAAATCTTCAGATTCTTCAAACCCTCTGATGCATTAACTTCAATGACTGAATGACTCAGAAATAAATCAGATATGAACAAATATTTATGTACAAGGATGTTTCCTGCAGAATTAGACAGAACACTGGAAATTTGAAAACTTAAATGCCAAATATAAAATTAGTCAAGTAAATTAAACAAAACAATTAACTCTTACATTAAATTTGTAAAAATTATGATTTAATCTCACAGGAAAGCATTCTCAGTATTAAATGAAAAAACTCAGAATTTTATATAACTCTATCTAGCATGGCCCCAATTTTGTTTAAAAAAGAGAGATACAAACAGGCTGGAAGACAAAATGCCAAAGTGTTAACAGTGGTCAGGGATGACAAGAATGCAGTGATTGCTGTTTTCTTTTTTTAATAGTTTCATTTTAAAAATTTTCTTCAACTGTTTATTACTTTAAATTTTAGAAACAAGAACTTATGCTACTTTTGGAAGATGAAGTGAAACCACTGCATTCCAGTTTCTACTTCATAGCTGGACTCCAAGGGTACTAAGTTCCTCTCTGGTCCCCGTGGGCCCTGGGGTGGGGTGGGGTGGGCAGGCCCCAGAGGACAGGGAGGAGGGAGGACTGGAATTAAGGAGCTGAGAATTGCTCTTGTCCTTGAGTGTCACTCACACATCCCTGCGTCAGTGCAGCCTGCAGAAAAGCCATCTAACCCAAGGGGACTTAGGTGGAGAGAGACCCCTATTTTATTAAAGACACGGGTCCTTCCTTACACCACCCTGTATGCTGTTCAGCCCAGGGTACGCAGCACGTGCTCAATAAATACTGACTGATGACAAAGGGTATGTTGTTTCATTTCCAAGGATCCAAGGAAGTTAAAAATAAATATGAATTTCCCAAAAGCCTAGGCTGAAAATTCCAAATAGCAGATCTGTAGATCTGATGGTTTCCCTGCGGGTTTAAGATCCTTTCCCAAGTCCTGCACCATCATTAACTGGCAAGTCATAAAGGTTCTACCTCTTCAATATCTCCCACCCTGCACTCTGGACTTCCGCTGCCATTTCCGGACATGGGGCTCCCATTGCTGAGAGACTCGGGGCCCCTGTCTCCCTCCAGGTCTCTCCTCTGTCCATCCCAGCTACTGCATCCAGAAGAACATCCCAAGGCCGACCTCCAAGCCCCTCCCTCCTCCACCCAAATCCTTCCTTGTCCCATGCCACCCCCAGTAAAATGTAGGTTCTGCAGCCTGGAATCAGGGACTTTAAAAATCTGAACCCAAATGGCCTTTCCCACCTGATCACTGTTATTCCTTTCCCCACTCCAGACACTCAAGGCCAGGCACACCAAACTACCCAGGCTCCCGACACAGCACTGAAACCAGGCTCTCACAGCCGAAACTGATGCCTGCCCCCTCTAAACAACAGGAGCACATTCCAATTGCAGTCACTGAGATGAAGGGACAATGGTCTTTCATTGTGATTTTTACTACTTTACCCCTTTGGAGTTAGAGTCTCCACTTTTTCCACAGGTAGATTTGGAGGAGGTCCACACCTCGCCTGTTTTGCATTCTAGCTGAGGAACCCAGGTAAGTGGGGCTACCTGAGTCTCAGTTACCTGATCTGTCAAATGAGGGTAATGACACCATCCTACCTAATTTGCAGGGCTCTTAGGGTGACACTTTCAGGTATTCTTTCTGGAATTCTTACCGTTGTTATTTTAGCCTAACTCCCTACCATACCCTAAGGCCCTCAAGGGAAGGCAAGGCCTGTATCTTATTTTATAGTGAACCTCCAGCTTTTCCCAAGCTTGATGCCTGATACACAATAGGAACTCCATACGTATTTGTGTGGTAATTTTGCTGAATAACAGGCACTTAAAATCTCAGATAAATAATACTATAACATCTATCGAGCTTGTACTGCATGCCTGTCACTCTATATGCATTATTTAATCTTCACAACAACCCTACAAGTAGTTACTGATTATCCCCATTTTATAGATGATGAAACTGAGGCTCACGGAAGTTCAGTTACATTTGTGAGGTCACACACCCAGTAGGCCCGTGAAGAGATTCAAACCCATGCCCATCTCTTCCCACAGTGCCAGGCTTCCGACAACTCCTGGGAAGCCCACGAGCACCTGAAAGCCCTCACTTGCCTCACGCCCCGGGAAACACCTGCTCACCTCAATCAGCGTCTTGTCTTTCAAGGGGATCTCGCCATTGTAGCAGATTTCCCAGAGCGTGGTTCCAAAGCTCCACTTGTCAGCAGCCACACTCAGGTTCTTGGAGTCCTCAACACACTCAGGAGCAATCCATGGGATTCGTTCAATGCATTCTGGAAGACAACAGACACACTGATGGAGCAGTTTCTGGGATCTCCTAGGGATTCAATTACTGTCACTGCAGCCAGAACAGTGAGCCAATGAAGGAACTACTTCAAGCAGTGTGCCCAAACATGGCCCATGGCCACATAGGCCCTGTGCGGGGGGCCTGCAGGCGTGCAGCCCTCCAAGCCACCACCAGCACTTCTGATACATCAGTCTGGGTCACAGCCAGCAGATGGGTCCCTGCCTCCAAGCTCCCCAGGAGGGTCGTGTGAAGCCAGGCTTCTGAAGCCCTGGCCTTAGGATCAGCAAAACATCCCAGGGTGGGGGCCATCACCCAGGGCAGGAGGACGAACGGGGGCTCGTTCAAGGACTTAAGAGAAGGCAGGAGATCAAGACCATCCTGGCCAACATGGTGAAACCCCGTCTCTACTAAAATACAAAAAAAAAATGACTCTCTAAAAGGAGACCAACCCCAGCCCAGCCCTTCTCTCTGCTGACTTGCCCCTGACTCGGGGTGGGGCCAGAGGGAAGAGAGGGGAGACACACCTTGCCTAGACAGCACCGTAATGGGGATGCCGGGGTCACTGAGCTTGATGAATGGGCCACACTCACTGTCGATGCCCTCACGGGCCAGGAGGAGGTTTTTAGTACACACATTTCCATGGACCAGGTCTTTATCCTCCTGCAGAGTAAAAAGGTCAAGTTTAGCCAAGCTGCTCCTTCCCGCATTCTATTTCCAACCCTGGTCCCTCAGGTCATCTCTTCCTACCCCCAGCTACAGCCAGATCTGGACAGCCTGGCCCTGCTGCCAATCATCTGTGTGACTTAGGCACATCACAGGTGCCCCTTGGCTCCAGCTCCCTCATCACTGAATGTGGCTAAATAGTGGCACGTATCTCATTGGGCTTCGTGAGCATGATACTGATTAGAATCTGTGAAACGCCTGAACAGCTGACCCATGGTGAGCACTCCACACGTCAGCTACTAGATGCTGGCAGTTCACTCATTCACTCAACACGTACTGCACTGCTTTCAGCCTTGCCATCCATATGCTGCAGTATGCAAGTCGGCCCTCTGACGTGCTAACATTTCCCACTAAACAGAACTCATGTGAGCACAGGGAACGGCCCCAAACGACCATCTTCAGTAAGCACCAGGCACACCTTTGTTCAACCACAGAGCCCTGGCCCCATGGAACCCAAGGACAGGCCCCTCTAGCTGCTTGGCTAGCACCTCCTTCCTGCCACCCCTCCCAGGACACTCTGGTTTCTGGTGGGACCATTATGGACATCAGGACATTCTCACCAAGTAGCTCAGGGCACTGGCCAGCTGTTTGGCAACTTTGAATTTCCATGGTGTGGTAAGGACATCGCTTTTCCGGTGCATGAAGAGATCCAGAGGACCCCCTTCCACAAACTCTTCCACCATGATATCTGTAGGCATAAAAATAGCCATGTCTGGAACCTGGTCTGTGGCACGGTCCTCTCCTTCATCCCCTTACGACAGTCCACTTCAGTGGACACTACTCGGCCTCAGAGTACACAGATATCCTTGGGGGGTGCAATGGTGCAGGGGCTTCAGAGCTGGAAAGGCCAAGTTCAACCCCAAGCTCTTCTTCTAAACGGTGGCACTGAGCAAGTGACACTTCTCTGAGCCTCAATTCCCTCATCTGTAATAACAGATGGCGGCTAAATGTCACAAGGCCTGGAAAGCCTTGGCGGAGGGCCTGACACAGAGAACAAGGGCTCTGGGAACAACCGCCACCACTGCTGCTGTTCTACAACACACTGTGATGCAGAGGTCAGGCCGCTCACACGGCAAAACTTCCCTCTCAACAGGACTCCTGTGTGAGTACACGGAACAGCTCACATTGTTGGATTCCACAGGGAAGAAGTCACTTGGGGTTAAAAAAAAAATCGCTCTTCTTCCAAACTTACATGTCAGGAACTCAGAGGCCAAGGCCACCCCTCCATCTCAGTGTGCAGCAGCAGCCCAAGGGCCCACCGGCTCAGTGGCTTGACAACCAAGAAAGGGCCAAGCCTGCCTGTGGTTAAAATGGAAGCCAGTCCATTCGAGGAGCCAGCGTCTTGCTGCTTGTGGGGTGCGCTCACCTCGCTCACCTGCCCAGAGCTCCTTGGGCCTGACTCTTGTGGCCTTGACCTCATTTCACTCACCTCAGCCTCCCAGGTCTAGCACAGTGTAGGGTTCTTGGCCAGCGTTGACAAGAAAACATTACACAAATGAATGAAAAGCAATTGGTTTTAGTTCCACCTCCACTATTAACTTAAGCAAATGACCTGCTCAGTCCCTCAATCTCCTCAACTGCAAAAAGAAAGGCAAGAAGCCTGGGCAACGTGAGGGTGGGAAGAGCCTCCACCATCTCCACAGCACCCAAGCTCCCCAGCCAGGCCACCCACCCCTTTGAAAGAGAACACACTTACTCTCCACGTCGCGGACACAGACGCCATAGAGGTACACGATGTGTTTGTGGGAGACCTGTCTCATCATGCTGGCTGCCTCGAAGAAGGCCTGTGGGCGAGCAGGACATAGGAATGTCTCAGGCCAGCCTCCAGGGGGCTGCTCCCCAGGGGCTCTGTTGAGGGGAAAGCCAGTGGACCCAGGAAAGCTCACCACTGTCGCCACCCCAGGCCCTGAACATCAATCCTCTGGCCTTGGCTGTCCAGAGGCACTGCCAAGCCTTGTTCTCTGGGCCAACCTGGCAGGGATGTGAGGTTTATTTAGAAAACCTAACAGGATGCAGAGCAGGGCTGGTGGGAGAAGCTGGCTAAGAATTTTCCCACTGGATACTCATGCCCACCTCTCTCTCTTCCTTTCAGCTCTGGGAAATACCCATATTTAGCACTATGCTGGAACAAAGGGGAAATGAAGGCAGCCGATCTCTGCTCAAGATTTGACTGTGTCACTCTAATAGTCTGTAGAATCCTGGGTGAGTCCTTTTACTCCTCTGGGCTTTCGTTTTCCAGACTGTGTGGTGAGAGCCATGGACTGTATCAGGAACTTTGAACCATTTGGCCAGAGTCCTAGGGCTCCACAGCACAGCCACCTGGACCTGTCCTTAGGAAAGGTGGGGGTTGGGGGTGGAAGGGAGGGCACAGGCTGAGTGTGAGGAGCTGTTCAACCCACCTCACTTACTCTACATGCAGGGTCCACTAAGATCATATGTGGAGAAAAAAATTCTGAGTAAAAGGCAAGTTTGAAAACCACTGGGCCACAAGAAGGGCAAGGGTTCTTCTCAACCCATTGTGTTCCACTGGCTCCAGAAACGGGAGAGGGGAGGGGAGGAGTTCAGAGGAAGACACTTGCCAGGGAAATATCCCTGTGGCTGGGGTCTAAGACTTTGAGGATCACTTTTATCTTCTTCTCTTCAGAAGTTCCTTCGTCATCCTTGTAATCCATCAGGGTCCCAGAATAGATGTGTGTTCTCGTGCCTCTCCCAAGGTGCTCGCCCTGAGGGAAGAAGCAGAAGGCTGGGTGACCTCTCTGTGCCCTGAAGTGATGGACCGTCTGGGAATGGGTCCTCAATGGGAACATGGACTATCAATGGGATGGGGCAAAGGCAAGAGGGCTCCCTGCCCCAGCTCGTGGTCCCCAGGCCTCCAGAGAAAACAACAAGCTATTTGGCCAAACACAGTGGTGACATTTGCTGGGCCCCAGGAGACAGTCCTCCTACTCCCTAAACGGCTCCTTGCTTTCTACCCCTAGGAACAGCCTTTGGCCAAAACACAGTCCTAACATGTCAGGACACTGCAAACAGGGCCATCAACAGCCAGCCACATGGGTCCCACCCCAGGCCTCCAGAGAAGACTCAAGAGAGGAGCCCCCAGGCAGCTCCTCTACTCACAGGCTGTGCTACCCTGTGAAGAGGCTTGCAAATCCCAGCTCTACTACCCGCTGGCCATGTGACATGGGGGCAATCTCTGCCCACTTTCTGCAAATGGAGGTAATAATGGTACTGACCTCATAGGGCTGTGGTAAGAATCAAACCAGGAAACAGGGATGGAGGCTCCTGGTACAGACTCAGGCACACGGGGGGATGCGTAGAAACCCATCTGGTGGATCCATGTGTTATCTGAAGCCCTCTGGCACAGGTAGGCACAGTTTCTCACACTGGAACCATCTGTTTCCCATCCATTTATCCAGTGTGTGTGCTCATGTGTGTGCATGCACGCTAGGATTTAAAATTAGTGGTGCAAAGTACACCTGCATTTGCCCTGGCAACCTCACAGAGGAGATGGCAATGTGAAGATGAAGGTGGAGCCTGGGGTGATGTGTCCTGGATTTCCTGACATGTGAAAGGGAACAATACCCCCAGATGAGTGGCAGGAGGACTGAATGAGATGATCCGTGCAAAGCCCTAGCCATACCATGATCTATTTCTGAGGACCCTTCCAGTTCAAGTTGCAATAATTCTGCTTTTAAAATTCTTAATATTTGGAAATCGAAATGGGATTCACGAAACTTAGGCAATGTCAAGTTGTTGACATTAGCACCACAAAACTTGTAAACTGAAGATCCATTATTCTATTATTTGAGGACCCCCTGGAAATGCAGAAAAGGGACTGTCACTGATACCTAGGGAATCAGTCTTATCCCCCATAGGAACATACACCATTGTTAATCAGGTATATTAATTTGCACAAATGCCACCATTTGTTATCTGTCAGAGCCGAATGGCGATGCATCCACCCTGTCTGCTGTATCCTGGCAAGGTCTTTGGCTATTCATTAAAGCTGCATCTGTCATGAAGTGATCCATCAAGGTTATGGGAAGCTGTATTCCCAGAACATCCCGTAAAAGCCATATGCTTTCAGAATAATTGCTCTTCCCGTGGCCAAGTCATGACACCATGCTGTCAGGATTCTGCAGGGACCCACAAAGGCCCATATGGCCCACTTCATCCTCCTCTGATGCTGTTCCCTCCACCTTGCCTAGCTACTTGAGTTCATCCTCCAGGAGGAGACCCTGATTTTTTTTTTTCCCCAGACAGGGTCTCGCTCTAACACCTGGCGGGAGTGCAGCAGCACAATCATAGCTCACTGCAACCTCAAACTCCTGGCCTTATGCAATCCTTCCAACTCAGCCTCCTGAGTAGCTGGGACTACAGCTGCTTACCACTACACGCAGCTCATTTTTTCATTTGTATTTTTAGTAGAGATGGGATCTCATTGTGTTGCCCAGGCTGGTCTTGAACTCCTAGGCTCAAGCGATCCTCCCGCCTTGGCCTCTCAAAGCGCTGGGACGACAGGTGTGAGCCACTGTGTGAGCCGCTGTGCCTGGTCTGGGACTCTGCTTTGATACCGCTTCCCCCAGGAAGCTATCTCCGTCCTCTCAAGATTAGGTCCACATCCTGCTGTACTTCCCTACTTTGGAACTTGACTCTTGCTAACGTGATTACCCCCTCAAAATAGACAGGAGCCTGCTGAAGCAGCAATCGTGCCTCGCACGTGTAATGCTTGATCTCTGTTGGCTAAGTGGATGTGGAAGGCATGGAGGATGGTGGTTACCTGCTTGGAGGCTCGAGGCAAGGGAAAAGAGGCAGGCCCCACAGACTATGTCAAGTTCTACACAGAAAAGAGGCTATGAAACTGTGGCTCTGGTGACTGTAATCTCAGGACACAGCTCTCACACCACGAGAGGAATAGAGAACAATGATGGGCCTTTGGTGAAGAAATGTACCACGAGGGAAGTGAGGCAGTTTAGCTGTGGATTTCCACTCCCTCAAGCCCCATCCAACAATCTCGGGGACTCACTGAAAAAGGTAAAGTAACAAACCCCCGAGTGCCACTCTCCCCAGGCTCCTTCACAGCAGGCAGCTTCCGCCTCACCCTCCAACACCTCCAAGGCGCTGCCATCTCCCGAGGTGGTGAGTGGCCCCGTGCTTGCTTCTCTCCAAGGCTGCCGCACCATCTCCCTGATACCCCAACGCGTGGCCCTATGCAACAGGGCTGGGGAGCGGTGGCAGAACAGAAAGTGGGCTTTCCCTGGGCCTCACACCACCAGCAACAGCTCCAGGGCAGCCCCTGGGGAGATCCTGGGCTCCCCGCTCAGCCTGTAGATTCTGGGCAAAAAGGCCTCCAAAGACTGGGATCTGTTTCTCAAGATAGTTCTCCTTCAGGCCCAGAGTGTGCATGTCCTCTTGTTCCCTCCCTGTGTTCTCTCCTCCTGAGCTCTGCTCCTTCTGGAAGCATCATCAGAAAGTGCAGGACTGAACTCTGGAGGTGCTCCATCACACAGCCTGCTGCAGGCAGCGAGGTGTGATGGCCATGCTCCCCTGTGGAGAGCCACCTCCTGCCCTGCCACCCCTTCAGCTCACCACAGAAGGTCCCTGCTGTTCTAGGTAACCCCACAAAGCCTGACCAAACCACTTACCTCAAAACATGTCTCTGAGGAGCATCAGCAAGGGTGAAGAGGATGGAGGCAATGGTTGTACGGCTTTTGCCATCAAAGGAAAGTCTCCCTGTTCTTTTTCTACTAAGATTTCCCCAAACACAGCCTTCCTTCCCCCAGATCCCCAAGCTGCTCCATCGTGGGGAGGCAGGACCACAGCTGGCCCACACCCTGCAGCCGTGACTCACCTGCACCAGATCCTTCTTGAGGATCCGATCGAAACTCAGCTGGCTCATGGGGTAGACGGGCTGCCACTCCTGGGCTTTCTTAGTAGCCACCAGCAGGTTGGAGATTTCTGTGGAAGAGATTGGGGGAGTCTGAGCACAGCACCCAAGATCCGAGCTCTCAGACAGCCAACGTCTGCTGAGCCGGGGCCGTGGGACCGGTGTGCGGGCGCTTGCTGCTTCAGTCATTCGACAAGTGCTTATTCAATAGGCATATGGCTCCTACCCTCCAGGAGCTCAGAGGGTAACGACAGAGCCAAAACTCCCAAATAAACAATTAAATGGAAAGCTACAATTTGTTCAGCTCCTCTAAAGAACAGGTGTGTGGTGCTCCAAGGTTGGCATGGCAAGATCTGTTCTGGTAAGAAAGGTCAGAAACAGTTTCCCTAATGAAATTAAAATTTAAAATGTAAGACTGGAAACTGAAAGAAGTCAGAGACTGTCTATCTTATTTTCTTCTCCACCTCCACAGCCCGGTACATAGTAGGCACTCAATTATTATTTGTTAAATGAGTGAATGAATGACTGGCGTCTTTCTAAAGGATGAGAGCTATGGAAGGAAGAAGCAGTACCCGGGCCCAGGGCATGATGGGAACCAGAGGAGGAGGTGAACAAACGCTGGTTTTGAGCCAGAAGATCAGGGCAGGAGACCCATAACAGTGCCCTGTCTGAAGCTCGTGGTACCAGCAGTGCCTGACATGGAGAGGCGCTTACCAAATGCCCCCTCAATATGCAGGTTTAAGTAGACTATCCCCCAGATTCTACTGATTCAAACAGCAAACCCAACACATTACAAAATCCTCGAGGCCAGGAAATCTACAATCCATAGAAATCACCTTTCCCGCTATGGAGCTACTGCAAGGAACGAGGTTATCATAAGGCAAGAAAGGACCTTCCAGATTCTGACTAGCAGGGAAAGTATTCTGGGAATCTCTGAAGACTTGTATGTTTTCATCAATTTTATTAACTGAAGCAGGAATATTAGCAAAATGACAACGAACATGCATTTCCCTTCACTTCCTCTTTCCTGCACTAGAAGACAATAACAAGTTAGGGGAGAAAATGTAGCCATTCCAGTCCTGATTCCTGGACTGTAACAGAAGGAAGTTCCTAAAAGAACATCTGTAGAACAGCCAGGCACAACCCATGGAGGCCACCACACACACCGCTGGGAGACAATGGCTGCTGAGCGCCGGGTCCCTGC
The DNA here is from genome assembly GCF_000001405.40 of Homo sapiens. Taxonomy (NCBI): domain Eukaryota; kingdom Metazoa; phylum Chordata; class Mammalia; order Primates; family Hominidae; genus Homo; species Homo sapiens. The sequence goes on from NC_000001.11 coordinate 64,852,044, forward strand.
ACAGGGCCACGTCTCTAATCCCTGCTATCCCTCAGGACAGGGCATTCTTTTCCTTTCTAATTTTTTAAGCTCACATATTCCGACTGTTTTCTCCATGCCAGCCGGTGTTCTATGAGCATTATACACATTAACTCCTTTGTCCTTATGACAATCCTGTGGAATACACAGTATTCTTATCCCCATTTTATAGATGAGAAAACAGAGATTCTGAGAGATTAAGTAATTGGCCCAAGGCCAGGCAGTTCGTAATCTTAGGATTCACACTGAAGTCAGAGATGCTCTCGTCTCTACCCTTCCCACAACATACCTGGCCCTAATCGGGAGAACAAATGTGGGTGCCAGAAACAGGGCTCAGGGAGAGGCTCCCCTTGTTCTCACAACCTGGGCACTCTTTTTCCAGAGGCTGCTCCCTCCATACCATTTTCCTGACTCCACTCTGTTACCTGGGGAAAATCCGATTCAGAGGCAACTCAGGCTCAACTCAACTCAGGAGAAAAGGCATCAAGAAGGGGCCCCGTGGCTGGTGTCCACAGGCAAGAGGCCAGGCAGCAGAGCCACTTGGGAAATGAGAGGCGGATGGAACCGAAGCCATTTATGGACTATTCTTTGCATGGGCACTTCAGGGAACATGGCACCAGGGTTAACAATGTGAATGGGGGAAGCCACAGTGCCTCCATGAAGGTGTTTCCTCACTAGAAAAATGGGGGCCACAGTTGTGTCCTTCATAGGTTACCGTGTGGAAGAATGGGATGACGCAAGGGAACGGCTGCCTTCAGTGCCCGGTATGGAGTAAAACGCTCCCTGACTGGTTGCCGCCGTGATTATGACTGGCATTACATCTTAGTCACTGTCATCATTCTTCCTGTATCATCAGGGTTCTGGAGTGGGAGATGGGTAGTGGAGCTGGACACAGGACACAGGACTAGAGATGTGGGACCTGCTGAGCCGTCACGCCCACTCTGAATGGCCTCCTGCTTTTTCACTTTGCTTTTTATTTATCCCATGAAGAGTTTCTTAGTTGCATTTTCAAGTGAGAAACCCAGATCAGGGTCTGGCTATCAAAACCCCGTGGTTAGGAGAGCAGAGGAGCTGAAGAACCCAACACAATATTCTCATGTCTAATTTTCACGATTTCCCCACTTCTCTAATTTGCACATGGCAAAGGGAAGAGAGAGAGCTTTGGGGGACCTATGTAAGGAGGCCTCACACACAGGCCTTATTCTTACTCTCCCAAGGTCAGGAGAATTGGTGCCTGCTCTAAAGTCCTAGGCTGATGGCTGCACCTTTCCAAAGACAGTGTGACCTGGGCAGGGTGGGGGCAGTGGTACAGAAGGAATCACTGGACTTGGAGTCAGACAACGTGAGTTCAAATCCCCACTCATCCTCTACCTAAGTGATCTTGGGCATGTATAATTGGGATAACAACATATTCTGGGTTATTTTGAGGACTAAATGACTTAAAACATGAAAGATCTCCAAACAACGCCTGGCAAACTGTAAGCCCTGCTCACATGATAGCAGCCGTTCTTATTAATTATTACTACTGTTCTACCTACTACCGATACTACTAGCTACATGGCCTTGAGCAAGTCACTTACCATCTCAAGTCTCAATTTCATCACCTTTGTAATATCTACAAAAAGCTACTGTGTAGATGAAATAAATGAGGTAGGTACATAAACTGCCTGGGCCACAGTAGGCACCCACCATCCAGCAGCTCCTGCTACCTGTTCACTTGACAGGCATTATTCACGCTGACTCCGTGCTGGGCACTGTCCTCCCCACGAGCCCATAGAGTGGTGAGTGAGACTCAGGTCCTGTCTTAAGAGTTCACAGTCAGGTGGGAAAGGCAACAGGAAACACATTCAGCACTGAGTTTCAGGAGCCTCAACTGGGGTTCGTTCCAGTGTGTTGCTGTGAATAAATAGGGCTGTTGGGCTTTAAGGTTTGAACTTACTCTGAGGTCTCACAGCCAAGTGGCAGATGTGTTTTTACCTTTGCGGAAAATCCTCAAGCATGAAAACAAAGGCTGCAGTTATTCTCTGAGCCTGGCAGGAACCCCTATCTGATCAAGAACACAAGTCCCTCCTCTTTCACCAAGTTCAGTGACAAGCCCCTTGCTGAGACCAAAAACTGATTCAAACATCAAGAACCCAGGTCCCTTTCTATCCTGGTGCTGCTTCCTCTGCCCACTCCTGGTGGTGTGAGGGTTTATGGACACGTTCGCTTGGAAGAACAAGATGTGTCCCAGATAAAGACTCCTCAGAGGGTCTTCCTCTGACACTCATGGGGCCTCAGTGGCAATCGTGCTGCTCCTTCTTTGAGGCCTTCCTCCTTCTAAGGGAAGAACCTGACGCATGAAGGGCAGCATCTTGAGGTGAGGAGCAGCAAAATAAACCGTTCTCAAGAGCTAGGGCACTCAGGTTAGGCCTGGCACTCAAGCCCCTCTTTGACGCTGACCTTTGATGAGACCCACTTCGCTCTTCTGGGCCTCAATTTTCTCATCTATAAAATGAGACAGTTGACTGTGTGACCTCTACGTGTCTTTCCAGTCCTCACATTCTAAGAGACAAATCCACCTGCAGAACATCAGTGACGCCATTCAAGAGGCTTAACAAGAAACAGCTGAGTGGCTCCCCCTTGGATCCATTTCACTCCCTGATCCTCCCTGGCCCCTACAGCCTGCAGGATAAAGACCCAGCTCCATGGCATAGCACTCAAGGCCCCCACACCCTAAGCTCAGCCTCACCTGCCCCTCCCTTCCACCTTCACCTTCCTTCCACCTTCACCTTCATGGCAGCCCCCGCCCATGCCTCTGTTTGCACGTGCCGAGATGCCCTGACCGCACTGGCAACCTCCCACTCATCCTCCCACACTCAGTTCAAGAGCTGCCTCCTCCAGGCAGCCCCCTGTGCCACGGAACTCAGGGATTTTGACCATCCCTTTCTGTTTGACTCCAGGGTATGATATCTATGTTAGTTAAAACACCCATCACAAACTGCAGTGGCCTCATTTACCTGTAACATCAGCATTAGGCTGGGAAACCCCCAGAGAGCAGGGACTGGACCTTATGCATTTCTGATTCTTTGCATCTGATATAGTTCTTGGCCCACAAAAGATGTGCCAGGAATATCTCTCAGATAAATAAACCAGTGACAGGAGACTCCTCAAGGCATTTTATCTTAAGGAAGAAAGAAGTGATTTTCTGCTTACTAATGCTGAGCATGCCTCTTTCTGCAGCCTAATGAGATGCTGAGAAAGGTATATGCCTCTTCTACAGAAAATGCTCACACTCAAGGGATTGGATGTGAGTTGGGCACAGAAGTGTAATTAAACTCAATAAAAAACACCTAGAAACTGTGGGGAGGGTCCACTTTGTTTAAGTCAGTCAGCGTGTTTTGGTCGATCTGGGTCTCAGCACATTACTGATGGGATACAGCCTGGCTCTGGCACAGGGAGACGAACCTCGGGGCTTGGGCTGGCAGCAGCGTTTTAGCATGAAGCTGATGTTATCCGTGCGCAGGATCTGCTTCTTGAGGTGGCTCATGAGGTCTCCCAAGCTGGGGAAGCTGCGGTCCGAACCGTGCAGACTGTAGCGGCCCTTCTGCACCTCGATCTGAAAGTTCTTGAACTGCTTCTGGGCACCCTGCACCTGCTATTCGGGAAATGACCAGAAATTACATGTTTAAAATGGGGTCAGGCATGGGTATGTAAGATATTAACATTAGGGGAAGCTGCATGAAGAGTAATTTTGCACCATCTCTGTAACATTTCTGTAAATCTAAAATTATTCAAAAATAAAGTTTATTATCAATAAATAATCCAACCAACAACTAACTAAATAATAAAACAAGGTCCAGGAGAAGGCATTGATAAAAGGGAGTTAATACTACAGCAGACACAGTAGCTATTTCTACAAAAGCGTCACTTGGTTTTTCACCTGTAAGATAAAGTTCATGAAAATCCAACCTCATAGGATTGTTGCTACAATTATCTAACATGGTGTATTGAAAAACTTAGTAAGCCCTTTATAAAGTCCAGCAGATATTATATATGAGGTAATAATTATGATGGCACAACTTCTCAAGGAACAGCCTCAAACTGAGCCCTTCCAGGCCATGTCTCCACTTGAGGAAAACCACACTGGGAGCTGGTGTTCAGTGTCTGACCCAGGTTTGGGACACTGTGGTGCCAGATAGGAGGTATAAGCAGTTTTCCCTCATGGGCTCTTTTTGTACAAACTAAACTATTTTAGTGGTAAACAATGAGGGCCAGAAAGACTTACATAAGCTGTAAACTAGGAGATGATATTCAAAATCTCAGTTACTTCATCTGTACAATGGGATAATATCACCTACCTAATATGGCTATTACAAGGCTTAAAAAAGCACAAGTAGGTACAACGCTTGGCACAGGGTCTGGTGGGCCACAGTGTGCGGTGGAAGTAATCATTTCTATGACTGCTGTTTTCCCCGGGTGATGTGACATTGTTAGGGAGTCACGGACACTCTTGGTACTGCACAGGCCAATTCCACTTCAGGAGGAGGCTGGGCTGTCTCATGCACCCCTCCATCGTAAACACATTAAACTTCCTCCAATGACTGATGAATAGACGGCAAGCATTCTGGGAAGGCAATGAACCTGACAGGCTCTGAGCCACGGAGCCCCGAGGCCCAGCTGTTCAGCAAGAGCCTGGGCAGGTGGTGGTGTTCCTGCATTGCATCACCCAGGACACTTGGCAGCGCTGGTTCCTTCTGCCGTTTCCTCCTCCCACTCTTGACTGAGTCCAGCCCCAGGGGTTCGCCAATAAGCTGTCCTTCCTGCGTCTACCCTCCGTGCCAAAGGCCCCTCCGTGTCCCAGGTCTCCCCATGCATGTGGAGCCTAACCAGTACTGATTAAAGTGTACTGATGTAAAGTGTTTTGTAAAACTCACTGTCTTTGAAAATATTCCACTTTGTAGTTTTTTTAATTACATGAATAACAAAGGCATTTGTGGTCTAGTGAGGCAAAGTCAGTAATTCTGGTGAATATCTTAGCCCTCAGAATGTATCTCACATCATCCCCAGCTTCAGCTACGCTTCAATCACTAAAAGACATCTCTATTCATTGTTCTAAGATGGGGTGGCAATTTGTTAAAGTGTCTGAAGCTACCATTTGGAAAAAACTGTGTTAGGCCATGTGGATGAAGTGGCATTTGGGCGCTGGTTTGTACCAGTGAATGCTGTAGACAGGCATAGCTCTGGGTCTGAGATGATGGTGGCACTGAGTCTAAATAAACCACTCTAAATAATGACACTATACTTTCCAAGTGTTGGGTGTGAATTGGTTTTCTGGTCATGTTCTGTCTTCCAGAGCCATGGTGGACCCCCACCATGGGTCCCATGAAGGAAGAAGGGCCCTACAGGGGGAGGATGCAGGGGTCTGGCTACTGGGGAGCAGTCTCCTTTTGAGAGCAGGGGCCCTTGCCTGACCTCCCAGGGATCTTCTCAGAGACCCAGGCTTTTCAGTTCCACCCTGCCAAGGGTGGTTCTGTCTGCAGCAGCTCCTGAACCAGGCTACACTGGACACCTCATGGCTGTATGGCCTGGTCCAAGCCAGTGTCCTGACTGACCTCAGACTTCTCAAAGCAGGTGACGGTCATGAGGATGTTGTCAAAGTCGGTGCAGCTCCACCTCAGCACGTACATCCCCTCCTCGCTTCCTTCTTGCCGCAATTTATTGATGGCGTATTCTGTACTAGAGGGAGAAGTAGGCAAAGGGAGAAAGAGCTCACACCAAACAGGACTTTGAACCTCTGGGCTATCCACTCTCCTGAGCTGCCTCAAGTCTTAACAGCCCCATCACACTATCTGCCCTGCCTGGGATCCTAAAGTCCCCTCTGATGCCATCCATGAGCGTAGCGGAAATACCGAGTGGCCTCAGGACCGATGGAGTCTCCAAGGTTGAGAAGAGGACTCAGACTCCTGCCCAAGGCAATGAGCCCTGCTTGTCCCCGCATTCCCTACAGACATCATCTCCAGCTCAAGACAGAAGAGCCTCTCTGGAGGCTGGTGATGAGCATCTGCCACGCCTCCCCTCCACCCCTAGCCAGCCCAGTGGAAGCACAAACCTCATGGGGGTGGGAACTGGAGGCCATGTTGTTTATTGTTGTATCACCATGGGCTCACACTGAGAGAATACATCAGTGAGGACTGGACAGATGTTAGTAGGAACAGGCCTGTCTTACATTTCTTTGTATCCCCAGGACCAGTGAGTCCTGGCATGTAGAGAGCAGTGAATACTGACTGAATACATCCCTGCATGAGGTGAGTGCTGCTTGCTAAGTGCTGGTGAGAGAGGGCCGCCATGGTTCGTGTGTTTTAGAGAGACAGGGACATTGTGTACTTTCTAACTGCGCCATGCCTTTGCATGTGCTGACCTCTCATCTAGGTACCCTTTCCGTGCTTTAAGGCCTGGCAAGCCATCATTGATTCTTTGGTTTAATCAGATTTGAATGCCACCTACTCTGAGCAGGCTCTTTAGGCAAGGAATGTCAGCATCCCATCAAACATGAAATATCCATTCATTCAACAAATACTCACTGAGGGCCTACAATGTGTCAGACCCTGTGTGTGCTAAGAAAGCAGTGAGCAATGCAGCCCCAGCCTTTGGGAAGCTCATATTCTGGGAGGTGAGGGTAGTCAGACCAGGAACAAATGTTATGTTATGTAAATAAACATAGTATCTCAGGAGGTAACAACTGCCACTGAAGGAAAATAAGGTAGAGTGCAGTGGCCAACATGTATGGGATGGAGAAGGGAAAGAGGTATGATTGTATATAAGGTGGTCAAGGAAGACTTCACGGATAAGGTGATATCTGACTAGCACCTGAAGGAAGTGGAGGCTGTGCAGATTCTGGAGGAAGGGCATTCTGGGCCAAGGGAAGAGCGAGTGCCTGGGCCCTGAAGCACAACCATGGCTGGGACATTGGCAGAAGACGCTTTTCAAATGCTCAACCCCTTGCTCTGCCATTCTTTGTGTGTCTGTTTCCCTATGAGTCTGTGAGCCTCTCAAGGCCAGGGCCATGTGACTACTAAGCTACCTGTCCACAAGGCAGCCGGAAGAGGGAAGAAGGTGAGAAGCACATCATGTGAAAGGTGGCAGAAGAGATGCTTCCCCAGATATTCTGTGGTCTGAAAAGAGAGGCTCAGAAGAAACACAGCAGCTGGCTGTTTTCCTTTGCCTGAAGGGCTGTCATATGTAAGAGAAAGTCAAAAGAATCCCTGTTGTCTCAAAAGGCAGAATTCAAGTGAGTAGGCAGAAGTTACAGAGAAGCCAACTACAGCTCCATATCAGAAAGGTATGCACATCTCTCACAGTCAGAGCTCCAATCCATGGGCTGCCTCACACATTGCCCATCACCAGAGGTACTTCAGCACAGGCTGCCAGTTCTGAGATGCAGGTGGGACAAGGCATCCCACACAGCCCCTTCTGGCCTTAAGGCTGTATTACCCTCACGGTCCCCACTGTTCACCTGGCACCTTGGGACAAGCTGACTGACAATTCCATTTATTACACTGTCTGATGCTGAGATCATCATCTGATCTTTCTTTTTCTTCTTTTATATATTTTAGAGATGGGATATTGCTATGTTGCCCAGGCTAGAATTGAACTCCTGGGCTCAAGTGATCCTCCCACCTCAGCCTCTCAAGGAGCTGAAACTACAGGCACATGGCAGCACGCTCAGCTGTGTTCAGTGTTTCTTGAATTGCCCACATTGTTTGACACAGCAAGAAATCAGAAAGTGTAGTACTTCTTGATCAGCTATGGAGAGGTGAGGGGGTTAAACTATGAAGAGAGATCCAAGTAAAGAAGCAGCATTGAGGGGCTGCTGCAAAGAGGATGGTAGGAGATTACAGGAAGGCCTGACCAGAGCTTGGACAGCAGGGAGGAAAGGAGGACAGCCAACAAGTACCAGGCAGCATGGTCAACTGGCCTGACCTAAACAATGATGACATGCCCCATCACTAAAACACGGGCTCTCTGCACACCAAAGGCAACTGATAAGGTTCTAGGACCAACCAGATTGGACCATGACAGCCATTCTGTATGTTGTGGACGATCAACGGGGGGGCCACGTCGGTGCAGAGGTAATGATGGGCATCTGCTGTGAGCCGGAAGTAGCCATCTACCAGGGACACAAAGGACAAGGCCTCCTCGTGGGAAGAGAGCTTCAGTTCCTGTTGAGAGAGAAGAAATTCCCACGGTTACATCATGTCTCTATCAGCTTAAGTGGCTGACTCTGTAGGGAGGTGCACAGTGAGAAGATTTTTATAACCCAATGGGAACCCCAAAGGGAAAACCTTTTCATCAATACTAAATATACCCCTTGCATGCATTTATTTATTTATTTATTTATTTATTTATTTATTTATTTATTTATTTATTTGAGATGGAGTTTCACTCTGTCGCCCAGGCTGGAGTGCAGTGGTGAGATCTCGGCTCACTGCAACCTCCGCCTCCTGGGTCCAAGCGATTCTTCTGCCTCAGCCTCCCAAGTAGCTGGGATTACAGGCACCTGCCATCACACCTGGCTAATTTTTGTATTTTTAGTAGATACGGGGTTTCACCATGTTGGCCAGGCTGGTCTTGAACTCCTGACCTCGAGTGATCTCCCACCTTGGCCTCCCAAAGTGCTGGGATTACAGCCGTGAGCCACTGTGCCCGATCCCCCTTGCATTTATATAGGACTTTCACTGTTCAACACATTTTCCCATCTATTATCTCAAACTATCAGATGACTCTGTGTGTGTGTGTGTGTGTGTGTGTGTGTGTGTGTTGGGGGTGACGCGGTGGGGGAGGCTGTGGCAGGCAGGGAGACATGCAGAGAAGCTGTCCCCTGGGTCCGTGTGTGTGTGTGTGTGTGTGTGTGTGTGTGTGTGTGTATGTGTGTGTGTGTTGGGGGTGACGCGGTGGGGGAGGCTGTGGCAGGCAGGGAGACATGCAGAGAAGCTGTCCCCTGGGTCCAGATGGGAGAAGAGGAAGCCTGAATCAAGGTGGCAGAGGCACAAAAGTGGAGGTGGGAAGGGGCAAAGCATGCACCGTGATCTTGGCACTCAACGGTGAATGGCTAAATCGGCATTATTCCTGCTTAGGAGAAAAGAAACAGAGGCAGTGTGGTTCATCTCATAGCAGACTTGCTCTAGAAGGTGAAACTCCCGGATTTTAATCTAGGAATAATCCCAGGCCCAGTGAAGAGTTTGCTAGATTAAGCCTAGGGAGCTCTGAGAGTTGGAGAGAGCAGAGTGTCTTACTCAGAGTGGGAAGAGGCAAAGGCACCTGTGGAGAAGAGGAGGGAGGGGATTTCCATCAAGGAAGGTGTTCTGAAAGACACCTGTGTTGTAGATTTGGGGTACTTTTGTCCTGATCATTGATCCCTGAAGAGACTGCCCATTTGACAGGAACTATCAGGTCAATCAAGAACATTTCCTGGCAAGGGAAGGTATGCAAAAGCCATGATTTGGAGCTTTGACTCACAAAAAAACATTAAAAAGCATCTGAGGCTTCAAAAAAGGGCAAAATGACTCTTTCATAGCCCTGTAGAAAGGAGAGGCAGGTGGCAGAAATGAGAGGACAGTGAAGGGAAAAAGGAGCAGGGGAGACAAGCCACTCGGCAGGAGGGAGGTCAGGGGCCTAGTGCAGCTGTAATGCCGAAGGAAGCATGCCTGGGGCTATGAGGAAGGAGGCCTGGAGAGGGCAGGGTCACCATAGGAATGGCACTTCAGAAAAAAGAAACCACACTGAGCACACTGCCTTGCGGGTGTGACCAGGCACCCACCTGCGGATATCCCTGAAGAGCAAATTCAAGATGCTCTGAACAAGGGGCAGGCTGGCCTGGGCAGCCCCTCACCCAGCCACATGATAAGTAAGACCACATCTGCACTTACATTTCCTGAGAACAGGAGTCTAAACAGAAATGAGGGATGCCAAGGAGATGTAGAGAGAAGTGATACATGAAGGTCTGACTTGACAACATGCTGGTATCAGGGTTTCTTCAAAGCACTGCCTGATTAAAGGGCTTGGGAATCCCATGGCTGGGAGGGGACAACGAGGGCATGAGATTCTAAACTGGCAGCATGGAGCAGTGGTCAACCCTCAGCTCAGGCTCTAGAGCCAGCTGCTCTGGGTTCAAATCGCAGCCTCTCCACCTGCTAGTAGGGTTATGCATATGGAATCATCATTTTTATAGGTCAAAATGGTCAAATATTGGCAATTTCAAATGCTTTAACCTAACAGCTCTGTGACCTTGGACAGGTTACTTAACCTCTTCGTGCCTCAGTTTCCCCTTATCATACTCACCCATAGGGTTGACATGAAAATTAAAATAGGTGGTATTTGTGAAGTGCTCAGAATAGGAAGTACCTGACACACAGTAAGGGCTAGCGTGGTAAAGAAAAACAAACTAATGGAGGAATCAAGTATTTCTTTCTTCCTGCCCTCCTCCTGCTCCCTCCACAGCACTGTGGCTTGGCATAGAGTCATTGGCCCATGTGGCCAGGGTGAGCTCTGACTTAGATGATGGGTGCACCAACTTGTGTTGGTGCTAGACTTGACTGTGTCAACCAGGACAGGACAGGATGGGGCAGGCTCATAAAATGTGCACCAGGCATACACCACGTTGAAGAGCCAGATCATGGACATGTCAGCCTCTCCCTCACTCCCTTCGGGGTCTCTGGGGGATGATAACGCCTTAGAAGCCAAAGCAACACAGGCAAAATGCACAGGCAGGAACCAGACAGAGCTGGGCAAGTGCCTGCCACTTTCTCACTGAGTGACCCTGTGCAAGATCCCATGCCTCTTGATTAGTCTCAGATTCCTCATTTCAAGTAGAGCTGATGCTCAGTCCCCTAAGGTTCTTACAAGGACTAAGACAGACCAAGATACAGGCACAGCATATAACACGGGGCCTAATATCCAGGATGCAGCATGTGACACGGGGCCTAATATCCAGGATGCAGCATATAACAGGGGGCCTAATACCCAGGATGCAGCATATAACACAGGGCCTAATACCCACGATGCAGCATATAACACGGGGCCTAATACCCAGGATGCAGCATATAACACGGGGCCTAATATCCAGGATGCAGCATATGACACGGGGCCTAATATCCAGGATGCAGCATATGACAGGGGGCCTAATATCCAGGATGCAGCATATGACACGGGGCCTAAAATCCAGGATGCAGCATATGACACGGGGCCTAATATCCAGGATGCAGCATATGACACGGGGCCTAATATCCAGGATGCAGCATATGACACGGGGCCTAATATCCAGGATGCAGCATATAACACGGGGCCTGATATCCAGGATGTGCTCCATCAACAGCACTTCTTCTTTTCTCCCTCCATTTCGCATCTTTCCATTAACATCCATCTGAGCTCTTCTACTTCTCCCTCTTCACTTTGTTTTTACTATATTTTTCTAATAAAATTAATGTAAGTTTTTTGTTTAAAAAAAAAGGAGGGGAGAATAAGAAAATTAAAACCACTCATAATGCCACCATAAATAAGTAGCTGTTAATATTTATTTTTCTAAGAGCATGTGTATATACATGCATACCTATTGATATTTTGAACAAAACTGGTCCCATTCTATAGGTAAAGTTTTATATCCTGCTTTTTCCCCTGACCTTTTTTCCAGGTCATTAAAAAATTCAGCAACCTGATTTTCTAATATTCTGCTTCTCAGGCAAATTGTGATTTATTTTCCTATTCTCCTATTATTGTATATTTAAGTTATTTTCAGAATTTTGACACTTTAATTACTACTGGAATGAATATTCTTATTCATAAACCATAACCTGCCTCTCACATTGTTTCTGGAAGATAGATTCATTCTCTAGATTCCTGAACAGAGGGATATATAAATATTTTCAAGGCTTTTAACAGGTTACCAAACTGTTTTCCAAAAGGTTATATCAGAAAGACAAGTTATTCTGAATACAAGAGAGTGACTGTCTGCCCTAAACCGTATCACCAGGCTCTTCCTCAGCACTGAGCGTTATCATTGTGACACAGTATCTGCCACATTTTGGCAGAATGTGGCCTTTCCTGGTGTTGGCTCCACTCACCTTAAGAGTGCTAGCTGTCTCACCAGCCGCTCTCTCTGCATGTTGTTGGCTGTGACTTCCCCTGACACAAACAGGTTTATTTTGGCAGAGTTCCCACTTCCTGCTTGTTTAGATTATGTCCTCAAGTGATACCAAAAAAGAGGAAGTGAGATTAAACACCCTTTCCTCTGTCCGAGAGTCACTGGGGTGTGCCTGACACCATATCGATGACTGCCACTGTGGCCGAGGCTCGCCTGAGGGCAACGTGGGGCTTCCTGCTTTGCACTTCAGCTCAGCAGAGAGGCCGTGCCAGAACCCTTGGGAGGAAACACTGACATTCGCTGGTTTTCTTTTCCTTCAAATCCACTAGCTTTGTGAATTAAATATTGATGCTGAGGTGTATTTGGGAGGGAAGCAAATCCTAAGGCAGATTCACATTTCTGAGACCAAAGAAAGGCACTGGAATGTATCGGTGTAACTTTAAAACACTGAGAATGCCTTGGTAATAGGAACTTTTTGGCTTCAATAAGAAAATCCTGTTTTCTCTTTAGGACAGGAACTCTGAAAATCATGTGCTGCAGAACGGAACTCAGCAATTCTCCCTCTCATCACCAGATCCAGACTTAAGAGCTTCTGGGACAAACTTACCATTTTCTTGTTGTCCTGCTTGTTAATGCTGACCACAGACTCCTTTATTACAATGTGAGTGATTTCAGGGAAGTAAGAAAAATTGTTCCACTCTTCCCGGATCTTGTTTTTCTCCTCATCCTTCTTGTGTTTATTTTCCAGTTTTTTCCGCTTCAGTTTATTTTTTTCCTTTTCAACAGAAACAACCTGATAAGATACATAAAAGGGACAGGGTTAAGTTGCTTTCTTCATTTTCTATTGGTAAAAGGTCAGTGCTGCTGGGAAACCTATGCAGGGCCTAGGTCCAAGGAAGAGAAAGCCAGCTCTTCTGGACTTGCAGGATTGGGGGAGTTGGCACCTGCAGGGTTAGGACCAAAGAACTGGGTTGTATCAGGGAATCCTGGGCTTTCATATCTGGAAGAGACCTTAATGAGCACACTGTCTAAACTATATAATACGCAATGTGCACGGAAACTCAGAAAGGGAAATCACTGCTCACTAGACATGCATCTACATTCAGGTCTCCTCACTTCCAGACTACTACACATGCTCTGACACAAACAGATAACATACTCTTCCCAGTTACCACTGAGCTGAACATGAGCTTTCTCCTATCACCAATCGTCTTGACTTTGTAACAGTACTCAAGTCGGGATTTTCCAGAGAAGACACGAATTTCATGCTTGAAATAATCTACACACTGAATAATATATATCTGCACAAGTGAAAATATTTTGTGTCGCATGAGCCCTGGAGACCAGAGATCTAGGTTAAGTTCCTGCCTCTGCCAATTACTTAACTAGTTACATCATCTCTTTGAGCCTCATTTTCCTTATTCATGAAATAGCTTACATCTTCACAGGGTTCTCTGAGATTAGACAAGTGCTAACTAACATAGTATAATACCTATTATACAGAAAACCCTCAGTAAGTATCAAGCATTATTGTTTTAGCATGAGAATAAAACAGGAGGAGAAAATGAGTCTCATATTTTATTCATTTATTTAATTTTTTGAGACAGTGTCTTGCTGTCACCCAGGCTGGAGCACAGTGGCAAGGTCATGGCTCACTGTAGCCTTGACCTCCCAGGCTCAGGCGATCCTCCCAACTCAGCCTCCCAAGTAGCTAGGACCACAGGCACGTGCCACCACATCCTGCTAATTTTGGTATATTTTGTAAAGATAGGGTTTCACCATGTTGCCCAGGCTAGGCTCAAACTCCTCGGCTCAAGTGATCTGCCTGCCTCAGCCTCCCAAAGTGCTGGGGTTACAGGTGTGAGCCACTGCACCCACCCACATTTACTTTAATATTATTAATTACAGTAATAATAATTGTAACGGCTATAATAATTTATTCAACATTTATTGTATTGCCAGGCTTTGTGCTAAATGCCGTTTAGTTTCTTCACAACCTTATGAGTTAGACAGTAGGTACCTCCATTTAACAGAGGAGTAATTTTTAGCTGCTGATAAAGGTGAAATAACTCTCCTAAGGCCATATAAGTCATGAAGCTAGGATCTGAACCCCGTCGACGTGGGTCTAAAACCCATGCTCTTAAGCCACTCTGCTCTATTTCTTCATCCAATAAATATCTCATAAAGAAGCTCCCATAAAGCAAAATCAATTAGTCAATTTCACGGAGCCAGAGGCCTAAGTTCAATTCTTGGCACAAATGCTTATTAGTTATGACCTTGGGCAAATTTCTTAACTTCTCTGTGCCTCTTTGTATTCATCCGTAAAATGGAGATAATAGCAATACTTCCCTCAAAGGTTTTTTTATTTTTAGAAATAAATGAGTTAATACTTATAAAATACTTAGAAAAGTACTTGGCACATGGTAAACACTCAGGAACTATCTGCTATTATTATTATACTACTACGTATTATACATGTTGTTATATTTCTCTACATAACTCAATAAATACTTATTTAGACCTTGTGCTACAGGGATGAAATAAAATATGAATGATACATGGTCTCCTAAATAAACTCAGCCTATGGGAGTGATGGACATGCAGACAGATGACTCCAGAAGGATAAACAGCATACGCTATGTGACACGGGAATGTTCTCTTTGATCGACTGCCAACAGCCACTTACATTTGGTTTATGCCTCCACTGGATTCCAAGATTCCCAGTCACCATCACTTCGTAGTAGAGAACGTTTCCACCGTCATTCGAATGAAACCAATTCATCTCATTTTCTGATGAAATCAGTAACATGGAAGTCTCAAATATTTCAGCACCGTAATGTTTTGTCAAAGTTTCCAAGGTAGCCAAGTATTTCACCTTCAGGTCATGCGTGGACACGCTGCTGTCACAAATGGTCTTGTTGTTAAATTCCTTTAGGAAATCCTTGAAAACATTATTTATCCGCATCCTGGTGAGAAGGTTCCTCTGTCTGATGGACTTATTCAATGTTTCTGGAATATATCGCTTGTAGCTAAAAGACAGTAGAAAAGTACATCTCCTTTTCATGTACAGGTTAGGAGAAAATAGTTTAGAAACAAATCTAAGTCCATGAATCCACATGTTGCCAAATGGGAAAGGGAGATCTATTCCCAGAGGACGTTAGATGGAGTTAGCACTGAAGATGACCATCATAAGGAGATGCAGGTGAATAGAAACTGGGAAAGAAAAGCAAAGCACATGCTCCACAGATTTCACTGAAATGGGAATTGCTACAAGTATTGCCCAATTTTCTGGGTCACCAAGGCAGGGCATCTACATTTTTGCTTGCTAGCTTCACCATTCTTGTGCACATTAGTACTCACATCTACACACTGTTACTAGGATTGAGCATCAGTTAGAAAATGGTCTGCAAGGTGTTAGGAGCAATTGTCATTTTGTGTGATGAGAAATGCTTTGTATGTTCTATTTGCATGTCTGATTTATAACTTTTCTAAACAGATCACATTTTTTATTTTAAAAATGAGAAAGAAAGGCTGGGGGCGGTGGCTCACGCCTGTAATCCCAGCACTTTGGGAGGCCGAGGCGGGCGGATCATCTGAGGTCGGGAGTGAGAGACCAGCTTGACCAACATGGAGAAACCCCATCTGTACTAAAAATATAAAAGTAGCCAGGTATGGTGGCACATGCCTGTAATCCCAGCTACTCAGGAGGCTGAGGCAGGAGAATCGCTTGAACCTGGGAGGCCAAAGTTGCGGTGAGCCAAGATCATGCCATTGTACTTCAGCCTGGGCAACAACAGCAAAACTCCGTCCCCCCAAGCACCCCCACAAAAAAGAGAGAGAGAGAGAGAGTGAGAGAGAGAGAGAGAAAGACATACTAAAGCTAATTAATACAAAAGACTTAGTGTTTGCCATGTGAATATGAATCAGATATATTATTTAAAAGATCAACAGGTAAGCTGAAAGATTAGTTACCTATCCAGGTGCTAGTGGGCGAGTATCTACAACAAACAGAATCTAAACAAGCTGATATACTGCTAGAACGGGAGTCAATGTTAAGAAGAACGTTGAGTACCCCTGAAACAAAGAACAAGTCCACTGGGGGCCAAATGCGGAGACTGATCTGCTTGTTACTCCCAGGACTGAGACAGCACCTGGCCCCGGGTCATCCCTGCCGCATGGAGTGGCTTCAGAACAGTAGAAAATTGTGAAGTTTGGGATTCATCCTCAACAAATGTTATTTTTCTTTTAGATTAATGTAATATAACAGAATTAGAGAAGAACTGTCATTTTTCAATTTAGCTTATGAAAAAATAAAGAGGAAGTACCCAAAGTGAAGGCCACAGAAAAAAGAGAAAGCAGCAGTTGAGCAGTATCGACTCAATCCCTGCATCACTGAGGAGCAAGCTGTGATCTGCTCTAGACTCTGGTCAAGCGCAAGGAGAAACAAGCAGCAACCTAATGAGAAGACGCACGCCGCCTATCACAAACAATGCAGCTACGAAATCCCTTCTTCAAAATGAGACTGTCTTCATTTATGACCATCCTAATAGCCCACTGGTGAAAAAAAACTATTGGATGTCATAGATGGACAGAACTTAAATATTCCTTCACAGAGACTTGATCTCAAACGATATTTTTAAGTAAATGCAATTTTCTTGAGATATTTAATAGTAGTTGATCAATTCTCACATTAGAATTAACAGCTCTGTAGTGAACTACTGTAACGTGTTCAGAGTTCAGGCTTGGGATGGTAGTAGCTGCTTACAGAACTGTACTGAGAAGGATTTTTAAGATGGGTCCAAAACAAAAGGAAAAAATGCAGTGATAGACGACAGTGTCCACCATGGGCAAGGAGGGGACGGAGAAGGCCTGGGGGCCACTAATTTTATTGGCATCCTCAGCTCAGAAATTTCACCCAAGCACAAATTTCTGAGATTAGCAGCCAACATCCAAAATCAAGACACAATTATAATTAGGCTACGTGTATGTAGTAAACATTCTAAGGAAGATCTGGGTTTCATAGAGAGCAAAGGTCAGCCAAACCCTGGCAGTAATTAAGCTGAAATGTGTAAGAACATGTAGAAACACCACCATCCTCACAATCAATTCTTCAGCCAGTGGGAAGCTTTACCTGATGTCCTTGGGCAGTTCTGGCAACTGCATCTTCTTCATCATGGCATAGTGTGAGATGGCCAGGACAGCCATCCCTAGACACTCGTTCTCAATATCATGTCCATCCTGCTCGGTCTTGGGGTCTCGAATAGGAGCCAGGCATTTCACCAAATCATACTGTCCCTAGGAGCAAGGGGGAGAAACCATGAGAGCCCACCCGTTTTTGATCTTGACAAGAAGGCTACTACACAGGGAGGGGCCGCCTAGAAACGCAGCACAGCAACGAGACGAATCAGATTGGCAGTTTCTCTAGCATCAGAGCTCTTTTAAACAGAGTTGGGTGTGAAGGGGCTCAGGAGATGTTCTCCCCCGCTCATTCATTTAACAAAACATTGACTGAGCACTATGCCAGGCACTGGGGAACAGTACAGACATACGAAGTCCCTTCGCCATAGAAGTGACGCTGACAAACACTGTGTACTAGGCCTGGACTGCGCCAGAGCAAGGGAAGGTGACACTGGGCTGAGGTCTGATCATGCATGAATTCCACAAACATGCTTAGATGGCCTTGTCTAGGAGCTGGGTGTACAGAGTTGATGGGGCTCTCCCTCCATTCTGGTGTAGCTCTAGGGAAAGGGGAACGTTCCGCAGTGCATCATCACCACATGTACATTTTCCCACATCTACCGTTCGAGTTTCCCATAGTGAAATGTGTCACCAAAATATACCCCCCCACTGATGGAGGTGCACAGCATTCTAAGAACTAACGGGAACTTTAAACACAAAAACTAAAACAAGGCTAACCAGCAGTGCCCAGCCCAGCTTTGTACAGAGTGAAAACGATAATTCCAGTGCCGGCTCCCACTGATTAAACCCTGCCTCAGTGCTGCCACACAGTGCTTGGCTCCTTTATTTAGTCCTCATAACACCTTACAACGTGGATGTTAACATCGTCATCTCCAACAGATGAGGAATCTAAGGCACAAAACAGTAAACAGCCCCTATTCAGTCACTCCTTCATTTGGTAATTATTGAGAACTAATTATGGGCTAGATGTTATTCTAGGTGCTAGGGAAACAGCAATAAACTAAACCACGTTCCTGATCTCCTGGAGATTCCACTCTAAGGAGAAAGAAAAGAATAAATGACTAGGAGTATCTAACGTCAGGCAGTTATAAAACCCCAAGTCAAGTAGAAGAATTGAGTACCCTGGGGGCCCAGGGCTTAGCAAGTGGTAGGCTGGGATTAAATCTAGACCTGGCCAGGACCACTGTTCAATGCCGTGCTACAGCCACATTCGGTTTTCATCAAATGACTTAAAGTACATAGAACACTAAAGTGTGAACTCTTAAGCCTTTCTCCAGCTTGGAGCAGGGCAGGCACAAAGCCTGGGAGAAGTGTTCCTGCATATGTGAGATGCTCTCTTTCCCTGAAGAACTTCAGATTAATGGTTTTTGGATGGAGGGCTCCCACTGCTCCCGTTTCTCTTCTTTTCACCATGGGATATCTTGTTTCTCTCAGGTGAGGAAAGGTCACTGACATTCCAAAAACTTCTGAGGAACAATGATCTATGCCAGTAATGTGTGAAGAGCAAAGGAAAACCTGAAACTGTCCTGTTGGCCTGTGGTTTTTTTGTAAACATTCACTGTACAGCTACCTCAAGTCACTTATTCCTGAGCCTCCAAAAGGTCAATCTAACGCCATGCTTATTCTTCAAGTATGGCACACTCTTCCTTTACACCTCTGCTCCCGGGAAAGGTAAAGAATAAATCTCAGCTATGGATACACAAAACTGGGAAGCTGAATCCAAAAAGACCATCTAAAAATGGCCAGTTCATTTTCTTTTTTTCCACACAGTATCTGCCTGGGGCTGTGCACTGTCCCCTTTCTCTGTTGTCTCTATGGCAGTTCTAAGGCATAGATGGAATGGAGATAATGGACAATTAGTAACTAAAGCCCTACAGTGGGACATAACTCTGACACAGATATACTGATACGTGTGTGATCTCACACATAATGGTATACTCTAAGGTAATAATAAACAGAACGTGTACAGGACCACCTACGTATGCAGTTGTTCACAACAGACTATAAAGTAATAGCATAAAAGGGAAAACGAGAAAAACAGAAAATGTCCAGGAACGGGTGACTAAGTTAAATAAATGACGGCTTTTCCTCTGGACTCCAGCCTCATTACTCAATTTCCTACTTGAAATCTCCACTTGTATGTTTCACAGGCATCTCCGAAAAAGGACTCCTGATTTCTGCCCCTTCCCCACCCTCTTCCCCCAAGACCTTCCCTGTGTGGGGAATGACTCCATTATCCATCCGACATCACCCAAAACAGAAACCCAGTCATCATCTTTGATTCCTCAAATTCTCTCAGCTTCCACATCCAACTCAACAGCAAATCCTATCAATTCTATCTTCAAGATGAACAGCAGATCTACTCATTTTGCTCCACTGCCACTGTTGCTACACTAGGCCAAACCAGCATTTTCTCTCCCAGGATCATTGCTGCAGACTCTCAGCTTGTATGTTTCGAGTGTACTCTTGGACCCAGCACAATCTGCTTTCCACGTGTAACAAGAATCATCGACTTGAAACATACATAAAATGAAGCCTTCCAAATGGCTTCCCACCACACTCAGGGTTAAAGCATAACCCCTTGCCAGCTCCTACAAGGCTCTGTGTATGCAATCTGCCCCCACCTGCCTCTCCAGCCTCGTTCCCCATCACCCTCCTCTGGTCTGCAGCCACATGGTCTCTCCTTGCAGCTCTACTGGCCCTCAGGGCCTTCCCCCATTCTGTTCCCTCTACATCAGATCTTTTCAACTGAGGCTGAGAGGAGAGTCGGCAATATTGAAGACATTTTTGGTCATCACTGCTAAGGAGAGAGTGCTACTGGCATCTACTGGGTGGAGGCAGGGATGCTGGTAAATACCCTACAATGCATAGGGCAGGCCATCACAGCAAAGAATCATCTGGGCCAAAAGGTCAGTAGTGCTGCTGCTGAGACACTCTACATGGAAGAAATAGTCCCCCACCCCTCTCTTAGAATTGCAGATTCCTTTTTATTCTTCAGGATTCATTATAAATGTTACCTCCTTAGAGAGACCTTCTCTGATCATATGATTTAAATTAGGTCTTCCCATTCAAACCCCCCTGTCCATATTCTCTATTGCAAGCTTCTGCTTTCACAGTACTTTCCATAATTTCTTACGTATTATCTATGTATCATTTTATTTGCTTGTTTTCTAACTTGATGTACATCTGATGCATGCAGAGGCCATGTCTGTCTTGTTCACTCCAGCATCTCCAGCATCTTAGCAGGTACAAGTGCCTGAGGCAAATAGTACGCAGACATCCAGTCAATATTTGTTGAATAAATGAATTGTTACAAAGTCATTAAAACAACGAAGATCAATATTTTAATTGACATTTGAAGGACAAACAATAAAAAAAATCAGATGAATAAAAAAGCAGTTTACAAAACAAAATGAACCATAAAATATTTTCAAAATCTATACAGTATCTAAATTTGCATGTTAAAATCAGGAAGCATACTACTAAAAATCTTAGCAATCTCAGAGTAAATGTAATTTCAGGTGATTCTACCTTCTCTTTTGTTTTTTTTCTAGCGTCTAATCTTTCTATCCTACCACCAGTGACAGAGTGGCCATCTCCTTCCTCCCCAGACATTACTACGGCTGCTGAGAAGTGCCTTCTTCAGCCCTGTTGAATTACATCTTCTAACAAGCAGAGCTTCCCTCTGACCTCTGCACATAAGGCTATTAATACGGATGAAAAATAAAATGGTAGGAGGTGGGGAAAAGGAAAGGAATAGGAAAGAAAGGAAGCCCCAAAGCCCACAAGCTGGATAACCAGCCTCTTGGAAAGCTGAAATGCTGCCTTTTTTCTCCTCACTTGGGGCAAGTCCAGGTGTGGCAAGAACTTACCCAGAACAGGCCTTAAAGCACTCTAGCACCACCAAGTTCAGCTGCAGCAGGGGGTCTGAGCTCTACAATGCCTCTCCCATCCCACAAACTCCAGCTTCTCCTGGGCCCAAACTTCCTACCTGAGCAAACAGATACTCCAGTGAGCTGGCATCAAGGAGAGGGGTTGCATCTGGAATCTTTTTTTTCTCGTAGCCATTTTTCTGCTTCTTTGGAGAATGACGCCACACTGACTGCTCATTGTCGTTGGTTCCATGCCAATTGGTGAAATAGAACCTGGAAGGCAGGAAAATGAATGCCAATTGTGGCAAAGGGGACCCAGATGTGGGCAGGGCGTCCTGGCTCACCAACAGTGGTCAGTGCCGGAGGCTGAAGTGCCCTGAGAAGCAGGCAGACAACCCTGCCCCTTGTAGCCCCTCACCATCTCTTTCCTTCTTACTAGCGCTGCGTGAGAAGTGTCCCATCAGCACCTCCTCTATGACTCAGGGAGCTAAAGTGACTTCCCGAAGATCACAAAGACAGCTCCTCTGACTTCTCACTATGCTTCCAGAATAGGGAAACACCTGCTGACTGGAACTCCATGCTGACCACAGCTCCCTGCACGCTTACCATCAGCCACACTGCTAAGCCCATTCTACCTCGAATCCAAGACCAATTTGATTGACATTTTAACATTCCTGCAACTTAGTTTCATCACGCAATCAAGATATACAGCTTACGTGGCAGTGTTTCCTACTTCCCAGATTGCTGCTATTCAACTGATGGTGTATCTTACATGATGAATAGGATTTTAAAAGAGAGCTACCCAAACACCACTACAGGCATCATGAAACGAGTTAACAAGCACTTTATATATATTATGTTATTTAATCTTCACAGCAACTCTACAAGGAAGGTTTCATTCATTTTACAGATGAGGAAAACTGAGATTCCAAGAGGCTAGGTGACCTAAAACTACAAAAGCCTGTTCTCTTAACTACTACAGTTGACCCTTGAACAGCATGGGTTTGAACCACAGAAGTCCATTCATACACAGATTTTTTTTTCAATAAGTATATTGAAAATTTTTTTGGAGATTTGCAACAGTTTGAAAAAACTGACGAACTGTGTAGCACAGAAATTTTTTTTTTTTAATTTCAGAAAAAGGTACATCATGAATACATAAGATATATACAGGTTACTAGTCTGTTTATGTTATTGGTAAGGCTTCCAGTCAACAGTGGGCTATTATTATTAGCTATGTTTTGGAGGGTCAAAGTTATGCATGGATTGTCAATTGCACAGGGGGTTGGTGCCCCTAACCCTACCTTCCATATATAACTTCCTCTGTCACCTGTAAGAAAAACACAATTTCTGGAATGTGTGGAAGTGACTAAGGGAAGTGACTGAGCCAAGCCAGCCCAGGCCATCTGTAGGCTACAGACTCAGCTGCTACCTAGGTCTCTTTCCCTTGACTTGCCCATGAACTAATGAGAAAAGAACCATGTCATGGAGAAGCAATAAATACAACTCCCTCTTTCCCTGCAAAAAGCTGCTGCTACACTTCAACAACTGTCACTGTGCTATGTTTGCAGAGCCTAAGACAAGCCAGGCCCTGAGTTAGGGCCTGAGATGTGGAGGGCTCTCAGGCATGTTTCTCGTACTCTGTGAGTTCCTGTCTCTGGGAGCAACCGGTCAGGTCCAGCAGCAACTATCCAGCAACACACAATGGGGCACGTATCACAAGCAGGACTACACTGTGACTTCCATAGGCCCTAAACACTTTTCCCTTCCTCCATAAAAAATATTACAAGTTATATTTCTCAACTATGTTTTCTGATTTTAAGTGAAATTAGACATTTTATGGGCCCCTAACAAGTGTGTGCTCTAGGCACTGTGCTTAAAGGATAAGTTGTCCTTGGACATATGACAGTCTCTGGCGAGGTGCCGAGGAGACAGGTCGCCCTCCATTGCCAGGGGAGGTGGCAGGAGGGGAAAAAGCACCAAGGAAGGGAAGCTGGAACAGAATAATTAAATGCCAGGCTACAGAGCCTGGACCATGCAAAGCAGGCAGAGCAAAGAACGAAAGCCAGGCACATATGAGGCACGCTCTCCTGGGAGGGAAGCCCCATGGAAGATAGAAACGGAAGCGGCAGAGAGAAGCAGATGCCTGTGGCATCATTCGAGCAATGCCGTGAGCTGTGCACGGAAGCAAAGGCTGCAGCTGTCCTGCTCACCACTGAATCCCAGTGCCTGGTACCTAACAGCTACTGAACACATGCTTGATAGATAAACAAAAGATGAATAAACTCAGGGAGTAGCAATTAACATGGAAAGGATAAACAAAGAAGTTACTTTAAAGGTAAAAACCAACATTTTTATAATCTTCAATGATTCTATACAGCCCATCTTCCTTGTAATTTACGAAAGTGACTGAGAATTTGACTGTGGGCTTTGGTGTCTCTCTCACACACAGAAAGAATCACACATCTGCAGAGCCACGGGCAGCATGAGCCACGTCAGGCCTCTGAAGCTGCTGGACTGTTCCCTTACCCTCCGCTGGTGACAGTGGAAAGCTAGGGCTATCAGCTGGCAGGGAGGCTGCCACTCATGCTGTACCCAGGCCTGGCACTGCTCTTCAAGGGTAGAACAGAACACGTGCCCAGGAGAACTTAGCCACGATCCTCTCCCTGGGACAAGCAGGAAGGAAGGAGTGAACCAGCTACAGAGGTTCAAAGAGGGGTTCTGACAGAATGGCCAACAGGAGGGGTAAATGCTGTTTGATGGCGGAGGAAGGCAGTAATAAGAGAATGAGAAGTAGGTACAATATGGAAGGTTTCCCGAGATAAGGAAAGAAAAGGGTTCCGAGGATGGAGGGTGTTGTCCAAGAGAGAAGAATCTCTGATGAGGTGCCAAGGAGAGAGACAGGTCACCCTCCACTGCCAGGGGAGGTGGCAGGAGGGGAAAAGGCAGATGTTCCCTGAGCCAACGGAGCCACGGCCTTCTTCTTCCACATCCTACTGAGTCTCTGTGAGAAACAGTCCTTGGATCTGGTAGAGATGAGGGCCCAACAAACTCCCTCTGGGCAGAACACAATCTTCAATCTGGTCTGAACAACGATATTCTTCCAGGCTGCTGAGAGCCCTGTGGGACCATCTTTGTCTTGGAAGCCTTTAGGTCAGATACTCAGACAGCATCAGGCTGAGGAGACCAAACATAATGTGTAGCTTCTCCACTGGAACAAAGGCTAAAGGTAAACAGAAGATGAGGGAGCCTAAAATAAGGCCGGCAGCTTTCTCCTTAATAAGATGTCAAAAATATTAACAAAATTTTAAATCCATGACTACCAGAATCAGTACCCTCCCTATCACCCATAAGACCAAGCTTGAAGACACACTGAAGACAGACATTCCACACACCTTTTTAAAATTAATTATAAAGGTGCTCATCAAACCTGGTACACAAAAATTCCAGATACTATAGCATGCCAATGGAAAAAAAATTAAAAATGACATCAATAAATGTAGAATGATACCTGCCTATATTCCTTTTCAAAATGACGTGGAGGAACAAAGCAGGAAGAAAGGAGAAAGAAAAAAAAGACAAATAGACATCAATCAGAGCTACGCACTGCAAGTTTTTGAGAAAATTATGTACAGATAACTGCATATTTTAAGTTTATATGCAGATATTATACACAACAAACTCTCTTTAGGCTTCTATAAAATGTTTTAATGGACTGTGAAATTCAATTGTTTAAAAAAGCAAGAAAATATTTTTTGAAAAGGAATACAGAATATGGTTGTCTTATGCTAAGATATATATATAAGAGCTTGGTGTTCTCATCATACGGGGCAAAGAGGTTGTGACAAAGAGGAGAGATACCTGAGGATAACTATGATTACCCAACAACTATCAAAAGCATTATCTAAAAACAGAAAACGATAATTGAAATACAAGAATATTTCCCAAAGTAAAACTGGTACTCCACTGAAATCATCACCAACATTTATTTTCATTTACGCCTCCTTTAGTGGTGAGATTATGAGGTTTCAAAATCTTTGTAGTTTGTCATCAGGCAAATGTTTTAGCTTAGGGTGGTATTTTTTTTTTCCAAGTTCAAAGGGCCTGTGGTAACAAAGCAATATCCTGTTGAAGCACCATGTCAGGTACAGAGTCAAGGTGCTAAAAGTGAAGCAACCCTGCACTTCCAGGCAGCTAACAGAAAGAGGGAACAGGCAAAGACAGCCTTTAATAGCCAGGCACTCAGACAACCAAGACTAATGCCTCAAAGAGCTCTACAATGCCTCAATTGTAAAGCTAATCAGACAATTCACTAGATGTAATTTTTGGGTTAACTCTCTTCCCTTTTCTGGGTATTAGTTTTTCCACTGAAAAAAAAATGAAAGAGTTGAATTAGGTAACTTTGGTCTTTTCCAATCCTAAAAGCTACCATTCTAGACTCTGAGCTGAGTACAGAAACCTAGAGGGAAAGAATTAGAACCCAGGGACATACCCCTTCCAGACTTCAAACTGCAACAACCCATTTCAATGCTGATCACACAGCCAATCCCCAGGCCACAAAAAGCAAGATTACATGTGGAAAAACAAAGCCAATAGCCAGAAGGCTCAGCTGGGACCTGAAATCTCCACGGCACACAGCTTTCCTCTCCAGGTGAGACTTTGGTTAAGCATAGAAAGAAGAGGAAAAAGTCAGCCCTAGGATGATTATCAAAGAAAGTTAGATCTGGTTCAGTGTCCACTGAGAAAAACATCCCAGTCATTGTGTAATGGTGACAACTCCACCAAATTCTCCCAAAAATAGTAGCTATGATACTGTGAAGTCTCCGAGATTTCAGAGGGCTTTTCTAGCAAATCCCTGCATTCTATTAGCATCTGAGCTTATCTACTGTTTTAATACCTCTGTAAGTTAACCTGCTTTTCAAAAAGGATCCACCCTATTTATAATCTCCACTGCTAAACACACATTAACTTCTGCTTAGCAAGTATGTAACTAACATATTTTCCATTCTAGTTACTGAACAAATATGTTTACAAACTCAGGAGACTGCAGCTATTGAAGTACTGACTGTCTGTGTCACCTGTGACATTTCTCAAAGTCTGCAATATGGGAGAAAAGGCAGGTGCCCATCAGAAGAAAAATTACAGCTCCACAGCCAAAAATCCTCAAGGAGTAGTCAAAACATCCACTCCCAGAGAGCAAGGCCAACCTAGAATTTCTAGTTAACACTTCAGGCAATGTTTCTCGAGCTTTTTAGTTGCAACTTTTAGTAAGAAAAATATTTTATATCATGACCTTTATATATATAGTGTGTATATATATATATATATATATATATATATATATATATATATATATCTCAAAAGTTTAAAAAATATACTTAGGTTATGTATATATGCTGATAGTATCGTCTCCTGTTTCTTTTTCTTAAATTCACTAAATTAAATTGAATTCATAACTGTGAATCCACTAAATTAAATTCATAACTATGATTACCCATTTGAAAAACTCTGCTGTAGGACACTAATTCTATTCAAAATATCCTCTGCCTTATCAAGATTTCTTTTCTAAAATGTGGCAGAGGAAGGTGATCAAACTCATCTTGAATTGTATTCCAAATACTGAAGAAGTCCTTTCTCACATCAAGCAAATACAAAAGTTACAAATTACAAAAATGACTACAATACTTCTTGGTAAGTGACTCAGGGCTCCAGGCTGACCACTGTCCCTCAGTGCAGAGGGAGCCAGGCAGGTACCAGGTCAGTACTTCCCATACCTCATCCGGTAGTGGAGCCGGAGGGACATCTTGTCATCAACGGTGATGGTGCGATTTGGAGCATACCAGAGCTTGGTGTTCTCGTCATACAGGGCAAAGAGGTTGTGACAAAGAGGAGAGATACCTGAGGAAAAGTAAAAAAACACATCAGAAAATCAAGGCGGATACATTTGGCCATCTGTTTCTAAACCCAATATATGCAAAGATAAGGAACTCTCTCATCCACAAAGAATCTGGGTCACTCATATCCTCTTAGGGCAAACAGACTTCCGACCAGGTTCGGTCAGGCTGTTTTGATCATAATCATCAAGAACTATGACTCCCCAGAAATATGCACTGTAGCTCCTGGCAAACCAAATTTAGATCATTTAAAAATAAAACTCTGATGATATTTCTCATTACAGGTATCCGTCACAGAGCCTTATCAAATCCAGCTTCAAAAAAACCCCTATCTGAGAGGTTCACAGATCCTGCCTGATGTGCACTTTGCTAATCGGAAACACTCTGGGAGTTGGGGAAATCTTCCATCTGTTTCCTACAGAAAGCACTTAAACAATTCTAACACGCTCGTGATTATACATCAGACATGCAAACAAATTCCTGGCAGTAGTATGCAAAATGCATATTAGAATAAATAATAACCAAAGTGATTTTTGTCAGTGATTAAAATCTATTACCATTAATAATAAATATACTTCTTAAGTACTCTGTATGATTATCACAAATATTTTTTATTTAGTAACCAACTAGCAAGAAGATATATGGCTTCACAAAGCTGGCCCAACAGTGCTCCCCTGCCTCTCCACTCCACCAGTTGCCTCCGTCAATAAGAGAATGATGGGAAAGACCAGGGAGATTATGAAGTCACTCACTTCTACGCCCATGATTAAAATTTTATGAACCTGAAACATAGGCAGGTTGGGGGGAGAATGACTGCCAATAATCAGCTATTACTGATATTTTCATAAGCAGCCAGGCCTCAAACTAAGATGAGGTAAACTTAAATGACAAAAAACCTGGGAGAATATGAGGTAATAGGCACTTGTTTCCCAAATCGGACATCTGCAGTGAGACTGACACTGACAGGGCCCCCTCCCTGGCCCAGCACACCCAGGCGGGGACTCTCTCCAACGCAGACACTGAGTTAAGAAGCTACAGATACCTTGGCAGCTATCTAGTGCTCTCCTGAACACCTCAATCCATGCTTCTCAAGCAATATGAACAGTTACCCTTCAGAAGTTATAGTCTTTCTTATAAACCGAGAATATGGAGTTAAACTGTAAAGGGAAGTTTTCCTTGGGAACATAGGCAAATGGCTTTTGGATTCAGTATTATTAGGACAAATAATTCAAATATGCTATAGATTTTCATTCATAAAGTGGCTTTTGTGGACTGGGCTGGAAACCCAGCCTTTCTTTATGCATATCCACATTTGAATGTGCACCAACACTTACATATCTGAAGTGTAACTTATTTTAACCATGGAACTGTCTGTAATTCTAACACAGGTCTGATTCTAACAGTATTACTACCCATAAACAGAAAGATCAAAGACATATCTCTTTATATAAAAGTACTGAGTAGTAAAACAATAATACTAACATTTACTGAGGGCTAAGTGTCAGGCATCAGGCAAACAGACTCTAAATTTATTATCTTGGCCGGGCAAAGTGGCTCAGGCCTATAATATTCTCAGCACTGTGGGAGGCCCAGGCAGGCAGATCGCTTGAAGTCAGGAGTTCAAGACCAGCCTGGCCAACATGGTGAAACCCCACAGCCAGGCGTGGTGGTGTGCACCTGTAATCCCAGCTATTCGGGAGGCTAAGGCAGGAGAATCGCTTGAACCTGGGAGGTGGAGGTAGTAGTGAGCCAAGATCATGCCACTGCACTCCTAGGTGACAGAGAAAGACTCTGTCTCAAACAAACAAACAAACAAATAAATAAATAAATAAATAATTTTTTGGCTGAGTTTGGTGGCTCACACCTGTAATCCCAAAACTTCAGGAGGCTAAAGCAGGAGGATCACTTGAGGTCAAGAGTTCGACACCAGCCTGGGCAACATATCAAGACCTCCATAAATAATAAAAATGAGCCAGGCATGGTGGCACATGCCTGTAGTCATAGTTACTTGGGAGGCTAAGACTGGAGGACCTTTTGAGCCCAGGAGGTCACAGTTATAGTGAGCTATGATGGAACCACTGCACTCCAGTCTAGGGGACAGAGCAAGACCCCATCTCTAAAAAATATTAAAATTTTAAATTTAAAAAAAAGTATTACCCTTTAATCCTCCTAATATCTAATGAGGTAAATACTATTTTGACCATCTTGCAGACAAAGAATCTGTGGTCTCCTGAGATTTAGTATGATTCAAGGTTACTCATCTAGTAAAATGCAGAGCTGAGAATCAAACCAAGACACAGCTACTGAGGGGGTGAATCAATGAGAACTAAACAAAACTTTACCCCACAGAGGTGAAAAACAGGAAAGAAAACAATACTGCCCTCAAACATCACTTTCTGTAGTAACAGTGAGAGCTACAAGAACCTGTGGCATTCAGTATGTATTTCTGAAATTGATGAGTTTCTGCAATATTCTGTTGAGCCAGTTACAGAAGAGACACCACTCATTTTCTATAAGGTAGGCTAGAAACCGACACCCCAAACTGGCTGACCCTAAGCCCAGAGTTATAGGAGGTCCAGCGACTGTGTCCATCCTCAGACTCACAGGCTCTCTCCTCTCATCTCTTTCCCAGCAGCTCCTTGGTCCCTCATTAACAGCAGCCCAATGACTCTGCAACAATGACCTTTGCTTACAAACTGAGTGAGGTTTATACCTGCTGTGCTGATGGCAAGAAGCTTGGCGAAGAGAATAAACAATATAAACCAAATCTCAAGGGGAAAGGGAGAAAACAAAAAAACAAAGCCTTAAAAAAAACTTTAGAACCACTGATTTACATCTAGGTGTTCTGATAATTACAAACACACTTAAAGCTGCTGTCTAAAGATGGTTATTTGTACACATTGCGGCCTAGTCAAAATAACTTGACAATATTACTGGATTTTTCCCACTAATAATCTATACACCTCAGCCCATTTTATTCTGTGTCAGGTTTAGTCAGTAAGAGCCTACTACGCTCTTCCCCATACCATAAGCCTCTCCCCTTTTCCTGAAACTCTGGTGTGTGAAGATTTTAGGCAGAAAGACAAATATCAGAAAGAAGGTAGGTTTTCTAAACAAGCTGTACTACTAACAAGATAAGCAATTCTTAAAATAACCAACCTATCCCCTCAGAGTTGTTCTGAGGGTTAAAGGTGGGATAAGTAAAGTAGGGATCAGGCTGTACGGCATCATAAATGGCTACTTCATCATCATAAAACGAGTTGATAGAACCTTTTTAAAACAGCTTTGAGATATAATTTACATATTATAAAATTCACCAATTTTTAAGTGTACAATTCAACAGATTCTAGTGTATTTACTCAGTTGTACAACCATCATCACAATCCAAGTGGATTAGATCTGTGATTTAACTTAATTTCTATGATTTAACTTGTCATTTAAAATCAGGCAAGCAAAAACTGCCAATGTCCTCAAGTTCAAAGGATGAAAGGGACTTTGGTTTCCCACCTTCTGAGGGCAACAGGCTAACTTTAAGACAACTCTCACTTGAAAGGAGAAAAAAAAGCTTGTGTTGTTGAGAGCCTCGTCCTTTTCACAACTTGGGAACTTGACTAAGCCACAAAGCAACACTCAGCTTCTCACTTCAACTCAGCACCACGCATGGGAGGGCAGTCACGGCAGCAGAAGGAGGGGTCAAACTTTTTAGGAGAAGTTTCGAATAATTATTAAGATATTGAGATACGCTACTTGCTGAGCAGGGACTTAGTCCCAGGTGTTTTACGTAGCACCTCATCTAGTGCTGATATTATTCCAATTGTACAGATGTGGGGAAATGAGAACTGAGCCTGGATCCACAGAAGTCAAGCGTCATCCCCTGGTATCTTATAGTTCATTAGTGACGGAGCAGAAAGAAGCCACTCTGCAGATGAAGAAAGTGAAAAGCGAAACCCTCAGAATTAGAATCACTGGCCTAAGGTCACGTGCAAGTGGCAGTGGCAGAGGCAGGGAGGAACCTGACTCCAGAGTCCACAACTCTTTCTGCCCAGCAGCGCTACAAGGGGCAGAGACCCCCAGATCTTCTGAACTAGTGTGTTGGTGAAACCCCCAGCCCTGGGCAGCTGCCAGTACTCACGGCATGCCTGTGCAGCCCTGATGCACAGTTCCTCTGCTGTGTACTCTCCACTGCCCAGCCGGAGGGGCTCCCTGTCCGACAGATAGAAGATCACTTCCACCCCTGGCTCAGGGGCCTCCAGGTTCACCTCAGTCTTCTTGGAGCTCCTCATTTTAGCACAGAAAGCCATGGCATTGCAGTCCTCTTTTATATTTAGATACTGTTGTGGAAGGAAAACAAGACTATGTGGTCACTCTATGTGCTAAAAGTTCTTATGGCAAAAGGGAGTGTTCTGAAGGTAAAAAAGCAGAAACATTTGGTGTTGGTATTGGATACGTACCTCTCCCCTGCCCCTTCCCTTCCTGGAAACCAAACATGTCAGATCTCATAAGAGATGAAACCATGGAAAATAATTATGCATACTAATTAATGAATTGTAATTTATTAATTATGTATTTTTGAAAATATGGTCAGACCATATTTTCAAAAATCAGAATAATTTTAGACATGGCCTGAATTTATTTTCTCCATTTGCACCCAAGTTGTAATTGAAAAATGTAGCCCATTCTGGAACCAACAATGTTAAAGGACTGATTATTAGTTACAAATTCTGCTGCTGTTTCTACTGGAATCACATAAGCTTTGAACAGACTTATGGCAAGAATCAGCATTTTAATTTCATGTCCATCTCCCACTAAAAAGCAAGCATGGTGAGGGCATGAACCGTATCTTATCTCTCTTCACATCCCCACCTGAGACACTGCACACAAAATGATGACCAATTCATGTTCATAAGTCACATGGAAGGGCCATAACAATTAATGAATGGAGCCTGGTTCCTACCACCCCAGGAGGAGCGGCAGGACTTTGACGCAGCACCAGGAGGGCAGGAGGAGGCCTTACTTTGGAACAGTTAGAAAACCCTGGTGAAAAGTGCGTAAGTAAGTAATTCACATAAGCACCCTCCAAAGGGAGAGCACCTAGGGCCAAAGAACCAACCTCAGCAACTTAGCCTTGGGCAAGGCCAGAAAGGAGGAAAGAAATGAGGGAAAGCCCTACACATTCTTTCTTCTTCTTGCCCAATACCAATGGGCTACAAACTAATTCGCTGACCCCACACTCCTACTACTTTCTTCCTGTCTGCCAAGCCAACCTTCACTTAAACCCCTAAAGTAATTTCTCCATAACACATACCAGATCCTCCAAGGGCTTCCCATTAATCTACAGAGCAATTCTGAGACTCTGAAACAGAGCCCTGCTCCATCATCTGGCCGGCCAGCCTTCCTCACCTTATCTTCTATCACTCTGAGCTTCTTGCTTCATGCTTGAAACCCACAAGGCTGTCAGTGTTACTGTATCCTCCCCTACCCAATGCTACTTCTCACCCTCCTGCCTTCACTCACACTGATTCCTCTATAGGAATATCTTTCTACCTTATCCCTTGCATGGCAAACTTCAACTTTCTTTAGAATTCAGCTCAGATATCGCCTCCTGCAGGAAGCCATCTCTGAACCTCCATCCCATTCCCTAAGGCCCTCGCTTCTTGCTCCTAAACTTATCCCACTGCACTAGCCACAGGAAATTTAAGCATCTTATGCACATGCTGTGAGTTCCTTGAGATAAGAACTGAGTCATTTTTCTCTATATCCGTAAGAAGCACAGAGGCTTACACATAATGGGTGCTTGCAGAATGACCCAAGGAGGCTCCCCCAAACAAGAAAAGTCATACAGGGCAGACAGCAGTCACAGTTCTCTTCACCAAATTCATTTGCTTGGTCTATTAGCTCCCCTGGTGAGGAGAGATTCTGAAAAGAGGGACATTAACCAGATATGCCTCAATGCTACAAACTGAGAGGTATTCAATTTTAACTGTTTAATTTCCAAATAAATCTGAAGACCAGAATCTTCTGGAAACCAGCCTGAAACAGTTAGTTCATAATTAACCTTGAAATTCAGATCAACAAGCAAGACCACTTGAAAACCCAGCACTGAACCCCTAACCCCATCCCACATTGAAAAACTGTGATGGAAAACAGAGTAGCTAAAAGCCTGCTTCATAATGTAAGATAAACCTTTGTCCTTGAGAGTCTTTATAGACGTGACAGGGGAAGAATCCAAAGACAGTGTTGCACCCTCTAACTCTAAGGAAATAAACAGGCAAATGCATGTAATTATATATTTACAGGATGTCACATTGTTTGAAATATGAAAAAATCGGCTGGGTGTGGTGGCTCATGCCTGTAATCCCAGCACTTTGGGAGGCCAAGGCGGGCGGATCACGAGGTCACGAGATTGAGACCAGCCTGACCAACATGGTGAAACCCCTGTCTCCACTAAAAATAGAAAAATTAGCTGGGCGTGGTGGCATGCGCCTGTAATCCCACCTACTCGGGAGGCTGAGACAGGAGAATTGCTTGAACCTGGGAAAGCGGAGGTTGCCGCGAGCCGAGATCACACCACTGCACTCCAGCCTGGTGACAGAGCAAGAGTCCGACTCAAAAAAAAAAAAGAAATAAGAAAAAAATCCAACTGACAATGTCCAGTAGGAGAGGACTCACTAAACAAAACAGGCAGGACTACTATGTGGCTGTCAAAAAGGATAACATAAAGCTGCATATGAATCAACACAGAAAGATGCACAGGACATTCTGCAAAATGAAAAAAGCATAATATGGATAGTATGATCATGCATATGCACAACATGTATAATATGATTATGCACATGCATATTAAAATCTAGAAGAACGTACAATAAATTCTTAATAGTGGTGAACATCTAGGAGAGATTACAAGGGAAGTTTAACTTTTACTCTGTACCTCCTATACTTTTGTATTTGAGGTTTTTTTTAACCAGCATACTCAACATTGGGAATGAATAAATACATCAATTTCAAAAAATTAAAGGCAATAGCACCAATAGCCCTACAGCCTCAAGAACACGGTTTCATCAATTTTTTTAAAGCCAGATATTTTCCTTTTTTAAAAATATGCAAATCTACATACCTGCATTTATTCAGCTGTCCAGTGTTCTCCAAGAAGCAAACTGGATTTTCTTCTCTACTTTCCAAAGCTACTTCAGAGAAGCGCTAAAGACAAAAATAAATAAATAAATCAGTGGCAGAGGTAATTGCATCTGAAAATAAGAGGGCATTTTCATTAAGGAAGCAGCCCAAACCATAAGCAGGCAAGAAAAAGCATTTGAGAGGAAGAAGGAAAAAAACAAAACAAAACAAAAAAATGGCCTAGGACATCGAGAGGACAGAGAGACATCTTAGGGTGCAAACATCAAAGAGGATACTAACTTCACCGCATCAAGAAAGGAAGCCAGGGATTTTTGCTTCCCGATATGGAGTGTCCTGTCCAATGTAAATGAAGATTGTGTGCTTTTTCCATCAACAGCCCCTCTCCTGATTGTGTGAACAATAGTTTAAGACACCCAAAAACGCGCACTTTAATTTCTCATTCCTTCTAGAATTACCCCGCCCCAACCTTGTCTACACACACACACACACACACACACACACACACACACACACAGAGCTTTGTATTATTTTAACAGCTTTCCTTGTTGCTTCTCACAAATTCTTTAACAGTAGAATCCAATTATTTTTGCAAATAATAAGCTACCAACCTTGGTGATTCAAAATTGGTTCTCAAATTAACAGTGATTATCACCTCAGTTTTCTGTCTGGCCACTCAACACATTTTATCAGAATCCAGTTTTAGGAAGAGCATAGTCCCAGGCATTACAGGGCAGCAGCGAAGGGGGAGAGGGAGATGGGTTACCTCTGAGGCCACGAGGCCAGCATCCCCACAGGGCCTTACAATAGAAGGTTGGAGACAGCACAAATGGAAACACAAAAGCAACCTAAAATCAATAGTGTGAGTGCGTCAGGATGTTGTTAGCTCTGGTGACTGACACTGGCAAGGGCTGGCTTGGGAAGGCTTTCTGCAGTGGGTAAGACTTAAGTAAAAGTAATGATGGAAAGCCCGGCAGGGGAGACAAGTATGAATTTGATTGTGATGACTTTGATTTGGCTATTTTGGTATGGCCAATTTTAACAAGATTAAAATCACTGCACAAAAGTTTTTTAAAAATTAATATAATCAATTGTTTTAATTATGTGAATAAACACCCTGCCCTGCCTCAGAACAGCACTTAGAAACTAGCTACATGCTAATGCCTTGCTTCTGCTCATAAGCAGGACTTCAGATGCTATACTTGTTGAAGAGATTCACTCTTTCAACAAGTATTTTCAAACAGCTCTGCAGAAACTAAGCTAATTCAAAGGACAAGGGCAATACGGTCCCTGCCTACGTGGAGCTTACAGTCAATGGGAAGAATGGAATCAAACTAAGATGTACAGAAAGAGGTCATTACAAAGAGCTAAAATGCTATGAAGGAAAAGTAGAGAACATAAAATAGAGGGAATGTGATCTGGTCTGGGGCTCAGGAGGGAAGGGACATTGAGTTAAGATGCAATGGATGTCCATGGAGGTGGGGCATGAAGCCAAAACGGAGATAGCAGTCTCAGCAAAAGGATCAGCATGTGTGGGGAAAAAGGTCCTATAGCAGAAAGGAGCTAGGCTTGTCTCTCCCGTTGCTTGAACAGGAAAACCTCACAATACTCCTTTTTACACTTGGGCACCCAACAGCACTAGCCAGTCCATAGGCAGTGCTTGCTAACTGCATGTCTGGAGCCTGTCTACCCCAGGTTTCCTCACAGCATACCGTTACCAGCTGCCAAGGATCAGTGAAAACTGACCAGAGGGGAGTACTGAAAAGCATGCCTCAAACCCGGAAAGGGTCACAACTCAGCCTTTTAGGACAGGAAGAGAACTGTAAGTTCCACCAGGCCCAGGCTCCATTCAGAAGGGCTACCATATAAACCTTTTTAGAACTTACAAAGGTGTTTTTCTGTTGTTGTTTTGTTTTGTTTTGTTTGAGCCTAAGTCTCACTCTGTCGCCAGGCTGGAGTGCAGTGGCATGATCTCAGCTCACTGCAACCTCTGCCTCCCAGATTCAAGTGATTCTCATGCCTCAGCCTCCCGAGTAGCTGGGACTACAGGCATGCGCCACTACGTCCAGCTATTTTTTGTATTTTTAGTAGAGACAGGGTTTCACCATGTTGGCCAGGATGGTCTCGATCTCTTGACCTCGTGATCCGCCCGCCTCAGCCTCCCAAAGTGCTGGGATTACAGGCGTGAGCCACCACACCTGGCCAGAACTTAAAAAGTTTTTTAATATGCACTATCAGACCATGTGTTACTTCAACTTAGGAGTCATGGAACTTCTCTTAGCCTCATGTAAGATTCAAGGATCTGACTAAAATCACTAAGATTCTTTTAGAACTAGAATTCTACAAAAACCAGTAATCAAGGGGAGTTTGGTTTTCCAATCATTCTGTCTCTTCTGCAAGCAATACTACATTGCAATCACATTATACCTAATCTTCAAACTGACCTCCAGTATTATTGAACACAACAGTAAAATGGTATAGATTTGTGATGCTTAGCCTAGAGATTAAACTCTTCGAGAAAACAAGAACAGCAACAGAATTTCAAGACAATATGCATTAACTGTGATGCTTTTGAATGCCGATTCAATAACAACAAAATCTCTACTCTCAGGGAATTGCCATTCTGATGATAAAAATAGAAAACACCCACATAGCACTTAGAAGACATGGGAGGCACTGTTCTAAGCACTTTAAACCTAAGGCTGCTGATCCACTTTATATGAAATGACAACTGTCCTCATTCAGGATGACAAGCGGTTTTTTTGTGTGTGTGCTACAGCATTTGTGTAATGGCTTCATCCAAATAATATTTCTTCTAAAATAAACCAGACAATGTGATCTAGCTGATTATTTTTAGAGCAAGTAGAAAAGGAGCAAGATCAGTTTATATTAATAAACACTTTGGATAATTCCAAGAAATAAATTCAAGTTTCTTGCTGCAATATACAAAAGGAAAAATCATCAATGCTAGAAAGATTCACCAGGAGCAATCACAAAATACCCTTTAAAAAGAACATGATTCACTGGGTTCAATTCCCAACTCAAATGAATATAAAGACACTTAGAAAACAGGAAGGACCAGGAAGAGTAATCAGAAGGTTTTTGGTGATAGCAGTGAATTCTTCCACCCGAATTTATTTATAAAATTGTCAAGGATTTGAAAGAAAATACCTTTCTTTTGGTGACAGAGGATTACTTTTGTAGCTCAATTTTGTAGGTGCTGTTTTACATGAAAAAAAAATCAGGGAAATTTTGTGGGTTACTCAAATTGCTTCAGTTTACCACAGTCTTATAAAAAAGACAAGTATATCTGACACTTTCTCAACAAGGGAAAAAATAAAAGAAACAAGACACAATTCTGTGGGTTGGAACAAAGCCTCACTGCAATAGATAAAATGTCAGAAATTTTTCCAAGATGCAAAATTCCAGAAATCTATCTGAAAAAACTGGAACTCTCTTAAATTTTCAAGGGCATCTTTTGAAAGACTGGTATCTGCGCAAGGGAAGAACACACATTTTGGATAGTGGACAAGGAAATAAAAATAGACTATTTTAATGTTCATAAATATGATCATCAGAATGAGACCACTTTGGCCAAGGGCCACTGCCAGATTTTTACCGTTAAAAACAGACTGGTTGACAGTGAAACTCAATGACAAGAATTAAAATACTATGGATATAAAAGAAACCATCACACCTACAATGAATTACTTTGTGTTTGCCTTAAAGGAATCAAACCTTTTGATTTCTGAAGTAGAAAATACAACTAAAATGTTTATGAATTAAGGTATGAACTCAGAAAAACTGAAAGAAAAATATGTAATTTAGAAAATGCCCTGAAATCAGCTTCTTAATATCTTAAGAAATTTTAAGACTAAAAATCTTAAGCCTTAATCAACTATTTCAGCAGGCAGCAGTCTTAACGTTGGTAAGGAAACCTAACACAACAATGAAAACTACAGGAAGATCAGGATTTTTTTTTTTTGTCTTGTATTTAGTGCTTTATCCTCAGCACAAATTAGGTGATCAAGAAGTATGTTCGGTAACAGCTGTAAATGAAAGATGAAGGTACAAAGTAAGCAACATTATGCAATGAAAAAAAGCACAGTAATCCAAGGTGTGTAGGTTCCCACTAACTCTATACTAGCAAGTGTGACCATGAGCAAGTCATTTTCATCTAAGCCAGTTTCCCTACCCATTAACCTAAGAGGAAACATCCTGCCTAGAGGGTTGGTACAAGGATTAAAAATATCTTTCAGTGAGAAGTTGAGGCAGGAGAACTGCTTAAGCCCCAGGAGTTTGAGTCCAGCCTGGGCAATATGGCAAGATGTTGTCTCTTTTTAAAAACAAACAACTTTCAAAAACTCTTCATCAAGTACCTACAATGCCCTTTTTGCAAGAGGCTATAGATGTGTAAGTGTACAAAAAGGTATTGACGCAATATAAAATAGTCTTTATGGCACAGGACTAAAGTGGGCTATGAATCTGCTTCGAAGAGCAAAGTCTAAATAGGGATTCTGAGCAAAAGCCTAGATACAAATCAAAACCCCATTTCATAAAGCTCAGATGACACAGCAAAGCAGTTAAGAGCACGGGCTGGAGTCATTGCAACCTGGGTTTGAATTCTGGCGTCTCCACCGACTAGCTATTGTAATCTTAGGCAAGTTAGTTAATATCCCTAACCTTCAATGTTCTTGGTGTAAGTGGGGAGATAAAAATAGCATTTATCTCACTGGGCTATTAAGAGTTAAGTCAGTCAATGCATGTAAAATGCCCAACAGAGTTTAGCATGCAGTAAGCACTCATATTTTGACCATAATTTGTTAAACTGATTACAGCTTGATGAAATATACAGTTCCAGTCAAGGAAAAAAAAAACAATATCTACTAAGCATTTCAATATCTTGAGCCTGGAGTTAGGCACTCGCACTTAATTCTCATAAAAAGCATGAGAGGTTTTACGCTAATCAGCGAGAGTGCCAGGAGTCAAACACGTGACTACTGATTCTAAGGACCCTGCTCGTTCCACAGTGGGGAAGAACTGCTCTAAACTGTCCCCATCAGCAACACCACTGTCTTCTCTGGTTTTTTAGTACTTTTCATAGTCTAACAACCACCCAGGAGACTGATCTTACTCCAACACTCTTCCTTCTGTAGACTGAAAGGACTGTCATTTAAAAAATCACTGCATGGCCCCAGCCTTCCCTGTGTTCCTGCCCACTACTAATGCTCTGCCCTGGCACCACTGCCACAGTGTGAGAGGAAAGTCCTAGCAACATGTGAACAGGAAGCCTCCTAACAGCCTAACCTACACAACAAGCCAGGGAAACTGCCAGTGGCTTCACACCCATAGAGCCACCGAAAATGACTTGTATCTATTGCTACTGGGACCCCACTGCTATGCTGAGACGTGGAATAACAGTTCTGATGAAAGCATCACAAGATACTGTAAAGCTGATGGATTCCAGCCAAAAGGACGACATCATATAAATACAAAATCTGCTATTTTTCCTGTCAGGAAGTCAGAACTATGGCTTTTCTATATGCCACTCCTGCCACACAGAATAACTCACTTCTAACTATAGCAGCAATTCCAGGAATACCCCAGAACCGTAAGTGCTGCTTCATTTACAATAAACTAGGGATGATTAAATAATCAATGCCAGCTCAATGGTTCGGTGCTTCGCACTGCTCCCAAGGAGCCTGCATTCAGTGAGAGACAGTTTTTGATAAAAGTAAATACAGTACTTTGCTTAAAGTCAGTAAGTGTCTTTCTAAAAGCCACATTGTACCAAGAGACTTTGTTACTTTTCCTTTTCTAAAAAACTTTTTCTTCTTTTAAACTAATTACCACTAACACATCCATAATCTTATTAAAGAGCAATGAATATAAGATTTAGTGAAGCCATCCATATCCTTACCCCAGGGTCAAAGACTTGGTGGCACAAATGGACACTCAAAACATGGCGGGGTGGGGAGAATGGCTTGTCTTCATAGTATGTGCTTTTTTGGGGGGGATGGAGGGGGATGGAATCTCGCTCTGTCACCCACGCTGGAATATAGTGGCACAATCATGGCTCACTGCAGCCTTGACCTCCTGGGTTCAAGTGAACCTCCTGCCTCAGCCTCCCAAGAAGGTGGGATAACAGGTGCACACTACCACATTCAGTTAATTTTTGTTGTTGTTGTTTTTGGGAAAGGGGTCTCACTATGGTGCCCAAGGTGGTCTCATACTCCTGGGCTCAAGCAATCCTCCCATCTCAGCCTCCCAAATTGTTAAGGTTACAGGCATGAACCAACTCACCCAGGCACAATATGTGCTTTTTAATCATTTATCCCAAAAATACTTCTGAAGCACTTGTGCCATCACAATAAAACCTTGCATTTATATAGCACTTTATGGCTTAAAAAGGGCTTTCACATCTAAACCACATTCGAGTTTCACAGCCCCTTCAGATGGGAAGACTCGGCTAAGGCGTTCCCACAGTCAACTGGCCAGTGAGAGGTGAGATAGGTCTCAAACACATTTCTCAGCTGTAGCCTCACTCCCCTTTCCATTTACCACTCTGCCTTGGGCAAGGTGTGGGACTTCAGGGGAATCCAAAGAAGTAACACAAATACATCTGAGCATGCCAAAAATCTTACAATCTACTGACAGCTGGCAAGACTAACATATACACGGGAACCCCAGGGAAGAGGCTGTGAGGGCATGCTGAGAGACAGACACTGAGAACCATGGGAGTCAAAAACAGAGGACACAAGGGCCATGCTTTGGGCTGAGAGGGGATTAAGGAGAGAGGAATCTGCTCTCAGTTTTCAGAAATGGAGAAGACTGAAAAAGAGAGAGGAAAGGTACAGCTGTTCTTTAAAAAAAATAAAAATAAAGGCCAGGAAGAAGGAAAATCACAAGCACAATTGTGCAGGAAAGAGTATGCAGACAGGAAGAATCTTGCAGGAAAAAGGCAGACAGCAAGGAAAGGAGGGGAGGGTGCAAGAGGAACAGAGCTTGTGCGAGAGCTTCTTCCCACCAGTCAGAAAGAGGCCCATGTTCCAGCCCAGATCCACTAGGACCTGCCTGGTGTTGAGCAAGCCTCTTAACCTCTCTGAGCTCAAACCCTGCATAATGAAAAAGTATTGGATGCCCTCCAAAGTTCCTTATAGAAGCAGTTAAAAGCCTGCTCTTGGAGTCACCCTAACCTGGGTCCAGATCCCAGCTCTAACACCCACTGTCTGAGACCTTAGGCCAGTTTCTTAACCTCTGTTGAGTTTGTTTCCTCAGAATAATAGAAGTATCTACTTTACAGGGTTGTTGTGATGATGATTCAAGATTTCCCTAAATCTCTTAATGCTAAAATAAAATGCTCACACCCATTAGGAAATCAGTTTTCTGTGAGTATGCGCAAGGCTTTTAAAAAGCTTAAAACTGAAAAAAGAAACAAATAAAACAAACCCTAACTTATAAAAGTTTGAAACCATTTTGTACTGCACCTAACATAGCTCATTTTTTATTAACATGTATTTCCAAAATGTCACAATGTAAAGACATAGAATCTCCTGCTGATAAGTCATCTGACAAAGCTTGAAGGTACCCATAATTTAAAGGAATACAAAGGAAAACAACCCTGAATCCTTCCACCCCTTGCTAAATTTTACTATTTGTGTCTACCAAGCATTCACCTACTTCTTCTCACCTGTCACATACTAAGTTCATTTAGGGCAGACACAAATCTAACATGCTTCCTATATCCACTCAGTGTTCTTGGGTACAATCAACAGAAACCAGCTCTGCTTACCTAAGGGTAAAATGAGTTTAAGGGAAAGACAGAAGGACAGAGGAACAGCCTGATAAGGACACCACTGCTCGCACAGCCTCCACCGGTCACCAGCCATCACCAGGACTGGACTCCCAACTCTGCTGCTTCCATGAATGATCTCAAGCCACCTCTGTATGTTTGCACCACTCCCTCCAGATTCAAAGTCCTGACGAGGAGGAATCGAAGAGGTTGAACCTAGTTTGCCCTCAGTTATGTGTCTGCACCTCCTTCAGCTTCCACAGCAACAATGGGAGACCACTCTAGAAACAAAGGGGGTTCCAATGCTAGACAACCCCCCAAATGGCAAATGTCCATTTCAGTCTATGCACCAAAGGTACTCAGCTATTGCCTCAAAATGTAAGTTAGGAGAGAAAACAAAACAAAACGAGGCGGGGCACAATGGCTCACGCCTGTAATCCCAGCACTTTGGGACGCCAAGGTGGGCGGATCACTTGAGGTCAGGAGTTCGAAACCAGCCTGGCCAATATGGTGAAACCCCGTCTCTACTAAAAAAAACAAAAAACAAAAAACAAAAAAGGTTAGCCGGGCGTGGTGGTGGGTGCCTGTAATCCCAGCTACTCAGGAGGCTGAGGCAGGAGAATCGCTTGAACCCGGGAGGCAGAGGGTGCAGAGAGCAAAGATCATGCTGCTGCACTCTAGCCTAGGTGTCAGAGCAAGACTACGTCTCAAAAAACAAACAAAAAAAAACCAGGAAATCTCAAGAAAAATCTTTCTCTACATGGCCCCCCTACACTTGGCCCCCTCAACCAAAAAACTGTAACCAGTTTTTATGTTCAGCTTT
Organism: Homo sapiens; assembly: GCF_000001405.40. NCBI lineage: Eukaryota > Metazoa > Chordata > Mammalia > Primates > Hominidae > Homo > Homo sapiens. The sequence continues at coordinate 64,894,891 of NC_000001.11, forward strand.
GAAACTGCCCTGCCAACAAAGACTCCAATCTTAAACTGCTGGCAGAGCTCTCAGCGAACCCTATCCATATAATGAGTAATGCACTTAGTCTTCACCAAGGCGGCAGCAGCATCAGGGCAGAGCAGGATCGGCAGGTCACCACAGCGCCTCTGGAGCCACTGTGCCACCTCTCACTCCTCCCCAGTCTGCCCCAGTTTCCCCTAGCATTCAGCCAAGAATCCAGCTAGGGTTACACATCATTGTCTGATATCCTAGGAACCTATGCTGACAGCCATGCTTAAAACAGCTTTGCAGTCTTTTTTGACCATGATCCACCGTAAAAAATATATTTTGTAGTACACATGTGTGTATATGACATACAAGTTTCACAAAAAGATATTGATCCTTACTATGTGCCATTCCCTCTACCTTCTATTCTACATTTTCTTATATTTAATACATTTTTAAATGCTAAACAAGACCCACAAAACAGATTTCACAGCCCAGTAAAGATTAACAGACTACAGTTTGAAAAACACTGTTTTAAAGGACCCAACAAGGTTACTACTAATCAAATTTACCTTATTTTTGTTTTTATTTCAGCAAATATAAGAAAGTGAATATAAAACAGTGAGACATTCCCCAGCTGAATATGAAACAGTGAGACATATTTCACCTCAAACTTCTTTGGTTACCACAAGATTACTTCTCTTTTCTCACAATGTATAGCCTATGATGTTTCAATACAAACAGCTGGACTGAGACCCATACAACGCATATGCACAGTCTTCATTTCACAATAAGCTTCTCCTCCCAGAAAGCTCTTCAGTTGGTTACCTCCTACAGCCATATAATGGTACCACAAAGATCTAGAATATGTAGAAACTATACCCACAAAGCATGGAAGGTCTATTTTTAAAATTCTGCCAAACCACTCTTCTTACACATGACTTATTTTCTCACAGTCCCAGGTGTCTAACTTCATGATCACATCTAGGGATGCTTCGTACAACCAAAAGAATTCAAAATCCATTCTGTGTACCTTGCAACTGTGCAAAATTTTCAGTGTATTTCATGGAAACAACGGTTATCGTAAATGAAGAGTTCAGTGCATGCCTGTCAATGGGGAACTACTCGGGAACGGGGAAGCTATCCAAGTCTTGGAGATTTAGATGGTAGATGGGTATCCTGAAATAGGTTAGGAATCTTTAATTGTATTTCCCTATCAATGAATTGAAAACGGTGATCAGATGCAGTTATTCTTTCTCAAGATAAATGCTCCTTTTCCCACTCTGCACATAGGAAGGCAGTCTCAATGACACTTTTTTGCATCCTTGAAGCACAGTCCAGAGCATGCTTACATTCACAATTCTTTTACGAATAGCCCTTGTCTAACAGACAACACTTGAATTTAGCCAAACTGGCATCCATTTCAAAGTATCAAACTATTTAGTGGCAATGCCTGGTCATTCCACTTAATTTTTCTGTTGGTTTCTTTGCAGGGGATGGGATACACTACAGACTCCAGCCACGGAGCTTCTTTTGTCTTTCCTTCCCAGGAATAAAAGCATAGAAAAAGAAGACTGAAGGATAATTTGCAAGACTACTTAGCAATTAGTGGAGGCAAATATTATGGTAGGATGTAAATAACTAATTGGGCTAAATATAACTAGGAGAAATAACTCACTTGTTCCAGGACATCATTAATTAAGTAAAATCAACAAAAACGCATTGTGTAAAGCCTGCGATGCACAGCTCAGTAAGAAGAAAAGAAAACAACAAAAGATATATCGCCAAAGAAGAATTAGCAACCCAAGCACATAGCAAGGTAATAATACATGACTGATTGCCAAACACAGGACACACCCGACCAAGCGAAAAGAGCACGTCTGGAGAAGGTCTAAGAGTGGGGCTGGTGTAGTGAGTTTGATCGGATCCAGAGGACGGCAGGGAAAACCAGCATGGTGGGGTTGAATGTTCAGGCTCAGGAAAACCTCAGCCCTGCCACTTAGTAGCTGGCTTTGAATAATTTTTAACTTTCTATGACTGTTTTCTCATTTGCAAATAAGGATAATCATAATTATTTTACAGGCTTATTTTAAACTCTTGGAAAAATATATACATAAACACAGTAGGAAAACTGGCTCACAGCAGGCATGCAATACTACTACTATCACTACGAAGAAGGTGGGATACAAACAGGATGAAAACAGGAGCTGAGTGAGGACAACATTCCAAATAAGGGAAACATGAAGAAATAGCAAAAGAAGGAAAGTGGGGTTGGGCACGATGGCTCACGCCTGCAATCTCAGCCCTTTGGAAGGCCGAGGCGGGTGGATCACTTGAGGTCAGGACTTTGAGACCAGCCTGGCCAACATGGTGAAACCCTGTCCCTACTAAAAATACAAAAATTAGCCAGGTGTGGTGGTGAGCACCTGTAGTCCCAGCTACTTGGGAGGCTGAGGCAGGAGAATCGCTTAAACCAGAAGGTGGAGGTTGCAGTGAGCTGTGCCACTGCACTCCAGCCTGGGCAACAGAGCAAGACTGCATCCCAAAAGAAAAAGAGAAAAAAAAAGAAGAGGAGCAGGAGGACGAGGGAGGAGGAGGGGGGGAGGGGGAGGGGGGGAGGAGGAGGGGGGAGGGGGAGGGGGAGGGGGAGGGAGGAGGAGGAGGAGGAGGAGGAGGAGGAGGAGGAGGAGGAGGAGGAGGAGGAGGAGGAGGAAAGCCGGAGGGTAAGGCACTTGACTGAAGACTAAACAGGTTTGTGTAGAACCAAAAAAGATGAGGTAAGGAGGAAAACTGGGCCCAGGCTACAAATGCCCCCTAAGGAGTCTGGATTTTCTTCTGAGGGGATACTACCCAAGGAGAATGCAGATCCCCAGATTCATGTGAATTCCTCAAGTGGAAAGTCCCCAGTATGTGAAGGTGTGCTACGTGGGGTGGGGGTTCTCACACATAGGAAATGATGGGAAAGGCATGGGCATAGGACACCTGAAATTCAACTGTGTAAAAATAATGTCCTTCTTTTTAAAGATTCTTAATGAATCTGCTACTCTTTGATGGATATATAGGCACTGTACATTGAGAAAGGACAATAAAATTTAACTGAGCAAACAGTTCAAATACTGCTATGGGTAAGAGCTAATTTGAATATTCATTTGAGGGATCCATACCTTTGCCCCACCTCGCTATACACACATACAAAAAGGAAACTTCTTTAAAAAATAAAATAAAATGAGAAGCTAGAGGTTTTCTTGTGTAAATCATGATGTTAATGAGTCAGAAAGAACTTTCCCAAAGCTTGTCTTCCTGGTTGTCGCGTCTGGCTGGGACATCCACTAATAGCACTGGGAGAGTCAACATTCTGCTGCTGGTGACTCATCCTCCTCTGCTAGCACAGTCGGAGGGACCAGCAAGTTCACGGGGCTGCCCTTGGGAGTCACTCTGAATTATTTTTGTAACATCTTGTCCTTGGATAAAAGGGAATACAGAGTCAGAAACCAGAGGCCAGGAGGCCATCTATTACTCAGCAGAGTTGTTTACACAGCCCTGTTCCTCTATTATCCAGAATTCAGTGTTCTGGATAACTGATAAAATTAAGGCACCTATGTTTCCAGGGAGCTGAATACAGCAAATGCACAAAAGTCATGTTGGATGAAATTCTACCTTCCCTTGATGATTCAGAAGACCATATCAGACCTTCTCAGGCATGACTGCAGATGACAAAGAGATTATTAGAACCTGATTTTGACCCATTTCCATCTCACAAGCCTGTGAAATGTGGACTCAAGGGTGTGGGAGAACTTCAGTTAGCAAAATTTGCATAAATAGTTTCCTTCTACTGTCATCCAGTTAAACAGTCTCCAGGAGCTTGCATGAATGCTTTATCAGGTCACCAAGCTCTCTGATGTATGTCCAGCCAGGTGCTCCCTGAACATTTCTGGGCCTGGCCAAAACTGTGCTTGTTCAGTGCATTTCAGCTGTATATATAGCTAATAATTAGCAGCAGAAATGTGGCACAAACCCAAATCTCATGGATCCCACATTGCACCAAAATAAATATTAATGAAGGCACCTCTGCCTTTTTAGTCTTTCTCCAAATGAATTTTTAAAAAAGCAAAGTTGGCTTAACTGCTCATGACCATTGACTAATATAAAAATCAATAAAAAATCAATAATTATATACTTTTTACAATTTACAAAGCACTTTCAATACTTGATCTCAATCCTCACAATAATTTGAAGTATCATTCCTCTTATTCTACTCATAAGCAAACTAAAGCTTAGAAACACTAAGTGACTTGTGAAAGATCACATGTATTTATTACCTAGGACTCAAATCTAAGTCATTAGACAGCAAAGGAAATGGAAACAACTAATGGAAAAAGGACCTATAATCATGGTGAAAAGGTGAAATTTCAGTAAATTAAAATTGTTTATCTATCTAGTCAGTAAAGTTGGTGTTATACTTCTTTTTAAATGTAAATATAAGCCTGGATTAGGTAGAAGTATAAATTACTGTCACCTATAAACTATGGGTGACAACTCTAAAAATCATTTAGACTCATCATAAATGCACACATTCAACATTATAGAAAGATATCACTGAAAAGCCAAAGTTCCCCTCCCTCCTCCCAGAGATAGTCACTATTCAGTTTTTGGTAAGGCTGAGCAACCCAAATCAAAAAATCTGAAGTCTGAAATGCTCCAAAATATGACTTTTTGACTACCACATTTCTTGAAGGAAATGCTCATTGGAGGATTTTGAATTTTCAGATTTGGGATGCTCAATGGGTAAGCATAGTGCTAATATTATAAAATCCCAAAAATCTGAAATCTGAAAATTGTCTGGTCTCAAGCATTTCAGATAGGGGATACTCATCTGTACAACTCTCCCTGAGAACAATTTAGCTCCACTTTCAATTTGGACTTGAAGATTCTCCTATGTTTTGACACAAGAATCTTACAATATGGTAATGAAAAAATCAAATTGAAAAACAGCATGTATAGGATGATCCTAGCTATGATGCATAGACGCACACATGTAATCCTAAAGAAACGGTGACAAAATGGATGGGGAGGACATTACAAGAATAATTACCTGTGAGTATTCCAAGGTGTTTGTGATAGTAGTTACTTCATTTTGCACACTTTTAGAGATTTTCTAAGTGTTCTGCATCAAATATGTGTTACTACACTAATGAGGGGAGAAAAGTCATTCCCCCTGGGTTATACAGGAAATTAGGGCTGGGAGTAGGAATTCAGGAGAGCCAATTCACCTCTCTACCTGCTGCAATGGCTCAAGATTGACTAGCAATTCAAAGCAATTAAGAGATGTGACAAGGCAAAACATAATTATTTGTCATTGACTGATAGAGATATTAAGTGCTATGACTTCAGAGGACAAAGAGATCATTCTAGCATGGAATTATTCCAAAGGATTCATAAGTCAGAGATCTAAGAAGGTAAAGGGAACAGATGAGCTCCATTCTAGGTGAAGATAAAGGTGTAATCAAAGGTAACAGACATTAAATCACCAAGCGAGTTCTGGGGACAGTAAGCACAAGACTTAAGCATTTCATGAAGAGAAGAAAACAAGACTTAGAAGGCAGGCTGGGGTCAGACTGACATGAAGTGAGACAGCGAAGTGGACAGAGATCTTGGAGTCCTAGGAACTGCGACCATATCCACTTGGGGAGCAAGCCCTAATCGTTCTAACTCTGTTGTCTCTGTTCTAACTCTGTTGTCTCTACCCACTTATCTCCCAAATTACTGCAACAATCTCCTGAAAGTTTCTGCCTTCATTCTCGTCCGCTTCTATTCCAAGTCTCTACAATGCAGCCAGTCTTATTTCTAGACTGCTAATCTGGAAGTATCATGCTCTAAAACTCTTTTATTTCTTACTCTCTTAGGTGACATGGCTTACAAGGCTACTTGTAATCAACTTCTCATGGCTCATCCCCATTTGTGCCCTGAACTCCAAACGTACTGAGTTACCTGCAGTTCCTGTAATCCAGCATGACTTTGTCCTCCAAGCCTTTGCTGTCCCCACTCATCCTTCAGTTCCTAGCTCAGGAATCATCTCCATCAAGGTTTCCCTGACTTCTCCCATTTCCCAAGTGAGGCGTTCAGAGAGTCCTGTGCTTACCTTTGGAGTAGCACTTACATCCTGCTCCCTAACTGTCTGTAGAATCATCTGTCTTCGCTGTCTTTGAGCACCCTGAGGGCAGGGACTGCAGCTGTTATCTGGGTACATACAACACCAAATAACAATGCCTAAGGCATGCCAGATATTCAATAAATGTCTGTGTAAGAAGCAAATGTTTAAACATTTCCTTCCCCAGCATGCCTTCTCTGACTATCCCCACCTCCTTCCAGAAGTACTCACCTAATCCATGCAGACACCATAGACCAAGTGCATTTATAAAACTGTTTTATAATATTAAATGTGTAGTTTATATGCCTAACAGAATTGCGAGGAATTATTTAACTTCTTATTTTCTATTCTCTCCCATCATGGTACCCACGAAGAAGCCCACATGCTTACTCTTCTTTCTAATGGAACACCATGCCCTGAGATTTCCCAGTGTGCTGAGAGTTGCGTAGGCCTGGAAAGATAAAGAAAGTCTAATACAGTATGTCAAGTAAGGTCAGCCAGCAGGTGAAAAAACTCAAAAAACCAACCAGATGTTGGTTTCTGTTACAGAAGAATCATTGACAAACTGTGAACCAAAACTTAGACACAGTTTTAAAAGTATTCTCTTACTTATAATTATAATGCCCTATAATGACATTTAAATTTTTAACTTATTTTTTAGGTGCACAATTCAGTGGTTCTTAGTGTAATCTCAAAAGAGTGCAACCATCATCACTATCTACTTCCAGAACATTTCACCACCCCAAAAAGAAACCCCATGTCACTCTCCATTCTCCCCTATCGCATCCCCTAGCAACCACTGGTCTATTAGCCTAGTCTAGACATTTCATAGAAATTGAATCATATAATGTGTGTGTCTGGCTTCTTTCACCTACACAATGTCCTCAGGGGATCCATGCTGTAGCATGCACCAGTGCTTCATTCTTTTTGTGACCAAATAATACTCTATTGTATAGGGCATTTACGTTTTTTTAAATATTATTTTAGAGAAATAAAATAGGGATGATGATACTCCTTAATCTTAAAAATCACCATAAGAAGCCAAAATAATATTATCAGGGGTGTATTCTTTATCACAGTTTTCTAATTTAATCATTGTGAGGTCAATGGAGTCTTCACTTCCTCAAATGAGGAAACTGAGGCTCAAAGACATTACATAATTTGCCAAATGTCATTGTAGCTAGTAAGCAACAAAACCAGAACTGATGTGTATTTTACTCCCTTTAGTGCTCTTCTCAGCACGATACATTTCTAGAACTACTTCATGGTCCCAAACAGCCTCCTCAGCACTAAAGGGAGTAAAATCATCAGTCCTGTCATTTGTGCCATAGATGTTAAGACAGACAGCAGCATCTCTCTGTCAATCCGAGGATAAAGGATAGAGGGAAATGTTTCAACCCTTCACTCACCCACTTGCTCTCTCAACAAAGAGTTGTTGAAAAACCCCTATGTACTATGCCCTGCACAAGGATCTGAGTATATAACATGAGCACTGGGGACATGGTGCCTTTACTCATGAATTTGTGAGAGAGAGAGAGAGAGAGAGAGAGAGAGAGAGTGTGTGTGTGTGTGTGTGTGTGTGTGTTATGGCATGTTAAGATGGAAGAGACTTGAGAACATTTAAATAATAGGAAGAAGGGAGTTAAAGGATAAAGGTAAGGACAGGGAAAAGGATTAGCTACTAGCCAAAAGTCAGAAGAGGGGAGTGAATGGGCACCAGACCCCAATACGCAGTGGTGGAAGAGACAGCTGATTGTATGCCATTGTCCTTCCTCTTCTTCAACAGTAATTTTTAGCTGTGCACAAGAATGCTCACAATAGTGACTACAATTGCCAGCTTCCTTTGCGGCAAGATATGACCATGTGAGTAAGTTTGGCCAACAGGATAAAAGCAAAAGTACTGTGTGGCAGCTTCTACCCTGGAGACCACTGTAAGGTCTTTGCCCCGTTTTCTTAATTCCTTCTCCTATCTGCAGCCTAGAATATGGATGCTGCCAACATGGTTGGTAAGGACAAAGAGACAGAGTTTTGCTCTTGTCACCCAGGCTGGAGTGCAATGGCATGATCTCAGCTCACTGCAACCTCCACCTCCCAGGTTCAAGCGATTCTCCTGCCTCAGCCTTCCGAGTAGCTGGGATTACAGGCATGCACCACCACGCCTGGTTAATTTTTGCATTTTTAGTAGAGACGGGGTTTCACCATGTTGGCCATGCTGGTCTCGAACTCCTGACCTCAGGTGATCCACCGGCCTCGGCCTCCCAAAGTGCTGGGACTACAGGTGTAAGCCACCGCATCTGGCCCAAAGTCTGTAAACTTTTTATTACCTGCTCCAAAACTCACCCTAGCTAGCACATCAGCTGTAAAGAAAGCAGCCCTCATGGCATGGGGACAGAGGGAGCAGAGCAGGGACACAATGAAGACTGGAAATGTGTAATTCTCTGAGCCTGTTCAAGGTGAGCTTCTAATACAAATGAGACAATGAAAGATACTAGTATTGGTGAGAGGACAGGAAGCCTAGTGGATAAGTGCACAAGGTTTAGAATCACATACCTGGGTCCTAATTCTGGCTTTTCAGTCAGGAGGTATGTCAACTTAGACATGTCTCTAAATCTCTGAGCCTTAGCTCTTTTATCTACTAAAATGGGAATAATACTAGCTCCAATCTCTTAGTGCTGATAGCATCATAAAGTCTTTGCCAGGGATAAAACGACTATGTGGCTGCTGCAGTGACTATTACTGAAAGACACTTCTTGTCATGAAAGTTATGTTAACATAACCCAGCTGTGTTGTAATCCACACATCTGACACAGGGTCAGAAATAATGTCCAATCTATCTTTGTCCTATAGATTATCACAATCAAGCTCTAATTTGGGACCTCTCCATGGCACATTCCATGCTCTTAGGAAAGTTAATGACTTGACTACAAGTTCCTTGAGAGCAAAAACAAGATCATTCTCTCTGCAGCCTCAAGACATAGCTAGTTCAGTGCTCTGAATCTAACAGGTATATATTTGTTCAGTAACATTTACTGAGACACTACTATGTGTCAGGCACTGTATTAGACACTATGGTTCTAGTAAGGAACAAAAAAGACAAGGTTCTTTAATATAGAAACAGATATAATTTTTAAATATTGATTTAACGAATCAGAACCAGAAAATGTCACAGTCAGGAGTGACACAGTAATTGATTAATTCATTCAACCTGCTCATACTACATATGGGAACACAAACCAACAGAAATGAAGTATCGCATTCAATTTGAAGGTAAGAATTAAATTAGCATTCCCAAATTATGTTTTCTGGAATCTTGTACTTCTGTGCAATGATAGTAACTGTTCTATGTACATATCCTTCTAAAAAGAGAGAGAAGGAAAATGAGGGTCCATAGTGAAAAAATTGGAGAAACACTGGTTAAACATAGTTAAATAATATTTTTAACAGCAAGAGCTCTTAAGCCTTTCATAGTTAATAAATGCAGTGAGTCTCCAACTCCCAAAAAAATCATCAGACCAAGGCACTTCTTTTTTAATGGAATATACATTTGGAAAAGTCCGGATCAGATGTTCTCTATGCTCTCTTTCATTTCTCAAATTCTATAGATTTATCTGACAGCATCAATCTCAGAAGACTTTTCTTCTTGGGTAGATGACTTAATATACCAGATTCTCTAGAAAAGGCATTCATTCACATATATTCACATTCCCCACACACATATATACACACACACACACCCTATAAAATTGGATAAACACAAGCATGGGATAAAATCTAAGATTTCAATATAATAAGATTAGACTAAAACAGTGTTCATAAAAGTAGGGGAGAATGAGCCATTTTTGCAATTTTACCTTCAAGCAGATATTCCAGAAGGTAATGCCCGGAAAAAGTTATATTTACCTACTACTCAACAACCCAAACACCTGGGAAAAATCCTTGCAATTCTGATAAAACAGGTAGGCACAAAGAAAATAACCCAAAGAGGGAGAGAAAATATGGTCACCTAGGGAACAGTGGAGGCCCCTTTCCTCAACTCCCTCCCAAATGATCCTCTGCCTTTATTTGCCTCGGCCTTCTTGTTTTTTCCCCTTCAACCCACTTGATCTTCCTGTTCTCATCCCACATCTTTCTGCAAGTCTTCTCTAGGAGCTGGCTACAGGGTCTTCCCAGAACAGAGCCCACAGTTCAGGAAACCCTGCCTCATCTCCAGTGCGAGGACGGTGACAGAGAAGGGGCAGAGCAGACTGAGATGAAACAAGTTCAAACAGCTTACGAAAACCTGGGAATCCAAGCAGATATCTGTCCACAAAAGCAGACAACGTCAACTGTATCCGATTCACATTTAGAATGCATACATGTTTTTATAAATGTACATAGCTCTACATATGTCAAATATCAGTGTTAAATTTTTTTAGTATGAGAATCCTGTTAAAGGTAATAGCTCATGGATCCTACTGCTATATATATTTCTGGACTAATAAAGAAAGAAATAATCGTATTGAAAGCAGATATTGTACAGTAGGCCCCCTGTAAAATTTCCCAAATACCCTCCCTGTCTTCACTCCCTTAAATCCCACATTTACACATCTACACATTGGGAACCTCTGCCATATAACAAATTTGCACGCACCTCACCCAATCCCATAAAATAGACTTTCAGAAGAAAAATCAAGTGAAAAAGTGATTTATCCATGTAACCTCCCTTACTCCTATATTTAGTCATGCAATTAAGCACTAAGTTGTTTTTGATGTGTGTTTATGTGTACCTATCTCACATGATCCCTACAAACAACCTAAATGAGGAAAAGAGGTCAGGTTCCAGCATTCTCATTCTCAGAGGCCAGAGGGAGCTCCCCCACTTCTCAGTCTCCAAATGTCGGTGGCCCAAGGACTCAGGCCTCAATCTTCACTTTTTCTCTATCTACTGAAGTGATCTCACCCTGTTGCATGGTTCAAATGCCACATGCATGCCAACAATGTCCAAATTTCTATCTCAGAACTCCGATCTCAAATATCCAACTACCTTGGGAGGCCAAGGTGAGTGGATCACTTGAGGTCAGGAGTTCAAGATCAGCCTGACCAACACAGTGAAACCCCATCTCTACTAAAAATACAAAATTAGCTGGGCGTGGTGGTGCATGCCTGTAATCCCAGTTACTTGGGAGGCTGAGGCAGCAGAATTGTTTGAACCTGGGAGGCGGGAGCTGCAGTAAGCCAAGACTACACCATTGCTCTCCAGCCTGGGCAACAAAAGCAAAACTCCATCTCAAAAAAGAAAAAAAAAAAAAAATCCCAACTACCTCTTCAGCATCTCTACTTGGAAGTTAACAGGCATCCAAACCATCATCTATATAAAAAGCAACCTGGAATTCCCACACCATCAACACACACCTCCTCCCTCCTCCCCAGCATTCACTCTCTCAGTAAATGCCAGTATTCACCATGTTGTAGAAGCAAAACCCCCCAGCAGTCAGTCTTGACACATCTTTCTCTCACATCCCACATCTAAACCATCACCAATTCTATCAGCTTTAGCTTCAAAATATGTCCCATATCCCACGATTTCTCGCCACCTACACTGCTACTACGCCATTCTCAGTCACTATCATTGTCTTAACATAAGCATCAAGAAGGCAGGGCTGTGACAGTTTTGTTGTATCTGCAGTGTATGACAGACAAAGCTCAATAAGTGGTGAGTGAATACATAAATATTGACACAGAGAGGTGATATGACTCATAGAGCAAGTAAATGGCAAAAGCCAGGTCTTGAACCCAGATCTTTAGAAATATAGGGAAGGACTGTTTCTGCTATTCCACACTACCTCTTAAAGCTTTAAAGGAAAAACGGAGGAGTGTATACTACTACCTTTCATGCCAGTGCATGTTTTTCTTTTTCCTTTTACCACTATCTACCCACTAAATGCACATACTCAAAACTCCTTGTCCAGCAGACTTCTCTTAACAGTGAGGAGAAGCACAAAAAAAAAAAAAAGAATATTTATGGATCCAAAGTACAGTAAACTTTCCAGTAATGCCTTTATAACTGGGTTTGTTTTGGTAAAACTGTATTTGTAAAAAGAGAAAAGATGATAGGGAGGGGAACAATTCAGATGCTTCCACAGCCTAATTCCAGTTCTGAAATGAAAATAACAGTACATGGGGTTGGAAGTGGAGGTGTTTCTAAGACATGGAGATGTATGCATACGTTCTATCTAAATATACTTACATATTCCTCCTGGCATCCTTTAGGGAGGAATAGCTATTAGAAAATGAAAAGGCTGGGTTCTGAAAGGTTTTGATTCTGAAAGAGAGAATAACATTGTTCTAGCACAATAAACTTCTGGGCTTTTCTCAGACCTACAGCAAAGTAGAATTTAGAAAAAGTGCTGGACCCGTTAAAGGCTCTGCCATAATAAATCCTTTCACCTCCCTGAGCCCAGGTTCAATAAGACATACAAATAAGATATGTTTGGACACACAGCGGGGAACATCACACACTGGGGCCAATTGGAGGGTGAAGGGTGGGAGGAGGGAGAGGATCAGGAAAAATAACTAATGGGTGCTAGGCTTAATACCTGGGTGATGAAATAATATGTACAACAAACATGCATGGCACAAGTTTACCTATATAACAAACCTGCACATGTACCCCTGAACTTAAAGTTAAAAAAAACAAGATGTGTTATGAGTGTACCCTCAGCCCTGACATGCCAGGATCTCCCTAATTTTATAGGTGGAGCCCCTGAAAGGACACAGAAGTTACCTCCAAGTGTAATAAAACACATACTACTGAAACGCACATGTCTCTTTACTATCAAGTAATATGGACTACTAAAAAGCAAAGTAGACCCAGCTCACACCAAAACTGTATTCATTAATTGAAATACAATTATGACTCTTAACTCTGTTATTCTCACTAGCCTAAACACTTTTAAATCATATTTTTCGAATATGGAACTTGAGACATGCTCACAAGTGTATAGAGCATTGTACCATCTGTCCAAAAATGAAACTGGTAAAGAAAAAAAAGTGACAAAGTAGACTACTGACCTCCTTAACAGACAGAACATTTCAGACACTTTAGGAATACCCATTTATCTCTAAATAGTATTGGTAATATAAAGAGAAGTCAAGTCAGTACTGCTCAGGTTAGAACTTTAATGCACTAATCACAAGTAATTCTTATCAAATTCTTAAACATTAAACCTCTATTAAGCCATATATAAGGCTTATAAGGCTAGTTTTTCTGGTACTTACTCTCACGGCAGTGACCCTCTCAAAATGATGCATCTATTCAGCTCTATCCTTATTCATCTCAACATGATATGGGGCTCTCTACTGAGCCACCATTTCCACTTGTGCCATTCCTTTTTACATATTCTACTGTGCAGCTTTCAATATGTTCAGGCAAGTCTTCCTTCTCATTTGTTCCAATTAGTAAAAGTTTTACTACGTAGATTGAAAAATATATATATTAATTATGTTTTACTTAAATTAGTGCTTTTGGGAGAAGGTCCCAAAAACCCCAGAGCAGAAGCAGATGGTTAAGTCTTCTATCTTGCCTAGTCTTCAGGTTTTTATTCCTTTTACTAGTAAAATAGTATTTGAATAATCTTAATCAGATATTCAAATTGCTGTATTTCAAGCTTGTTAAAATGGAAGCATATGCCCACAATTTTTAGAATATACTGTGTGTATGTTCATGGCAAACATACACACACACACACACACCCCTTGTTAAAATAAAGATTCAGTGTACACTGTATTTATGAATATAACCTCTATGCATAGGAGAAACTGTATAATTAGAGGCAGTCTTTCTCCAGCCCAGAAAGCAAGCGAATACTAAATTCCCAGGCCAGGTCCCAGGTCTCAGAAAGCTCTATCATCAAAAAGCCCAGACCCAAGAAAACACTACTGGCAATATAACAGACACAGATAAGTGGTTGCTGAGTGAAAGAATGAATGAATGAATGAACGAACGAACGAGCTAATTACAAAAAGACAGAAGAACTGAGATTCTACTGCTACTGCTATCTAGCATTATGCTAGCTATCCGCCACATTTTTATTTCTCCTTCCTACCAAACTATCTGGATGCAACGTAAGGCATTCCAATCAGATGTGATGTTTTCTTTTGTCTCCAAATTACTGCTTGGTATTTAATGGTGTATCTCTTTTCCTAGTTTTCGGGAAGCTTGTTAGCAGCAGTTGCTGCTCACAAGAGCTGCTGACAGGGAAGCTGGCACGTGCACCCCATCTGGGCCGTGGTGAAAGAGGGGCTCAGAGGCAAGCACAGCTGAAAGCAGGTGGGGGCGAAATAGCGTTTAGTAGAGGGGAGCAGATGATGTGGAAAGGAAACTAGCTTGTGATCAAAGGTTTTAGGATGGAGGGGAGAAGAGGACAAGACAAGGAAAAAAGGATAGCTGGGAAAAATGACAAAGAAACAGAAAGAGATGGAGGGAGAGACAGTGTCACAAGAATTATTCAGAGAAAAGAAAACAGATCTTCTAGGCCAGGCACAGTGGCTCCCGCTTGTAATCCCAGCACTTTGGAAGGATGAGGCAAGAGGATCTCTTGAGGCCAGGAGTTCAAGACCAGCCTAGGCAACATAGTGAAACCCCCTCTCTCCAAAAAAAAAAAAAAAATTTAGCCAGGTGTGGTGGCACATGCCTGTAGTCCCAGCTACTTGGGAGGCTGAAGTGGGAGGATCACCTGAGCCTGGGAGGTCGAGGCTGCAATGAGCTGTGACAGCACCTCTGCACTCCAGCCTGGACAACAGTGAGACCATCACACAAAAAAATAAGACAGGGTCTCAAAAAAATAAGACAGGCGCTTGCTCTTATTCCCACCTGCATACACTAAGTGTTACCAATCATTTGTCCAAGAGGTTAATAGGCAACATATGGAGGTAATTTGCTCTCTTTAGCCCTGTTCTGGTGGGAGGTGACCTCCTCAGTGGGATGGTAGACCAGAGTATATTCTTTATTGACTCTCAGGCAGTATAGGTCTCTGTACCACAAAAGCTTGTGCCTTCTAAATTTCAAACAATTTCATGAAAATAATGTTGAAACTATGATACCATCTTTATATTCGTTATTTATTTAATCTTTAACTTAACCCACAAGATTCCAAGGCAGTTTATAAGAACACATTGAATAAAACAGAAATACGTATTTTTAAAATCCAGGACTAAGGAGATTGTAATACGGGACAAAAAGTCAAGGCTAGTGGAAAGTTATTTGTAGTCTACTGCTTTCCACATAGACATTAAGGATGGGCTACGAATTTGGCTTTGAGTTTCCTAGGGGTCAAAAAAAAAGCAGGGGAGAAACATGATCAAATGCATTGCTCTCGTTGTCAAAAAAGGGAAAAGAAAATGTTATTTGAGGAATGAAAAGTTTTTCTGATGGTAGTTCTTAAATTTCTCCGGGGGAAGAGGGAGATTTGAAATTTCATCTAGAGCTTTTGTGGTCTTCCCAATTACTTTGAAGAGTTAACGCTGTACTTAGAAATATCAACATATGGCCAGGTGTGGTGGCTCACGCCTGGAATCCCAGCACTTTGGGAGGCTAAGGCGGGCTGATCACTTGAGGTCAGGAGTTCGTGACCAGCCTGGCCAACATGGCGAAACCTTGTCTCTACTGAAAATACAAAAATTAGCCAGGCATGGTGGCGAGCGCCTGTAGTCCCAGCTACTGAGATTACAGTAGGAGACTGACGCAGGAGAATAGTTTGAACCTGGGAGGCAGAGGTTGCACTGAGTCGAGATTGCGCCACTGCACTCCAGCCTGGATGACAAAGCAAGACTCTGTCTCAAAAAAAAAAAAAAAAAAAATCAACATAGGGCATTTAGATTCCAAAACACCAAGTCAGAACATCAGCAAACAAACTGTACTCTTCATTTTTAGTGTACTTCCACAAAGCCATTTCCCGCTGGGGTTCCTCTGTCCTCTGCCTGCACTTCAAATTTACTTTCTTAAGATGCACCAACCAAAATGGGCAATTAGAATGTTTAAAATGCTAATACCATGATAAACAAGAAAATTATTCAGGAGTGAAAAAAAAAAACAATTATTATCTACTGACCAATGTAGTTGGAGAGATGAAATTCACATAAAATTGAAGAAAACTACCAGAAAGCATCTAAGAAATACTTATTTGGTGAGGGATTTGGGGCCACAGGAATGAGGCCAGAAAACCTTCCTACTTCGAAAGATTAATAGTAAACAATAGATGGGTGTTATGAATACAGGGTGACCATATAATTTATCAGCCAAACTGGGATACCTGAGAGTTAAAGAGTGTGCTATCAATAATTATACCCAACAACAGGTGTAAACTGGGGCTGCCCCAGGCAAACAGAGACATATGGTCACTCTCTGTGTTCATCACAGCTTTACATTCCTATCACATACATGTCCTCATTACACCCCCAACAATATCATGCCGGATAGAGGCCAATAACATTGTCTCCGTTTTACAGATATGTAAATACATGCCAAAAAGATGACTGAAGTAACTAACTCAGGTTTTGCAAAGAGAAGTATCTGAGCTGAGACTCCACGCAGGTCTACTGACTCCTAACCCAATGCCCTTCCATTAAATCATCTAAGTAATGACCTGGACCCAGTCAAGTATCCATGATATGCACCTAGCTAAGTTCTTTCTCCTTTCCAGTAAGAGCAATAAAAGTTGAAAACATTTTCAAATGTCAGGAGAAAATATCTACCTTTCAGTTTTAAATCCAAGCATAGCTAGGTTCATATTTTGATTATTTTACATTTCTAACAGGACTTTGTTCCTGATTTCACAATTTTCTGTTATTTCATTTCAAATGATCTAAATATAGGCAAGGATCCTAGACAACAACAACACAGATTCATGACAGGCTTAAATTCAAAACTCTCATAAAATTTAATTCCATTAATTCAGGCTCTCCAATAATCTTCCTCTGTTTTCTGACCCCTATGTCATCATCTGCCTTACATTAAATAGCAAATGATCAGGAAATGCTTTACAGAATTATTAGGTAATAAATGGTCACTCCATCGAGTAATTCTCAAACCCAGCTGTGTATCAGAATTACCTGGGAGCTTTTTAAAAATATATGAATTCCAATCCTTACCCTACATCCATCAGGGTCTCCGAGGCTGGAACCCAGAGTAGACAATTTTTTGAACTCTCCAGGTGATTCTGAGGCCCATCTGTTCTAATGTCAATCCAAATCTGACCCACCCAAGATTTCCAAGGTAGACACAGCTAGCCCCTGACTCACTAGCAACCACAGTTATGTCATTCTACTCTCTCCTTTGCAACCCACACATGATTTCTTCTTACTGATTTTCTTTTTCCATCCTCTACAGTGCAGTAGCATCCTGCATTGACAGGCAGTTAAGGGCATACACATTGCAATCAGAAAGCTGTGGGGCAGATCCTAGTCACTCCTTTCAAGACCATAACCAACGTCTTCTAAACTAGTCTATGTCAAAAGATAGTAATGGTCACGATCATAACACCAATAATAAAAGCTGATATTTGCTAAGCACTTACTATGCCACTAACAATGCTAATCACTCTACATGAATGATCTCAATTGCCACATTAACCCTGTAAAGCAGGACTACTCTCATCCCCATTTTACATTCCGGGAGAACTTTGCCAAGGTCATACTGCTGGGAAGCGGCAGAACAACAAAAAAAGGTCCATTTCTGAAAGGTAAACCACTTCTTGTAAAAGTACTTCTAAAAGGAATCAGCAGTCCTTCTGGAACATGAAACATTTAGGCTTTGAAGATGCATCAAAGGTAATTTTTTCCAGTGTGTGATTTGGGGCTTTGCTGATTGGCTGGCTGGAAAGAAACTGGATTCAATGTTTCAAATGCAACCTCATACCCCAAATATTTATTACTCTCTAGCTGTTCCACTGGATAAGGTAAAATGAGCTTCCACTTAGATCTGTTTAATTGGTAGGGTGGCCATATACATATAAAAATTATATATAAGTTTTTTTGAGACAGGTCTCACTCTGTCACCCAAGCTGGAGTGCAGTGGCACAATCTTGGCTCACTGCAATCTTGGCCTCCCAGGCTCAATGCTGAATCCTCCCACCTCAACGTCCAGAATAGCCGAGACTACAGGCGTGCACACCATCACGCCTGGCTAATTTTTCTATTTTTTTGTAGAGACAGGGTCTCGCCTTATTGCCCAGGCTGGGGTGTCCATATAATTTACTGTACCAACTAGGAGATATTAAAACATCAGGAACTATTCATAACTATGCTGGGAAAATAGGAATAGGCATATACTGGAACATATGACCACCCTACTGACAGCAGAATTCAAAGACAATAAATGGCAAGTGAACTGCCATGGACTCACTCAACACCATGGCTCAATTTCACTCAATAAATAATTTTTGTGTGCCTACAATGTGCCAGCCTCTGTGCTAGAAATTGGTCATACAATGATAATAATTCCTATGAACCAGACACTAATAGAACTGACTAATCATTCAATAGTTACAACATGATAAGCTTCGTATTAAGGAGAAAAATCAAACTGCAGAATAATACATATGGCAAGATTCCATTTGGGAGGGAGGGAGGGAGGAAGGGAGGAAGGAAGGAAAGAAGGAAGGAAGGAAGGAAGGAAGGAAGGAAGGAAGGAAGGAAGGAAAGAAGGGAGGGAGGGAGGGAGGGAGGGAGGGAGGAATTGAAAGGAAGTGTGTGGGAGCAAAAATAATCTTCTAACTCCATATAAGGGTGGATCAGACGAGGTTTCACAGAGAATGTCCTGGGGCTGGGATTTGCAGAAAAATAGATATTAAATAACAGAAATAGGTGGGACTGGAGATAGCACATTTCTGGCAGAAATAAGAGCACAAGTTTGAGAGCATGTAGTGGTCCTTTCACAAAGTGCACATTGGTGCACTGGAGGGTGCGTTGGGGGGTGAGTGGCCAGACATGGGGCTACAGCAGTGGACAGAGGCAGGCGTGGTCAACCCTCTAGACCATGCTGAGTAGCCAAGACTCTACAATGCAGGTTAGAGGAGGCCAGTGATTGTTGATTTTGAGAAAGACCAATGTCAGGTCATTTTGAGAGCAGCTGACAGAAGGCAGAGACCAGCAGTTTGGAAGCAACTGCAATGGTCCAAATAAAAGATGATGTTGAACCAAACACTATGAATCCCCTACCTCAGACAAGGGGCCAGGCACTAGGGATTCAAAAATAAACACGATCTACTCGCTGCCTTATGGAAAGTGAGGTTAAATGAAGAGGGAACAATTTTAATATAAGAGAATGACCATAGATGCTTCAAATAAAAGGTTTAAGTTAAACAATGGAATGCTTCTGACTCTAAACACTTTGAGAACTGCTAAAGAAAAAGCTAACACAAAGTTTAGAGGTTGTAAAGTCCCAAAACAACGAAATAAACAGCTGAGGAGAAAAGAACCTTTCTGAGACAGAACTATCCAAGGCTGACCTCTTTTATTAAGTGGTTGTAAGGATAACTGGGAAGTATCTGGGCAAATACATGGTTTTGTTTTGTTTTTTTGAGACAGAGTCTCATCTGTCACCCAGGCTGGAGCGCAGTGGCGTGATCTCAGCTCACTGCAACCTCTGCCTCTGGGGTTCAAGTGATTCTCCTGCCTCAGTCTCCTGAGTAGCTGGGATTACAGGTGTGCACCACCATGCCCGGCTAATTTTTGTATTTTTAGTAGAGATGGGGTTTCACCATGTTGGCCAGGCTGGTCTTGAACTCCTGACCTCAAGTGATCCACCCATCTCTGCCTCCCAAAGTGCTAGGATTACAGGCATGAGCCACTGTGCCCAGCCAAACACATGGTATTTAAAACACAACTATAACTATAGTATTGCAACTTGGGGAACGTGTGATGGGTGGGTCTTTCCTCAATACAAGATAAGGCACAACACTATTTAATAAAAAAAGCTCTCTGATTTTTTAAGTCTGATCCAACTTCAAATCCCACTTACTAGCTATGTGACCTTGAGTCAATTATTTTACCTGCCTCTCTTCACTATAAAATGAGAATAACCACATATATACCTTATAGGATTGTGAAGGTAAATGAGGCAGGATTCCCAGCTAAAATGGCAGATTGAACAGAAATACCCAATTTCACTCCCTTCTGAAACTCCACTAAAATATAGTACATATTTTTAAAATATATAAAGTAGTATAATAAATACAGCATGGCTTTTCTGTTTAAGACCAAATTCACAAATATGTAAGGGGAAAAGAAGAGGAGAAAACTACAACTTTGGAAACTGGAAAGTAGTTGGATATGTAAAAAAAAAATTGACTTCGATAATCCACAAATACTGAATCCCAAGCTGACAATGGCAAAAGCTGATAACCAAATTAACGTATACCACAGAAGTCTCCAAAGTCACAGGAACTGGAAGGAAGCACCAGTAACTGGGGTGAAGAAAGAGGGCCAGAGAAAGGTGTTTGAGAAAAAGAATCCCGTTGGCCACTCCTCTGCCCCAGCAAAAGTCTAGACCAGCACTGTCCAGTAAAATGGTCCACAATAATGGAAACGTTTTGTATCTGTGCTGTGTCCAGTACGGCAGCCAGTCACATGTGGCTACCAGGCATTTAAAAGATGGCTACTGTAACTGAGAAACCGATTTCTTAATTTTATTAAATGTTAATTTAAATTTAAGTGGCTACCATGTGGCTAGTGACTATTTTATTATAAGGAAACACATATCTAGAGGTTTAGTTTCTGGAAAGGATAAGACAAAGGGTCCTGTAACTAGAGATGTCAGGTGAAGCATGGGAACCTCTGGGCACGCAGAAAGACGGCATCTGCACACATGCTGAGTGCTGGGGGCCAGGATGCTACAGCCTTCACCCTCTTCCCTGCAGCTCCAGAAATGCTGGCAGCCAGTCCCTAGCCCTCCAGGTGAGAGACTGGAATACTGTCTTCTGAGGAATGTGACCATCTCACCAGGACTGACCTAAAGACACAGAGGCTGGGAGTTCCCCAATGAATGGCTCACTCTTAGTGACGTTCAAAGTTCACAAGCCCGAGGCACATGCTCAGCCTTCCTCCAAGTTTAATCATAAACAAACAGCCAAGGTAAACATATGTCTGAGGAAAGCCTCTAATGCAGACATGGAGATAGAAAAAAGCAACTCAGAGAAAACATTACACAGAGAGAAAACTTTAAAAATTAATGTCTTCAGAAAGATAAAAGAATACCTTTTATTTGTGAATCAAGAATAAAATGTTTCTTTTTTAAAGTAACATTTCAGAGAAAAAAGGAGCTCTCGAATATTAAAAAGATAATAACAGAAATGAAAACACAGCTGGGAAAGGGCCCTACGGAACTTCTAGGTTGATAGAAATGTTCTATATTTTGTTTAGGGTGGTAACTGCACAAGCCTATATGATTGTCAAAACAGCCAAAGGAACACTTAGCATTGATAAGCTTTGCTGTAGGTAAATAATATCTTAATTTTCAAAAGCTAAAAAGGTTGGAAGATAATGTTTAGGAAAAGGCCAGGCGCAGTGGCTCATGACTATAATCCCAGCATTTTGGGAGGCTGAGGCAGGGGGATCTCTTGAGGTCTGGAGTTCAAGATCACCCTGACCAACATAGTGAAACCCTGTCTCTGCTAAAAATACAAAAATTAGCCAGGTGTGGTGGCATGCATCTGTAGTCCCAGCTACTGAGGAGGCTGAGGTGGGAGAATCGCTTGAACCGGGAGGCAGAGGTTGCAGTGAGCCGAGATTCTGCCGCTGAACTCCATCCAGCCTGGGTGACAGAGTGAGACCCTTTCTCAAAAAAAAAAAAAAAAGTTTAGGAAATAGGTTAGAAAAGAACAGTTTGAAAATAGGAGAAAAGAGATAAGAAAATTAAAGGGGGCAATCCAGACAGTCACATGTCTGAATTCCTAAAGAAAAGACAAAGAAAGTGGAGGGGAGAAAATCATCAGCAAAACCATTTGAGAAAGATTTCCCAGAACCAAAGGCTACCAGTTGCCAGGTTGGAAAGGCCCATCAAAACAATGGAGAAAAAGACCTGTTTGGGGCATTCCTGGGAAATTTCATAACATTGGAAACAAGGGTCTATAAAGCTTCCAAAAGAGAATAAAACAGGCTACATTCAAAAGATCAAAAATTGAGAATATTCTCAGGCTTTTTAACAGCTGCACCAAGGAAAGAGACAGGCACCCAATGCCTGCAAAATTCTGAAGGGAAACAACTTCCAACCCAGAAGTCTATAACCAGCCAAATTATCAACGAAGTATGAAGGAAGAATCAAGATACAGTTAGACATCAAAGATCTCAAAAAACAAACTGCTATGCATCCTTCTGAAAATAACAGGAGACAGGCTCCAACACAGGAAATAAAGATTAAACAAAGAGGAAGTGAAGGGAACTCCCAGGAGCACAGAACAGAGCGGTCTCAACACAAAAGCTGTGGCCAGCCTCAGAGGATGACCAATCCCCATGTGAGCAGGGCAACTTGAGGGATACTTATGTTGAGGGCAGTCACTGCCAAGATCCCCGTAGACTGCATTGAGGGTAGAATGCCTGGGTGAGCCTGGACCAAATTCCTAATGGAATTTGGTTTTTCTTAATCATGCACTGATGAAATTCCTGTTCCCCTGCTGTGTCCTGCTGCCTGAATCAGCAGAAGACTATTTCACCCCGCAGAAGTATTCCATTTGGCCTATTCCTGAGAGCTGGACATAAGCCAGGGTGGAGCAGCACATTCCTCTTGACTCCACTCCTCCCAGGCTCCCAACAGCTGGGCCCACTGCAGTCTTCTAGGTACCTCCAACTATGAGAAGCCCTGTTTCCCACAACTCATTCATGATCTTTTCCACTGACTTTCCCAAAAGGGTCCCTGCAACCTCTCAACTCTGGATCCAGACTTGACCCAGAGTTTCTGTTCAGACACAGGGGTAATGAATTCAACCAGAGACCATGAAGCTCTTCTCCTGGGAGCCTTCATCTAGAGATGGCATCACTGCCCTTTCCTTATACACCTAGGTTTATGCTTGCTCTGGGGACATATACACTGGTAGAAAGGGCATGATTAATACCAAAGTGGGGGTGACTGTTACCTCTGAGGGAAGTGCAGTGGAGGGGACTACCAGGTGATTTCTAAGATACCAGTAATGTTCTCTTTCTTAACCTGAATGGTGGATACATAGGTATTTTTCTCTAACTATACACATACTGTTTACATAGTCTTCTCTATGTTGATACATTTTTCAATTTAAAAAGTTCCCTCCATAGAAAATTAAATATATTTAGAGACCCTAAGTAGATACTCATTAATTTTCAATTACTTTATTCTGAGATACTACTTAGTCAAGGGCCTGGCAGCTAAGCTAGTTCTCTCCTTTTAAATCAGATGCCCTTGCTGAAAACATGCTCCACCAGGTCCTTGGTCAGGCCAAGGAACTGAGTTTGATCCCCCTCTTTGTATTTAATGGAGCTAGAGGTACCAGAGCAGCACTGTATGTCTTGCATCTGGCATTTCAATCCAGATGTTAGTTGGGCCAGAAAGAATGACCCAGGGCCCTGGAATAAACTGGGTTCCAATGAGCAATACAAGTTCTACTCAGTGAATGTGGATTACAGTAAACTGAAGAAAGATGGTCCAGATTTCTAAATGAAATGTTTCACTATAAAGCTGCTTAGAATGAAGATCTTCCAGAAGCTAGCTGCACTATTTTCCACTTAACTAGGAAATATTTCTCCTTTAGATACATGAAATCATGTTGATATAATGTGTTGGAGATTACATTAACAAATAACTGAAACTTGAAAAAAAATCAATTACCTTATCCTCTCCAGTAATCAAATACTACGCTTCTTTAAAGACCATCTTGAATGGCAGCAACTTTTTTTTCGAAGAAGAAAAATTTATAAGTATCTCATAAACAATTCTCATATTGATTACATGTTGAAATAGGATATTAATTTCACCTGGCTCCTTTTACCTTTTTTTTTATTATTATACTTTAAGTTCTAGGGTACATGTGCACAACGTGCAGGTTTGTTACATAGGTATATATGTGCCATGTTGGTGTGCTGCACCTGTTAACTTGTCATTTACATTAAGTATATCTCCTAACGCTATCCCTCCCCACTTCCCCCACCCCACAACAGGCCCTGGTGTGTGATGTTGCTCTTCCTGTGTCCAAGTGTTCTCATTGTTCAATTCCCACCTATGAGTCAGAACATGCGGTGTTTGGTTTTTTGTCCTTGCGACAGTTTGCTGAGAGTGACGGTTTCCAGCTTCATCCATGTCCCTACAAAGGACATGAACTCATCGTTTTTTATGGTTGCATAGTATTCCATGGTGTATATGTGCCACAGTTTCTTAATCCAGTCTATCATTGATGGACATTTGGGTTGGTTCCAAGTCTTTGCTATTGTGAATAGTGCCGCTATAAACATACGTGTGCATGTGTCTTTATAGCAGCATGATTTATATTCCTTTGGGTATATACCCAGTAATGGGATGGCTGGGTCAAATGATATTTCTAGTTCTAGATCCCTGAGGAATCGCCACACTGTCTTCCACAATGGTTGAACTAGTTTAGTCTCACCAACAGTGTAAAAGTGTTCCTATTTCTCCACATCATCTTTCTAAAATTCTACCTAGGCAATAATCCCCTGGACTTTCATCATTTGCCAATTTGTGCCATTATTTACTTGTAATATATGTCTCCTTAGCTAGGTTGAAAACAGAAATGAACAAAAGCATGACTTTTCCTAATGAGTCTTTCAAGTAGCTACTATAAAAACAATAATGGTCCTAAGTCAAATGGGGTGGGGCCTGACGGACACCCTAGATCCTCTCAGGACAGAGTCGGGTTCTTGGATGAGGTCCTTCCATCACTTAGTGCCTTCTCACCTCCAGCACCTGCTAAGCACAGGGCCTGGCACAGAGTAAGAACTCAAATGTTTCTCAATAAATAATAAACGACATCAAAAGAAAAAAGTGCTAAGAATCAAGTGACAAATATGACCCAAGTAATTAATGAAAAAGTAGCTCCCTATTGAAAGTTAAAAATCACTATGATCATTTCTGGTTAAAGAATCAAACAAAATTTTTAAGCATAAAGAGGAGATGTAGTATTAAGGATAATCCTTGAAAAGTATTTCCAAATCTGAAATTGACGGAAACAGGGAAAAGTGGCTTACACAAAATGAACTGTAATTTAAATGGAATAAACAGGACAAGTGTGGTGGCACATGTGTCATCCTAGCACTTTGGGAGGCCAAGGCAGGTGGATCACTTGAGCCCAGGAATTCAAGACCAGCCTGGGCAACATGGCGAGACCTCATCTCTACATAAAACATAAAAATTAGCTGGGTGTGGTGGCACATACCTGTAGTCCCAGCTACTTGGGAGGCTGAGAACTACACGAGAATTGCTTAAGCCTAGGAAGCAGAGATTGGAAAGAGTCGAGATCATGCCACTGCACTCCTGCCTGGGCGACACAGCAAGACTCTGTCTTAAACTAATCCAAGACTAGACTACACTAGACCAAACTAAAATTAAATTAAATTAAATTAATGCTGGCAGTGGAAAATTTCTCATCCAGCACATATACACTGGAGACAGCATGGTGTGGACTGAATGAGTTCTAACCCTGCCTCTGCCAGAACCTAACCTTGGGCCTTGGATAATTCAAGGAACCCTTCTGGCCCTCAGTTTTCCCCACTGTAAAACAGGCAGGCAGAATAAATGACCATGAAGCTCCCTGAAGGCCAATAGGGTTATAGGAGTCCATATATTCCTGCTTACTGATTCACTGACTGAGTTAAGTATCAAGGCAGTACACAGGAACAGGTCCAGTGCAAAACTGTCCCTAATATCCTACTGATAGAAAAAATAAGAGACACAGTTTCCAATTCAGGTGCTTTTGTACAGTCTAAGTTCTAAAAGCTTTTTATAAATGCTATGCTTTAAGACAGTTAAATGTATCCAGTGACTTTTAACCTGAAAACTGCTAAAGCCAAGGAAAATAATGTAAGTTGAACTCATGCCCATTTCTATTATAATTCCATTTTTCAGAGTAACTCATAAGCGTGCATGACTCACACATCTGAATATGATGAGATGTTCCTTTATCATTTCATCTTCTATGCCAGTAATCCCACATTACAGAGTGCCAAACCCCTTTAATAAGTGTAGCATATGTTTCTACCACACTCCAAAATCCAGCACAAGACTGCTGCATTAGGGAAAAAATCTAAGTGAGGATTTCTGGGCTTTCGATCATAGGACCCCAAGTTAGTTGTCAAAAATATGACTCCCTCGCCTCTCCCTTTCTGCACAGCCACCTAGACTACTGATAACTGAAAGCATAACAACTATCCTTCAGGCTCATACAGACATTTAGACAGCCCTTTGAAGTGTACAAAGCACTTTCACATCTATTAACTTAACTGATTTCCAGTGACCTACTAGAGTATATAGTAGGTCACTGGAAATCATTTTACAGATAAAGAAACAGAGATTCAGAGAATTTAAGTGCCTTGCATAAGGCTATGCAGCTAGCAAGTGGCTGAACTGAGACAAGCACTCAGCTCATCTAAAACCAAAAACTGAGCTCTTCTCACCAAACTGATGTGTAACCTAGGGATAAGAAAATAAGTGGTTGAAATAAAACCTCTTAGAAATTGTTGTGATTATACTATTGGGAGTGGATCAACCTTTTATAAACAAGGCAGCTTCTCTATTCCCTTCTTAGTCCCTTTGTACAGTGAGTTTCTAGAGTGAGATGGCTTACCCATTTGGACTTGACTCCAGATATACCTCCTTTCCATTTCCAACCAAGAAGATAATTCTTGAACTCTGTCCTTGTAATATGAAATACCAGCTATAGCATGACTTCAGTCAACAACAGTAAAGAGAGATTAAGTAACTGGCTGCAAATCACAAAGTTGCACAAGCAGAGTAGATCGGCATAGGGACTTCAATCTTCTCCCGACAGATGGACATTTAGACATTCCATCACCCTTCCTGAGACACAGGGCTTGCAGCAGTTCTTTCAGTGACAAAAATTCCCTAAGCAGCCCACAGTGCTATTAGTTTCCTCATTTGATTGTTCTTATGGAAAAAAAAAACCACAACAACAACACTACTAAATGCCCCCCACCCCCCAGTTAGTTACTTGAGAACAACTAATCAGACCATCCCTGTACCCTGTATAAATAAAAACAAGGGTTTTTTTGCATTGACCTGATAATTTCATTGGTAGCTACAACTAACTACACAATAGTTGGAGGTAGAGAGATGCATTCTGTATCTTTACCTTTAATTATACAGTAAGGGCTGGAATCCCCTGTCAGTTCATTCAGCCAAGCTTACAAGAAGTCACAACGTGGGAATTTCCAAAGCCAGTCAAACATCAGGAGTATAAATGTCATGTACCTAGACTTCTCAGTTTATAAACACATTTTTTTTTAAAGCTGACTAGTAACAATATAAAAATATTCCCTCCTGTTCACCACTTCAAACATTTAGTATGATTTAGGTTTTTGGTTAACCATGCTTGTTGAATGCTTTAAGGTGCTAAATTACTAACTGGGCTGGAACTTTCTAACCATACCTCATTTAAATTCAATCATAGATTACATATCAAAAACTTAAATCTCCAAGTCTCGGCCAAATGAGATCTGCTTTATAATCTGAATAGAAAATGGTTGGTAAGTAAACAAGCTAATCATGAACACCATCTCTAGAGCAAAAATATCAAAAAGACCATAAGGAGTGGCTTTGACATCAGTCAAACCTGAGTTTAAATCCTGGCTCTGCCACTTATGAGCTCTGTGTGGTCCTGGACACTTGAGCTTCTAAGCCTTACATTTCTGCATCTCTAGTATCAATTCGCTCTCACCTAACTGTTGTCAAGGACCAACCACAGTGGAAATCATACGTTAGGTACTAAATAAAAAAGATACTTATTAGCTACTATAAAGTAAATTTGGAATACAAGCCAATGTGACTCTGTGGATAATAATAACTTGGAAAGTTGGGGTAGGAAACAATTGCAGGTTCTTTCCATTAACATTCTACTTACTACCCTTCAAGGCCCATCCCAATCCAACCTCCTCCTCCTCCACCACCTAGCTCCATCAATTGCAGCCTACAATGACTGACACGCAACATAATTAGCACTTCATTAAATATTGTATTGTGTTTCTGGGATCACTATTTGCTGGTCCTAACACCTATCTGTTTAAGGATACCTTAAGCAGAAAGGCTCTCTGCGTCTCTAACTTCCAGTCTCACTACCCCTTCATTATTCTAACTCATTATAAACTACACTGAGACCACAAGTGATTACACAATGCCATTTAATTAGAATTGTGCATGCTTGAAAATACAAAAATCACCCTTGGAACAGTTAACAGATAATTTTAGCTTATTAAACACACATTTTTTAACACTCCAAAACCACTTTGGTTCAGATCACATGGGGACATTTCCATTGGTTGCTGTGGTGACTATGTCACAAATTAGAGTCCCTCTGGCTAAGATTCTCAGGCCCAGGGTGCTGTGACTAAACCACTGTAACCACTTCACATCTACTCATACACTCCCATTTTCTAAAACTTCGAAACCACCAGCCAAAAACAACTTTATTCAAACACAGAGTTTAGAATCAAGGCCACACATGCCATGACTTAAAACAAAATGAAGCTTAAACTCTTTCCCCCACAGATTTCTCTGCACTTTGCCAGGTCTTACTGATATGGTTCCAGTGCATCAGACCAACGGTTCCCAACGCCTCCCACCCCGACTCCTGCTGCTTTTTAAAACATTTATGTCATAATGCTCTCCCTTTACTACCCTGAAATGAAAATCAAAAATAATATAAACTATATACAATTTCAACATAATATAATGTCCTAACTATAAATAAAGAATTTAAAGATATCTGTAAGAATATATATTTCAATAGTAATTGCTCTGTCACGAGTACATCAGAAGACATAATGAAGTAGTCTAATACAACAACAGAACAACTCTGAATGCAATAACTATAAATGCAGTCAGATACTTGCATATTATTCTTGATGACACAAATACATGCACACCAACATTGGCAAGTGATTTATAAAAATGGTAAACAGCTTTTGGCAAAGTTACAAACAAAATAGTGTAGTATCTTATATAGTATATCGTATCAATTTACAAAGTAGTGGCATTCCTAGAAAATTAAGGGTATATCAAAACAATGCAAAAAGTCCGTTACATAAAATGGAATTACAGGTTCTAGGTTCAGAAAATTATGAACAGGCTTTTTCCCTGCAAGAATGTCTGGGGAGACATTTGAAAGTCATGCAGGCTATAGAAAAATTCTTCTATCCACAGGACTATTGCTGTGCACATTATAGGATTCCTAGTATTCCTAGCCATGACCTCCTAAATGTCAAAGGTACCCAGCCCGGCATCAAAGAGACAAACAACAAGGGTCCACTGCCCCAGCTGTGCTCTGCTATGAGGCCAAGTAGGGTCTTGTCTTTGTATGTCATGCATCAACCTTAGAACTATGTGTGGCTCCTAAGCAGGTGCTCAGTAAGTCTGAGGAAGTGGGTGGTAGTTCTTCTAAAATTCCTCTGTTTGTTCTGAAGTAACAGAAAAACAGAATCAGTATCTTCAGCAAATTGAAAGATGGCATCTACTGGACAGGACTGTAGAACTGCTGACATTCACTTAAAGCCACAAACACCTTTATAGGATGCTATTTTTCCAACCCCATAATGATGATCTAAAACCAGGACAGCAAATACACATGGTCAGCAGGGGCTGAACAGGCAAAGCACAGAGGATTTTTAGGGCAGTGAAAATACTCTGTGTGATACAATGATGGGTACATGTCATCATACATTTGTCCAAACCCATAGAATGCACAACTCCAAGAGTGGACCCTAATCTAAACTATGGACTTTGGGTGATAATGATGTCAGTGTAGGTTCATCAAGTGCAACAAATGTACCATTCTGGTGGGAAATGTTGGTTATGAGGGAGGTTATGCAAGTGTGAGATCTGTACCTTCCTCTTAATTTTGCTCTAGGCTGGGCGCAGTGGCTCATGCCTGTAATCCCAGCACTTTGGGAGGCTGAGGCGGGCGGATCACCTGAGGTCAAGAGTTCAAGACCAGCCTGACTAACACAGTGAAACACCATCTCTACTAAAAAAAAAAAAAAATACAAAAAGTTAGCAGGGTGTGGTGGCGCACACCTGTAATGCCAGCTACTTAGGAGTCTGAGGCAGAGGAATCGCTTGAACCCAGGAAGTGAGCCAAGATTGCACCATTGCACACCAGCCTGGGAGACAAGAGGGAAACTCTGTCTCAAAAAAAAAAATTTTTGCTCTAAACCTAAAACTGCTTTAAGAAAATAAAGCCTTAAGGAAAAATAAAACAAGAAGAAGAAAACTGTGTATACATCATGGCCTGATGTCCCACAGAGCCTGGGAATGACTTTAAAATCCATCTCAATGTGGCTCCAATGAGTCCTGCCAACTGATTAGGCTTCCTGACCTCAAAAATATGGGAGAAGACAATTAGTCGGTTCAAACTGACTTCCTGTGGGTAACTGGGCCTTCCACACCATGCAATCTAGTAATTCCGACTAACATCATCTGAGCACTTACCATGTTCTTCAGGCACATAGTGTCATGCACTTATTTGACCTTTATATAACAATGAGACATGGTATAAATCCCTACTTTACAGGGAACTAAATGAGGCCCAAACACAAGACCCAAGGTCAAATGCTGTTAAAGCCCAGATTATACAGCCCAGATCTGTCTAGCTCCAAGCCTGTGCCAGTTATTTGCAATCACCTATAAAACCACCTGTCTGGAGGAGTGGGGTCATAAAGCTTCCCACTATAGTGGTACCTCTCCTCTGTATGAACCCAGGAGGTGGGCAGGCTCCTTTAGGTAGATGACAGATAGCATATCAAATAAAAGCCAAAACAAAATTCCTCTCTGCTGCTCAGCCAGAGTCACAGAAAGCTGAGAAGATACCCAAATTAGATCTTTAAACCAAGCTGTGGACCCCAGGACCACACATTCCCTGATGCATAAACTGAAAGCTTCGCAATGGCATCAAGCCCCAGTGAGTGCTGGCTCTAACCTATCTTCACTCCAGTTCCTGCCTCTCTCCTACGGCCAGTGCTATTGTCTCCAGACCCCACTTTCCAACTCTGAGTACACACTAGATCTTTGCTCACCTGATGGTGCAGAGGAAATGCTCCTCCTACCTGCTCCAGTATATGTGACTCCTGCCCATTTTTCCAGACTCAACAGCAGGATCCCCTCCCCCCACCCCCAAGTGGCTCCACACTGCCCAGGTGGAACAAACTGACCCACTTCAGAGCCATCGCAGCACTGTTCATGCACACACTTTCCTCAGGGCCCTTACCCCTGTCCTCCTTACATTAACGATTATCAGTATACACGGCCCTTCCCTAGAGGGTTACTTCCTAATGCACCCCTGTATTTTCCTACAATGCTGACCACAACCACCACCACCACTAGATATACAGTCCACCTGATGAATGCTTATGACTTGATGTGGCTGCCATTCTATACACATTTTGTTTAATCCACATATTAGTTCCATTTTACTGATGACGAAACTGAGGTCTGGCATGACCCAGCCTTCACTGGCACTACAGCATAGCAGATATAAGCACAGTCTGGAACCAGAACACGTGTGTTTGAATCCCAGCTCTACCACGTGCCAGCTGGGAAATCCTGGGTAAGTTATTTATCCCATCTGTGCCTCAATTTCTTCATCTGTAAAACAATGATCGTAACACATGCTCCGTAGTATTTTGGTCAGCATTAGAAGAGTTAATGTATGTGAAGGCACTCAGCACAGTGTCTGGACATAGCAGGAACTAAACAAGTGCTTGCTACTGTTATCATCATCACTGTTTCCAACCTTGTCTTCCATTATGCCCCAAGTCCATATTTTTATGTCCTCAAATATACCAACTACTTCCCACCTTTGTCCAAGCTGACTCTTCAGCCCTGACTGCTCTCTGCAGGCCAGGTCCTCACCATTCTTTGGGTCTGCTTATGTGCTCACCT
Source organism: Homo sapiens (assembly GCF_000001405.40). NCBI lineage: Eukaryota > Metazoa > Chordata > Mammalia > Primates > Hominidae > Homo > Homo sapiens. The sequence continues at coordinate 64,927,146 of NC_000001.11, forward strand.
CTGATGGGCGTACCCTGACGACCCTATTAAGAAAGAGCTCTGTCTCTCTGGCACGGTCTCCCGTGTCCCCTCCCCCCACTCCCCAGGTCCTATTCATTTTAGCACATCCTTGTTTCTTTTCCTCAGGGCACTTATGACAGCCTAGAATTGTTATGTGTTGATCCATGTATTTGTTTTGTGTCCACATCCTCACTAGAGATGAGGGAAAGAACTGCGTCTGTCTTCCTTTTTTTTCCATCTTCATCCAGCCAAGGGAAATGCTCAATAAATATCTGTTGAATAAGTGGGCAAATGAACGAATAAATGAGGCTCAGAAAGTTTAATAATTTGTCAAATATTACACAGACAATCAACAGAAAAGACAAACTTCAAACCCAGATTTGACTCCAAAGATGGTGCTCTTTGTAGCTTGGTACCCTGTCTCCTTTTACATTATAGGTATTTAAGAAGTAGCTGTTGAATTAATAAATGAATGAACTATAGAATCCTTAAGGTAACAGGTTGCTGATGGTTGCTGCTGCTATGGGGACAGCAGGAAATAAACATCCTGCAAAGTGCCATTCTCTCTATTTGGTCAACGATGAGTATCGATCAACTCAAACGTCTATTAAGCAGCCACAATGAACACATCTGTATAATGCAAAAGAATACAAAGCCCCTGTATTTGGCTGGAAGATAGCAGGTAGAATCAGGACTACAGCATATGGTTGGGCAGGTTGGGCACTGCCAAGAATGCCCAACTGAGGTAAGAAAGTGATGGCTGAAATCCAATCTGCCTTTTACTAGCCAGGCCACACTCTCTGGTGCAGGGCTACCCCACTCAGACAAGATGCTGTTTTCTAATTTTCACAAAGACAATATATAGACTAGCAGCAGCCCTATGGAGGGTCAGTCTTATTTCTTAAGGCTGGGTCTCTCTACCATGGGAGTTTAATGGCACAAAAGGCACTGACTATTCAAAACACAATGCCCCTCCAAACCTGCCAGTGCCCCTGAAACAGCCGCTTGGGGTGAAAGCATTCTATGCCATGAGGTGCTTATGATAATACAAAAACAGGGAGGGGTAGCTGGTTCCTTCACTGCCACCTTTTAACTCAGACTAGTCTATCATATTGGCCTCTAGTACTTGTCAGAGCAGAGAAGCCTGAAAGTTGGGACCTGAATAGATTAAGTTTCCATGCAATAAAAGGTGATGAGAAAGATTCCAGAACAAAGAATACTGCGAGAAAAAGTAGGCTCAGGCTGGGGACCCCAAAATCACGCATTTCCCTTTCTCCCTGAAGCCAGCTCTCACTGCACCTAGTAGGTATACAAGAGTGCATTCATGTGCCTACACAAATATGCACACACAAAACTAAAGAAAGGATGTCACTTGAGCACACAGCTTCCTGCCCCCTCCAGGAGTCCTAACTGCTCAGCAGAGAAAAATAGCTTAGAGGAGCATAAAGAGACCCAAGAACTCTTCCTCTTGGCTTTCCCAGTAACTTCTGGAATTACATTTGGAAAGTCACTTCACCCCCAAGACCTGAATCTCATCATTTATAAAAGGACTGAGGCTGCAATATGTGAAAGATCAGGATTTTCAAGCTATGTTCTGAGCAACCAAAAGGTTCTGAGTGCTATAAAACTCTGCAAAAAAAAAAAAAAAAAACAAAAAAAAAAAACTCTGCAAAAAAAGTATTCAATTTTATTTTTAAGGTAATATATTAATGATTTTAGAGATTATAATAAACTCCCACAGATTCAAATTTTATTGGAAATTTTAGCACACTGATGATGACAAATGTGTTCACATTATCTTCCTGTAGACCTCAGAATAAAGCTGCTCTTGCCAATTCTAAGCTTATATTAGTATCTTGTAAATATGTCACTGATTCTGAAGGAAACTGGAATTATCTTTTTAAAAATTCAGGCCTGTACTTGTCTGGTGCCTTAAAACTGTTCAAGCAAGTATACTGCTATAGCACACCTGCAGTATGTTCAGTTAAATGCCAGGTAAATCTCAGGCACATCTGCTGGCTTATGCTCTTATCACAGGGGAATAGTCAGTTATGCAAAAGCAAATGAATTCATAACAGGCTGCATTGTAATAAAAAGAGTGACCATACATTATCATCTGTCTTGCAGTTTGTAATAAAGAATGAAAGTATTTGTTAAACAGTGTGATTCTCCTTGGAGACCAAAGTTCCCCCTATTCATCTTTCAGGCTTCTGGATCAATTTAATTAAAGAGTATCCTGAAATTGCAAGGTATTAGCAAACTATTCTTATCTGCAATTACTTATCCATGCAAATCAGACTTTTCTATACTGCAAACAAAATTAAATCCAGATGGAACCTGGGTAATGAAACTGGCATTTGACTGGGACTGCCACTCAGAACCCAAGTTAAAATTCAGTGCTCACTACAGCAGCTTCATTGTTCTCTTGACTTTACCATAAGTAAATGGATGATTCTTGTAAGTTATGATACCTACAAGTCTGAACATATAAAATTAATCTCTTGTAAATCCATTTATTTAGGGTAAGTAAATGGATGATTCTTATAAGTTATGATACCTACAAGTCTGAACTTATAAGATTAATCTCTTGCAAAAAGAACAAAGCTGGAGGCATCACACTACCTGACTTCAAACTATACTACAAGGCTACAGTAACCAAAACGGCATGGTACTATTACCAAAACAGACATATAGACAAGTGGAACAGAACAAAGGCCTCAGAAATAACACCACACATCTACAACCATCTGATCTTTGACGAATCTGACCTAAACAAGCAATGGGGAAAGGATTCCCTATTTAATAAATGGTGTTGGGAAAACTGGCTAGCCATATGCAGAAAACTGAAACTGGACACCTTCCTTACACCTTATACAAAAATTAACTCAAGACGGATTAAAGACTTAAACGTTAAGACCTAAAACCATAATCAGGACACAGGCATGGGCAAAGACTTCATGATTATAACACCAAAAGCAATGGCAACAAAAGCCAAAATTGACAAATGGGATCTAATTAAACTAAAGAGCTTCTGCACGGCAAAAGAAACTATCATCAGAGTGAAGAGGCAATCTACAGAATGGGAGAAAAATTTTGCAATCTATCCATCTGACAAAGGGCTAATATCCAGAATCTACAAAAAACTTAAACAAATTTATAAGGAAAAAACAACCCCATCAAACAGCGGGCAAAGGAAATGAACAGACATTTCTCAAAAGAAGACATTTATGTGGCCAACAAACATAGGGGAAAAAAGCTCATCATCACTGTTCATTAGAGAAACGCAAATCAAAACCACGATGAGATACCATCTCATGCCAGTCAGAATGGCGATCATTAAAAAGTCAGGAAACAACAGATGCTGGAAAGGATGTGAGAAATAGGAACACTTTATGCTGTTGGTGGGAGTATAAATTAGTTCAACCATTGTGGAAGACAGTGTGGCAATTCCTCAAGGATCTAGAACTAGAAATACCATTTGACCCAGCAATCCCATTACTGGGTATATACCCAAATGATTATAAATCATTCTACTATAAAGACACATGCACATATATGTTTATTGCAGCACTGTTCACCATAGCAAATACTTGGATCCAACCCAAATGCCCATCAATGATAGACTGGATATAGAAAATGTGGCACATATACACCATGGAATACTATGCAGCCATAAAAAAGGATGAGTTCATGTCTTTTGCAGGGACATGGATGAAGCTGGAAATCATCATTCTCAGCAAACTAACACAGGAACCAAAAACCAAACACCACATGTTCTCACTCATAAGTGGGAGTTGAACAATGAGAACACATGGATGCAGGGAGGGGAACATCACACACCAGGGCCAGTCAGGGGGTGGGGGACTAGGGGTGGGATGGCATTAGGAGAAATACCTAATGTAGATGACAGGTTGATGGGTGCAGCAAACCACCATGGCACGTGTATACCTATGTAACAAACCTGCACGTTCTGCACATGTATCCCAGAACTTAATGTATAATAAAAAAAATAAACTCTTTAGTACACTGAGATTCCACATCGGACTTGATATGAAATAGGGTTCCTTGATTTTCAAAGAGTCAAAACCACCATGCTGGATTCCCTCAAAGTCCTCTTCACGTTCTAATATTCAGAGGAAGCAAATTCTAAGTACACCTGGATTACCTGCTCATCCTTGTTCAACCGCACTCCATGCAGACTACAACTCCCATAAGAAGGGAGGGCCATTCCCATCGAAAGTAAGGTTTCATCTACCATGGGCAGGTGGTAGCTGTCCACGCCGGGTGTCACTCATCCAAGTCCCCACCTCCCCCAGCAACAGGGTGAAAACATTCAGCCCTCCCCAACCATGGCAGTAGGACACCCAGCATGGTGGGTGTCCTACCATGGTGGCACAAGGCTGAGTGGTTGTATCCTAGGCAATTACTACGCTCCAGGGGCATCATCCCTAGGAGCTCAGACCAGCATTCAGAGGCCTCAACCTTTGGGGTAAAGGAGGCAATCCTTTTGTGTACAGGCTACTCCCTCTCTCCTACTCTCCCATCTCTGCCTATCAAAACTCTGTTCTTTAATGGTAAATTGTTACAAAATTACAAACTATCGGGAGGCACTCTGGTAAGGGAATAAAAAGAGCCAAAAAATAGGAACCCATGTGACTCTCAGAAATGTATCCTAAGAATACATAATGTACACACACAGAGATCTAGCTATACAGCTATTAATCCTATTAATGGAAGTGTTGTTCATAACAGCAAAAAACTGCAAGAAACCTAAATGTATTTTTTAAATGGATTTTGGCTCTAAAAAAGGAGGGGGGGGGATATTCAATCAACAAAGTGCCCACAATATCTTTAACAATAATAATACCTACACTTTAGACTACTTACCATATAACTGGATCCTCTGATCAGGTTCTTTACATCTCATTTAACGCTCATACCAACACTGTGAGGTAGACATCATGGCACTTTATAAATAAGAAATCTGGGCCAGGTGTGGTTGCTCACGCCTGTAATCCCAGAACGTTGGGGGGCCGAGGTGGGGGGATCACGAGTTCAGGAGATTGAGACCAGCCTGGCCAACATGGCGAAACCCTGTCTCTACTAAAATTACAAAAATTAGCTGGGTGTGGTGGCACATGCCTGTAATCCCAGCTACTTGGGAGGCTGAGGCAGGAGAATCGCTTGAACCAGGGAGTCGGATGTTGCAGTGAGCCGAGATCGCGCCACTGTACTACAGCCTGGCGACAGAGCGAGACTCTGTCTCAAAAAAATAATTAAATAAATAAATAAGAAATCTGAGATTCATAAAAGCAGTAATTAACCAAAGGTAATCTAGCTAATAAGTGTCGAGGTTGGGTTCAAACCTAACTCACTCACTCACTCTTGCATCCAACAAACGTTTATTAAGCATTTACTAGTGTCAGCATGGTGCTACATCCTGCTTTGTTGCTGGGGCTTTAATTTTCATTTTGAAATAATTTTAGATTTACTCAAGACCTGCAAAGATAGTACACAGAATTCCCATATACTTTCACTCAGCTACTCCTAACACTAACGCTATGGTTTGTTTTTTTTTATTGACAAACTGCAATAATCATCCATTCCACCATCAAATAATTGAGAGGGCACTAGACAGTCCCAGCTGGCACCTGCCTCTGCCTGGGACTGCCCACAATCTCTGTTCCCCACTGACATCTGACTCTGCACTGCCCTCCCAACTCCACCATCCCAAAGGTAAGACAAGGGAATTAAGAAAATTACCACAAATCAAAGGTTTTTTCTCCCAGTTAGAATTAAGCCACTGCTAACGGGAAGTAAAGCCATGGAAAGAATTATACTTTTAAAACAAGTACAGAACCTCCGAGAAATCTCAAATAGAAAAGAACAGTAACAATGAGAAAAAATAATAAATATAATTAAACACTACACCAGTGGTAGCTATACGTGCCAGGCATCATGCCAAATGTTTTATATTCATTGAATCCTGAACATCCCATAAGGTGGGTACCACTGTTATCCCCATTTACAGATGAGCAAAACAAGGTACAAAGAAGTTAGGTTTTACTCGAAGTTCCACAGCTCAAAAACACTTCCCTTTCCAGGGAAGAAAAAAGAACACAAGGCTCCTACCCCCGTTTTGAACTTCTAAGCTATTTTTAACAACAATGGCCACCATCCAGACATCAGATGTGACCAATCTCCAGCTCAGCGAAACTATTCATGAGTGTAGCATTTTTCAGCCCTTGAGTAGTCTCTGCCTAAGTGACGTATCCCTGTTGTACATGTTTCCAAGGGAAGTGACAAAATTTCTGAGGGACTTGCACAACACTGCCAAAAAGCAGGATTCCAAAAGGCCTTTCACGCATGTTTTCACAATGCCCCAATACTACCTGCCTCTCGTCTGCACCATCCCCTCAGCAATCTCTGCCATGGGCTGACGCCTGCTCTTCAACAGAAGTTATTCAAATGACACATCGTATGCCCTTCTCATGCTGTACTACACTGACTGTCTCTACAAAATTGTGGTGCCAGAATTCACTTCAAAGGATCTGCATGTCTCTGACTACATGACAAAGATGTAGCGTATAAAAAGGGAACTGTCTATTTCTGGCACCACAAAATGCAATCTATTTGCCTCACCAAGCACGCCGCTGCTCTAAAGAAAGTTTTTGCTTTCAAAGAATCCTGGGTTTGCCTTTAAATTCACACTGTTTCATACTGAAGTGACTAACTTTGAATCATTCAAAATCGCTGTGGTCCTTAGAATTTTCAGGCACTACGGAATATACTACATAAATATGAGCATTCTCAAGCAATACACACTAAAAGACATACAGCCAATGGCCTAACCCAGGTCCACCTCTGGAATTTGGGAGCTGACAGAAAGTGACCCAGAACCACTAGAAGCACAAAGCAGAAGGAAAGATAAGTGCTGACCAAAATGCAGGAGGGGACAGGGTATCTTAGGAAGCTGGAAAACATGGAGAGATGTAAAGGACCAAAAGCAACTCCTGTTCCTGGTCACCAATTGGGATCAGTGGAAAAGAGTTTCAGTGGAATCCCAGGAGACATCTCTCAAATGACCTCCGGCTCCAGTCCTGGGAAACTTGCTCAACAAATGATGCAATAAATAACACAAAGGCAAAACATATGAAGCTGCTTTTTATTTTTAAGGCTGTAAGAACCTCTTGTCACAGCTCTGAGAAGGGGAGACTGAAGGCTGGAGGCAGCCACACCAAGGAACCAGGCAGTGAAGAGCAGGGTCGTTTCCTAACTGGGAGACGTGGCATCACTGCAAGCAGAGGTTGTCGTGACTCATCAGGATGAATCCACAGAGCAGTAAAGAAAAACAACAGTGAAGGAAGAGCTTGGCAGCCATTACGAAATGAGAGGGGCGAGAAGCTCGGGTTGTGGACCCACAAGAGTGCCCCCTCAACCTTGACTGTTCCCAAGGCTCTGTCTGCCTGCATTCTTTGAAAACCTTCCATCTACTGGACCTACAGAGTTCTGGTTCATCCTCTCAAAGTCCAGGTCAGATGCCTCATCTTTCCGGTGAAGTCCTGTGGACTCCAAACGTAGTCACTCTCTTCTCTGTGCTGCCACAGTACTTTGTTAAACACATTAATTACAACCTTAGCTTACATTGTATTGTAAATGTCACCCACCAGACTATCCTGGGGGCTATGATTATATTTTACTCATTTGTATTTCTCACAGTCAGTGCCTAGAACATAGTAAGTGCTCATCAGATGAATGATGAGGGTCCACTAGTAGGACCCTCCAGAGTTCCTAAGGCCACAGCAGTTTTCAGGAAGATTCATAATCAACTTATCAAACCAATTTACTTGAGGACCAATCTATTTCTGGCTGTGGGGATATGCACCACTACTCTCCCTGCTCCCTCTGAAATAGGAATGAGGAAGCTTCTCCCTTGATTCCATTCTAGCCATGGGAACAAGAACGCAGATGCATCAGACATCCTTGGGGATGACCCTGCCAAACAAATTATATTCCAATCTCACATCCACCAGACCAAAACCTAAACTAGGTCAAAATCATTCATTCATACTGAGAGGGTATTAAAAGAAATATTTCTGACCCTTTCCCTCCTCTACCCATCAGCAGATGAAATGAGAAAGACCAGTCATAACTCTTTTTTTTGTTTGTTTGAGACAGAGTTTCACTCTTGTTGCCCAGGCTAGAGTGCAATGGCGTGATCAGGGCTCACTGCAACCTCCGCCTCCCGGGTTCAAGCGATTCTCCTGCCTCAGCCTCCTGAGTAGCTGGGATTACAGGCGTGTGCCACCACGCCCAGCTAATTTTTGTATTTTTTAGTAGAGATGGGGTTTCGCCATGTTGGTCAGGCTGGTCTCGAACTCTCCTGACCTCGTGATCTGCCTGCCTCGGCCTCCCAAAGTGCTGAGATTACAGGCGTGAGCCACCGCACCCAGCCCATAATTCATCTTTAAACCAACTCTCCAACAACCTGTCCTCTTTCCTCCTACTCAGACTGAATGAGAAGTCTGGTCTTGGCAGTCCCTTGATGTTTATCCAGCCTTTCCTGCTGTGACAGAATACTTGATGTGCTACCACAGAACTGCTTGCAACGCTGACGGGTCATCTCTGATGCTAAGGGAGAAGAAAAGGGAAAGTCCCTGGAGAGCCACCATATTGAGTCTTTACAATTTCATCTAGTGGACTGTGGAGCCATAAATGGTGCACAATAAATCCAGGAATGCTGGAGGGCGAACTGACAGGATCCAGTAGGAACATCTTAGAACAGACCGGTGTGTGTCTCAACACCTAGGACAGCTGCCCCACAAACAGACGGTCCAGGGACACACCCTTGCCCCTCCCCATTTCACAAAGCTCCCATGGGGCCTTGTCTCCCAGCCTCTAGCCTTACTCCAGTGTCAATATGGGATCCGGCAGGAAGAGGCCAATGTGCAATTACTAAATAAAACTCCTTCATTGACTGAGTTGCCTCCTCTCCTTCCAGGCTCAAGATCAAAGATTAAGCAACAGAGGAGAGGTGGAAGTTTATCAGAGAATCAGGATTTCAAGGTTGGAATGGACTCTACAAAACATTCACCCTCCTCCTCCATGGCAATAACTATCCATACTTTCATTATTAGGCCAAATAAGCCTCTACATTTACCCTCAACTCCACAGGCCCATGGATGGACTCTAAGAGTATTTGGTATTTAAGATAAAAATACAAATTTGACACAGTGCACCCTCCAATGCAAGGTAGGAATTGGTGGGCACCTTGAAAGAAGTATCCTTGTTAAACCTCTAAGACTCTTGTATTGTGGAAGAATTAATTCATTCTTGGGGAAATCCAGTTATTTCTCCCATGAAGACAAAGAGAGGTACCTTATGTCACTCACCCATCACCTGTCTAGACACCCAGGACTTTCACAAGTATGACTGGAGAGGTGAGGCCAAACACAAGAGCTGAGAAACAGCACAGCCCTGTGACCAGTAGCCAGGGTGTAAGCCCAGCTCCACCACTTACTAGCTCTGTGATCCTAAAAAGCAGGAAAACACTAGGACCTACCTACCTCATTTGCTTGTAAAAAGATTAAGTTAGTTAATCTACTTAGAACACCATAAGTGCTATATTTCTTCCATAAATGAAGAGGCTAAGCCAACGTTTCTTTGAAACATGGTATCCCACGTTGGTGAGAATTTCCAATGTGACAGCAGAAAACAGTAGGTTGTACCATATGAAACTGCCAATATTTGACCATTTTTATGTACAAAAATGGCAATTTTATATTAATAAATCAAATATATGTGAAAAAGAATACAAAGCAGTGCATTTACAATCATCCTAAATGCCTAAAGCTTAGGCCTTTTACAGAAAATATTTCAAATGACTGTTTAAAAAAAAAAAAAAAAGGATCAACTATTTGTATGGGGCTAATCCTCCCCACCCCCAGTTTGGTCTACAGGACCTCATGTAGATTGAGCAACTTTGGCTATTTGGGTAGCTGATCCACTGCCAAGCTGGCTCCCAGCTACCACCTGTTACTTTGACAACTCTAGCTTCAGGGCTACCAGGACCATTTGCAAAACTTACACCCACAGAAAACTCAAAGTCTCCAGAGGCATAAGCTCCAACCCCCAGAGAGCTCCACAGCATTCTTCTCCTTCTAGTAGTACTTTTGGTTTCCAGGAAAATCATCTCATGCTCGGGCCACAGTCACAGTCCTGACCAGCACCATAGAAATTTCAGCCATTATTCTAGTTGTATGGAGTCATTCAAAATACTAATTCCGAAAGAAGTTTCAAAGGTCCAACGCCGAGCATCTTTTACCTTTGCTAATTTTTCCATAAATTGAAAGCCTTTCTAGAAAGAAAGGAGCGTATCACTGTTAAACTTCAATTATACAACACAGGCCCTCTGTTACAACTTCTTGTCAATCTATAATTATTTCAAAATAAAGTTTCTAAATAGGCATTAGTGGAACACTGATTAGTAACTGAAAACCAAAGCAGACTTAGTCGATCATAGAATGACAAAAAAAAACCTGGAAAATGTTGACCTCATTATTTCAGTTTTTCAGACATATCCTTAAAGCGAGGTCAAACTGATCCATCAACAAGTCAACTGAACATTTGATATTCTACCTTGGAACAAGGAAACCCAACCATCGATCACTCCAACATTGTCTGAGATACACTAAATTACTCTCACTGTAAAAGTTTCTTGAACAGAGAATGTCAAAATCTTCTTTTTTTTTTGAGAGGGAGTCTCACTCTGTCGCCCAGGCTGGAGTGCAGTGGCGCGATCTCGGCTCAGTGCAACATCTGCCTCCCGGGTTCATGCCATTCTCCTGCCTCAGCCTCCCAAGTAGCTATGACTACAGGTGCCCGCCACCACACCCAGCTAATTTTTTGTATTTTTCAGTAGAGACGGGGTTTCACTGTGTTAGCCAGGATGGTCTCGATCTCCTGACCTCGTGATCTGCCCACCTCGGCCTCCCAAAGGAGAATGTCAAAGTCTTTAAGGCTAAGAAAGAATGTAATTTCATGGCTGAAAAAAAAAAGTTTTTTTTAAAAAAAAGTTCAATTATACAAAGATATAAAAAAATACTCTTTCGTAAAGAACAACTTTGATGAAACCTTTTAGATGTACTGTGTGATTTTATGTCTTCAGTCCACTATAATAGAAAGGCTCTTTTCAATGACTGCCCCAGTAATAACAGGATAGTAGCAGAATCTTTCTGGCCTATAAACTAAGCCTAGTTAGGAAACAAGACCCAGAAGCATTTATACTTGTCTGAACTCTTGATTCCATGTTATTACATGAACTAAGTGAAGACCTGAACCAAGATCATCAGCCTTCTATTAAGGCACACAGATGATCTGATTGGCTTGGGCTTAATGGTCATGTTTCAGCTTCATTTTATTGCTCCGCTTCCCTTGACACCAGAACTATTTATCTCCTCTACTTCTCAATACTAAAACCATTTATAAATCCCAAGAACAGTATTCACTGTAAATCAAACTAGTAAGTAAACTCGTTCTCCAACACCAAACCATACACTTTCATGTTTCTCAACTAAAAGTAGAGTTCATTACAAAAGAAACTGAGAAATGCCTCCTCATGAAGTCTCTCTTAATATTTTATGTCTACATAAGGATATGATGTGGGTAGAGGTAGATGGCAGCACCAGTGTCTCAGGAACTGTTTTCTAGTGCCCCCCAAAACAGAATCACGGGTCTCTATCCTCCCCTGGCATTCTTAATGTTATAATTAATAGTTAATAATTAAAATACTTAATTAACTGAACTAAACTGAAGATCCACCTAGCATTTTTTTCTTTTCTTTTCTCTTGAGACAGGGTCTCACTTTGTTGTCCAGGCTGGAGTGCAATGGCATGACCATGGCTCACTGCTGCCTTGAACTCCTGGGCTCAAGCAATCTTTTCATAGGAACTGTTGGAGCAACTGTTTGGAGAACTACTATCTGAAAGACAATAACATATTTTTCCCTAAAGACATTCTTGCCCCCAGGGCACACTTTTCTGGCTGCCATCAACCCTGCTGCCTAGATTCAACGAAATGGGGATGTCAGATGATTCTGTGAGCAACAGATCTAGGCATGAACATATACATATAAGCACAACTCATACCTCTAAGGGTGACCATACAGCTAGGAACAGCAAATGGCAGATTACCATGCATAACACAGGACAAGGAAAGAAGTTCAAACGTCTAATCAGTGCCAACTTCCATACATTCACACAAGTTCACAATAGTTTCACAGTTTGCAGAAGTTTGGAGTCACTAGTTTGCAGTAAGCGGAAAGCATGGCTTACTGGTAAAATGCATGAACTCTGAAGTCAGAAAAGACTTACTCATTTATAAAATAAGGTATTTAATTTATCCAAATATTGGTTTCTTCATCTTTAAACAGGGATAATACCATGTAACACAAAAGAGTTGTTCAAGGATTAAATTAGGTATATACTAGGAGCTGGGCACATAGTAGATACATAATTTATAAGGTCCTAGTCATGCATATAATTCCTATATAAGGCCTAAAAAATCTCACAGAAAACCACATGGTTTCATTCTGCACTCTGAAATCCAGCTGGTATTATGCCACTACTGTATGTGTGCTATATAAGTCAATAAAAGTGGGAACCAGAAACAAAATAAGAGAATAACTACTTAGACTGTGTATCCCCCAACTGGGTGGCTCAATACTATTTCTTTATAAATAAAGACCAGGATGCAAATATACTCCTGTGTTGTAATAGTGCTAAGTTTCATTGTTTTGAAGCACACATAAAATATGAGTTCCCCAAAGTAAATGCTGCTGAATTTCATACAAATATTCACGAACATTACATATTGCCAAGCCTTCTCACTTAGAGCTGTGTATAAAATACAAGTAACTAGATGTCAACAAACCTATAAATCCTATGAGAGCAGGCACTACACACAGGCATACTGATAGCTTCAAGGAGAGAAAACCGGTAAGTTGACAGAAAAACAATAGAAGGCACAACAGGAAGTCCAAAGCTAGTTACTATGGAACAAATACACCGTGTGTGTACATGTGCATGCAAATACACATAACTCAACAGACCTGCAGGGAATCCCTATTGTAAGAGTCATCATTTACAGAAGACCTAGCTTATACCAATTTCAATTTCTTTTTTTTTTTTTTTTGAGATAGTCTCACTCTGTTGCCCAGGCTGGAGTGCAGTGGCACAATCTCCACTCACTGCAACCTCTGCCTCTCAGGTTCAACCGATTCTTTTGCCTCAGCCTCCCGATTAGCTGGGATTACAGGTGTGTGCCACCACACCTGGCTAATTTTTGTATTTTTAGTAGAGATGGAGTTTCACCATGTTGGCCAGGCTGGTCTCCAATTCTGGGGCTCAAGTGATCTGCCCACCTCGGCCTCCCAAACTGCTGGGGTTACAGGCATAAGCCACTGCACCTGGCTCAATTTCAATTTCTTAAAAAATGAAGAAAATGAGGTTAAGACGGGTTTACTGTTCGTAGGCAAGAGTCAGTAGGTGGTGAAATTTAAACCCAGGTCTTTCTACTCCAATTTATGCTATGCTCCATAAACACAGTGCTCAACACAAATTACATTTGTAGCTGAACATGATTAATAAAGAGAAAATAAACTGTATTCAGTCGCTTCAGTTCAAGAACAGAAAAAATATATTTTCGGATTTTTTCATTAAAGTAGTTAAAGTTTTGGCCAGGCGCAGTCAGTCACTCACGCTTGTAATCTCAGCATTTTGGGAGGCTGAGATGGGTGGACAACCTGAGGTCAGGAGTTCAAGACACACCTGAGCAACATGGCAAAACCCTGTCTCTACTAAAAATACAAAATTAGCCAGGCGTGGTGGCGCATACCTGTAATCCCAGCTACTTGGAAGGCTGAGGCAGGAGAATCACCTGAACATGCAAGGCAGGGGTTGCAGTGAGCCAAAGATCGTGCCACTGCACTCCAGCCTGGGCTATGGACTCCAACTCAAAAATAATAATAATAAAAATAAAATAAAGTAGTTGAAGTTTTGTGGTTATTATAAGAATAAATTCTCACCATCTAGAAAATGGTTAACCCAAAATGATTAATCCCTAATGGTTCAAAAGGGCCAAGAATTTATTGTAACTTGCATCCACATCTGGGAAAAAAAAAATTCATTCCTTAACTCTAGAGAAACACTTTTAAATATAAAATGTGACAACATGACTACAAATTCTTTCAGTTGGGGCTTTCACTGGGACTTATCCAGTTATTATTCTGATAATTATCAGAAATGAAAAATAAAACAAAGATGATTTATCTTGACCAATCAAATATTTTAGGGACCAAAAAAAATAAGCAAAAGAAGTCAACAATTATTTCAAATTTCCCATGGTTAGAATAAAAAAACTGGCCTCCTTTCAGAGTCCTCTGCTCTATCAGAGAAACTGGGGATGGAAAGGGAACCTCAGAGCTGTGATGTTACATTCAAACTCCCACAAACGGCCTACATTTTGAAAATGAAGAAACCAAAGCTCAGCACATGACATGACTAAACCTGGGTCTCAAAGTCAACTACTATCAGATTTTCAACATGAATCCAGGTACTTGACTCTCTAAGTTTAGTGGAAATGTCTGAATCTAAAGACCAAAGGAAAAGCCTGAGGTCAGGCCAGTGTCCCCTGGGACTTTCCAGTGTTCTCTAGGAGAAGCAGGGAAGATTAGGCAGGTGTGGTTTACACTACAGATCCCCAGAGAAAGCCCTAGAGAAAGCCCTACCGACTGGAGCCCAGTCGGCCTGGAGCGACTGTGTCAGCTTGGTTGTTCCTGACAAATACAAGAACGATCCAGAATTATATAAAAATCCAAAGAGAGAGAAACTACTCCTGGATGAACATAATAACAATATGCAAAGATAAATTACCAAATTAGAGGAAAAGATGATGTCTTATGAGAAACATTTACATTTGAATGATGAAATTCGATATATCTTGGATGGAAGTAGGTATTTTGACATAAAAGATATAGAGGACACATGGATCTGAATTGCCAGGGAGAAAAAGATATACATATACTTCGTGTGGGAATTTATCATCATTTCACTCTGGATGAAAAGTACTATGCAGAGACAATCTGGCCCTTTGCTAGATAACCGGTATGAACCACTTTGATACTCAAGGACAATACATGACACTTTTGGCACAGGCAGCATAGTGGGGCTCTCTAAAGGACTAATACACTATTTGTAAAGGTAATAAACATGATAACTGATCAGAAAATCATTTTATTTTTGTTTTTATATCGCAGACTTGATGCTAGGTTATCTTTCCTTTGCAAGATTATTTCATCAGAATATTTTTAAAGGAACAATAAAACTGATCTTACATGGAAAAAACTGAAAATGTGTACAAATCTCTAATTAAATCAAGAGTAGTGGTCTGGCATCCCTATGTTAGTTCAAGTATTCAACATTAACTCAAATGTAACAATTTAGCATGTTCTATCTGGACAATATTCTTAGACTTCAAGCCAAACATCAGCAAATGCCATGCCTGCCTTAGCAAAAGGTGTAATCGTAGATAACATAATTAACCAAATATAAGATACTTTTTTCTCCTAAAATTATATTTTAAGGTGGGAAGTAGAACGAGGGAAGAACCTCTCATATTACAGGGCACACTCTCAGTTGCTTACACCACTTTCCTGTTCTAAATAAAGTAACTGTCTTAATTTTTTTAAAAAAAGAAAAAGGCCAAATGAATTGCGTCATGTGAAAAGTACAGCATTACATTTGCTGTCTATATTTAATCATTAAGGAAATTAAATACTATATTTAATCCATGTCAAGATAAATAATTAAAACAGGCCCATTTTTATTATTTACAATTAGGCCCTATTTGGCTAATGGGAAATAACTCAAAAGTCAGAGAAGTTATTTCTTTAGTTTTCCTAATTCTTCCAAAAGACAATAACTAAACTTTATTATATCAAATTTTGACTATGGTTATAGTTCCTCAGGAATACCTGGGCTCTCCTAATTAGTAGCACTATAAAGATTACTTCCCATATAATGGTTCAGAATTGATACCTATTACCTCATCAGATGACCATAACACCCTGATTGGTGGTCAGGTGTGAATCCCCAGAAGAAACCAAGTCTAAGAAGAGGTTAGACCACCTCTTCAATGTCTCACTGGCATCAACTGCCTGAAAACAGTCCAGGGATAGGACCTTGTGACTCTAATGCCCTTTTTATAGAGTTTTAGTGTAAATTTTCGAATGTGTTAAAAAACAAAAAAGCAATTTGTAAAAACATGGATTTCAAGTTAGTGGGGAGATGATGATTTTTTGTGGTAGGACAACTGGATAGTCAGAGAAAATAATAAAATTAGAATCCCTCTTACATCATAGACTAAAATAAACATCCTATCATTTCAAATGACAAATATACCAAATATTAAGTCTAAGAGTTAAATATTTGTAGAATTAGAGGCATCAAAAGGTCTCTCAAACATGACACCAAAAGCAGAAGCCTTTATAAAGAAATGAGTGATTGATGTGAGTTCATGAAAATATAAAACTTCTATAACAAAAGGTTCTTAATATATAAGTAAACTTGAGGAAAAATATTTGTACCATATGTGACAGAAAACTAATATCCTTAACATATGTAGCTTTAATAAATAAAAAAAAAAAAGACAAACACGCCAGTAATAAAATGAGCAAAGGGCTTGACTAGGCAATCCACATCAAAAAAATGAGTTCTCAAACTTGAAAAAAAAAAGTTTAGGCCAGGCGCAGTGGCTCACGCCTGTAATCCCAGCACTTTGGGAGGCCGAGGTAGGCGGATCACGAGGTCAGGAGATCAAGACCATGCTGGCTAACACAGTGAAATCCCGTCTCTACTAAAAGTACAAAAAATTAGCCGGGTGTGGTGGCAGGTGCCTGTAGTCCCAGCTACTTGGGAGGCTGAGGCAGGAGAATGGCATGAACCCAGGAGGCGGAGCTTGCAGTGAGCCGAGATCGCACCATTGCACTCCAGCCTGGGCAACAGTGCAAGACTCTGTCTCAAAAAAAAAAAAAAAAAAAAAAGTTTAAATGTACCAGTAATTAAATATCTACAGAGTAAAAGATAGATTTATCACTTTTTACTAATAAATTGGAAATTTTTAAAAAATTATTATATCCACAAATTGAGTATGATGACAGTGGTACTCTCATTTAGGAATATAAATAATATGTCACTTTTGGAGAGCAATGTGTACATGTCTTTTGACCTAGAAGTTCTAATTCCTGTATGTTATTATTGTTTGCTAATTCTAGAAATGTATTCTAAGCAAACAATAATAACATACAAGATTTAGCCAGAAGGATTTTCATCGTAGGGTTGTTGACTAACAAGACAAACATAAATGTTCATCCAGGAACACAGAATCACGGTGAAGCCACCCAATAGAAATCTACACAAAACATGTGCATGTGTTGGGGGCAGGGGTATATCACTACTGAAAGATGTTACAATAGTCATGATACACTAGCAAATGGAAAAAAAGGTTATGAAACATTATGCAGTATATAACCACCATTTATGTTGGGGATACACACACGATTGAGAGGATATTCGTGAAAATATTAACAAAGGTTGTGAGAGTCCAAGTGATTTTTGTCTTTTCTCTGGATTCTAAGTCTTCAATAAATAGGAATAACTTTTGTAAAAAGTTATGAAATTAAAAAAACAGAACAAAAACTTCCAAGGAAGGGAGGCAGCAGCCAATACTGCTTTAATGCACAGAGCAACTGATTCTCCCCCGAGAAGCACTTGGCACCTTGGGCTCACAACACACTCAGCCATTCCATCCTCAGGTCCTGAGACGGGAACAGGAGCACATCGGGATGGGCAGAACCCCTAGTCGCATATCACACTACAATCTCAAACCCTGGCACCTGCTTGGAAAGCACTCCAACAGTCCACTAGCCCTTACGAAACACAAGAAGGAATCGCCTGCACTTGCCAGTTCTCTCCATGTTAACAAGATGGCAGTTCAAAAGAAGGTATACAGCAAGGGGTGAGAGGTGTCTGCAATGCACAAAAATATGTAAATTTCAAGGCATGGAAAAAGGTACTAACCCCATGGGGAGCAATTGAGAATATTAATAAAAATTATTAATGCAATTATCTTTTAACCCAGCAATTCCACTTCTGGGAATTTATCTGACCTTCTACATACAAAGTTACACAAATAGCACTATTTATAACAGCAAAAGTGCAGAAGCAAACAAAATGTCCCTTACATGGGGACTGGTTAAATAAGTCATGGTCTATTCACACGAGAAAATACTTGATGTACTAATAAGGAAAGAGAGGAGGATATATGGTAAAATGAAAAAAGCAAAGGGTGGAATAGTATATAGTATATATTTACCTTATGTACAATAAAAAAAAGAATACGAATATATACTTACATTAATAGGTCCTAGAGATGAGAAGAGCACTTAAGGAAACAGGGAACGAAGTTGACGGACAAACAAAAATGGGAGCAAACCTTCTCAATTTGTACCCTGTTATACTGGTTTGCTTTCTTTTTTTTTTTCTTTGACACAGAGTCTTGCTCTGTCGCCCAGGCTGGAGTGCAGTGGTGTGATCTCAGCTCACTACAACCTCCACCTCCAGGGTTCAAGCCATCCTCTGGCCTCAGCCTCCTGAGTAGCTGGGATACTCCTGAGTACAGGCGCCTGCCACCACGCCCAGCTAATTTTTGTATTTTTAGTAGGGATAAGGTTTCACCATGTTGGCCAGCTGGTCTTTAACTCCTGACCTCAAGTGATCCACCCACCTCGGCCTTCCAGTGTGCTGGGATTACAGGCATGAGCCACGGCACCCGGCCCTGGTTTGCTTTCTGAACCATGTCAATACAGTACCTATGCCAAACAAAATATCAATAACAATAATAAAAAAATAAGAAAATGTAAAGTTTAAAAATGCTTGCCAAGAAAGCCTTGTTAAGAGGGAGATCTACCACCCACAGTAGGAGGAGCATCAGAGCTGAACAATACAGAGATCCTCACACAGTGGTCGTCTTCTATTCCCCTGGAAGAATACAGGAGAGAGGAAACCACTTACTGACCACCTACCACTGGCTATGTGTTCTGCACATGTTATCTCATTTAATAGTCTAATTAACCCTAGCAGGTATAACCAACCCCCTCTCTGCAAATAAGTAAATGGTGGCTGGCAAGGCTTTAGGTAACTTCCCCAAAGTCATAGGTCTATGATCGGACCTCATGCTCTTGTCTGCTAAAACTTGCAAAGGTACATATTTATGCATCATAGTAAAAATTAAAATCTTCTACGTCAGCCAGCTACCCACAATCATACTTACTTCCACAGTGTTCTCTAATGTTCTTTGTTTTCTAGATTTTGAGAAGGTGTTTGTTGAATAAAGCAAACATTTTGCTGTTCTGAATTTTCCACTTACTGGGCACCAAAAAGAGTTAATTACGGGCAGTTTTTAAGGAAAAAAAGATGAACATAGTTTCAAATGAGAGTTATCCAAAAAAGTGGCAGTTCACAAAACAACTGAAAGCAGGGTCTCAACGAGATATTTGCAAACCCATGTTCATAGAAATATCATTCACAACAGTCAAAAGGTAGAAGCCACCCAAGCATCCAACAACATAGATGGATAAACAAAATGTTGTATATACATACAATGGAATATTATTCAGCCTTTAAAAGGAAGGAAATTCCATCATATGCAAAAACATGGATAAACCTTGAGGACATTATGCTAAGTGAAACATGCTAGTGAAAAAGGACATTATGGACAATTCCACTTATAAGAAGTAGCCAGAGTAGTCAAATCCATAGATAGAAAAAGTAGAATGGTAGTTGGCAGGAGCTAGCAGGAAAAAGCAATGGGTAGTTATTATCTACTGGGTACAGAGTTTCAGTTTTGCAAGATGAAAAGAGTTCTGGAGATTAGATGTAAAACAACGTGAATGTACTTAACACTACTGAACTGTAAGCTTAAAAATGGCTCACATGGTAAATTTTATGTTGTTTATTTTCCACAACTTAAAAAAAATTTTTTAACTGCCAGTTCAATATATTACAGCTGACATCTGTTTTTATCTCTCTAGAAACTTCTCATACCAGGTGATTCTGTTAACACTACAGATCACAGTGTCCCACCTGACCCCCATCCATGCCTGCACTGTCCACCTTCCAGACCAAGGGTGACACAAACACAAGTCTTTCAGGGAGATTTGATAAACAGACATCATCTTGGAGCAGCCAACTGTTCTCTATTCAAATCATGTGGATAAAACCTCATTGTGGCAGAACATAAGACCAATGAACAGGAAGCAGAATAGCAGGATTCTTACTGAGAAGGGGAATGCCTTTATATCCTTGGAGTCCATGAACCATGGGTCCTCCCCCAACCCCCTTAAGACATAGGCCAATAAATCCTTTTTTTTTTTTAACTTAACCAAAAAAGAATACAGGTACCCAACAGAAAAGCAGTTTCACTGAACAACAGGTCCCTGAACAAGAATTTTTTCACCACAGATTGTTTTGGAACTTTATCTGCAGTATCATATAGCTCTACTAAAACAGTAGTACACAAGTCCAAAATTTAGGTAGTAGAATTTCAAATTTAACATAACATTTCCAGCTGGGCCAGAATACTCTTATACCTCTGAAGGGAACAATGAATTTTTCAATTTAAATCTATACTATATAATATAGAGAGGGAGAGATATACAATTCATAGAAAGTTTATACAGAAATAGATTTAGAAATACAAATGTTTCCAAATTACCTGAGGTATAACATAGAAGAGAATGCCTAAATATTAGCCTGAAATTGAGGTTTTGGGTGAAACATTTGAACAATTAAATCCAAGAACAGGAGGGTAATACATAGAGATCCTTTATCTGTGCCTTATTTGAAGAACTGAGATCTTCGATGCAATGCTCCATTTACTATAGGTTGCCTTGGTTTGGTTCCCACTAATTATTGGCCAGGCTTAAATTTATTAAATCCAAATCTAATCAATGACTGTTTACTGACTGCCTAGGTATACTGACTCTCGTATGAACCAAGATACACAGACAAAGCAGCTCATATACTGAGCATAGTGCTAGGCTCTGCAGATTTTGTCTGACTTAATGCAAGCAAAGAGTGTATCTAAAAAGCTATCATGCTAGGTATTAATGTCAAACCAGTTTCATATCTAGAATCTGAAAGACACAGCATAAAGCTGAACAGAGGTGCCTGAGGCAAAATCTTAAATGTGAACTGTGTTCCCCAAGGAGTGTAGCTATAAGCTTGTCACAAGTTTTTGCAAAGATAAACTAGCCTTGTTGATTTCGCAGATCTCACCAATAAAATAACTTTCAAACACAAGGAATACTATCCATGTGAAATCATTATAACCACTAATCAGCATGAGATCCATGTTCTGAAATTGCTTTT
The DNA here is from genome assembly GCF_000001405.40 of Homo sapiens. Taxonomy (NCBI): domain Eukaryota; kingdom Metazoa; phylum Chordata; class Mammalia; order Primates; family Hominidae; genus Homo; species Homo sapiens. The sequence continues at coordinate 64,948,631 of NC_000001.11, forward strand.
GGGCTTCTCTCTTCATCATGAAAGATTAGCAGCCAGTAATTTAATCATAACAGGGGAAAAAAGAAGACTCTATTTTTTGTGGAAGGCTTTTCAACACTCACTGCAACACACCTGGTAAAAATAAAATGATAAAGCTTATCTCTCCCACAGGACTATCTTCCAGCCATTTAACATGGCTTCCACCTCACATCTCCAGAGTAAATCTTGAAATGTGGCAGCCCAGAATGTTAATGGTACTTGGAGGGAAATCTAACCCTTAGAAATACTGCTCAGAATTCTTGCAGTCTCTAAGGCTGTATATTCACCAAGGAATCTACAGAACTTACTGTCCTAGAAGTAAGAGAGATCACAATATATTTAAGAAACAAAAACGGTCAGAAGGGCTGGAGTGCTGACTGCAAGAAAGGGAATGGAAGGAAAGGAAGGCTGTGACCATGAGAGGCTCTTCATACCATGCTAAGGAGTTTGGATAGACTTAATCCTAACAGCAAAGGGCAGCTAGTGAAAGATTTTAAGCAAGGCAGTGATGTGTTCAGATTTGCATTATAGAATTGTTTATCCTGGCTTCACAGAAAATATCCCCACTAAGCAGAAAAACACCAGTCATCAAAGTAGAATACATTTCCCAACTAACAAAAAGTTAAGCAAAGGGCAATACATCACTGTCTTAGGGAAACCAGCAAACAGGTGATTTTAACCTGACTGATGTAAAAGTCAAAGCCCCGCCCCTACTCCTATTAGTCATGCAAAAATGTACTGCATTTACTAGGGTATTTCATCAGCCTAGAAGTGACATAAAGTTTGTTTCCTTTATTATAACCCAGTTGTACAAAAATAAAAATAAAAATCCTCACTACAACTTCACATTCAAGTGCACATTGTGCACTTACAGAATATCATTTCCCAGTGAGAAAAGGCATCAAAAGCAAATAAATTATTTTCATGTCCTTTGAAGAAAACTGTATCTGCCTTTATGATAAGGAATTATAATGGTCCGTATTTGACATGTTACTTGCCAGTGGGTTGCCTGTACAACAGTCAGGAAATCAGCAGCTTCCTGCCAATGTTTAAGGCCATTTGTGACTTAAGTTTCTGTTTAATTTTCCAGAATTACATACTAAAGGTCATAAAATTGGTTATAACCTTTGACACAGTAAATCTATGCATTCATCCTAATAAAGCAATTAGCAGCAGAAAAATGCTAATTGTGTGTTTTTAAAGGTTCCCTACAATATTCTGTAAAAACAGAAATAGCTTATTCTATCATAGATTACTTAAGAAAAATAAAATAAATTAACACAACTAAATACTACATTCAAAAATGATTATTACAAAGACTCTATTAAAATAGAATAAAAAAGTTTAAGAAGACAGGTATATGTATCCAGCAATTAAAATTACATAATACAGTACATATTTATACATTATCGATAAAGACTAGAAAAGAATAAGTAAAAACATAACAGCTTCGTGTAGGAGTAAAAAATGTCAACATTAGGCCGGGCGCAGTGGCTTACACCTGCAATCCCAGCACTTTGGCGGGCCAAGGCGGGCGGATCACAAGGTCAGGAGATCGAGACCATCCTGGCCAACATGGTGAAACCCCGTCTCTACTAAAGATACAAAAATTAGCCTGGCGTGGTGGCGGGCGCCTGTAGTCCCAGCTACTCTGGAGGCTGAGGCAGCAGAATCACTTCAACCCGGAGGCAGAGGTTGCAGTGAGCCGAGATCATGCCACTGCACTCCAGCCCGGGAGACAGAGCAAGACTCTGTCTCAAAAAAAAAAAAAAGTCAACATTAAAGAAAGCATTCTTCTTAAATGCTTACAGAATTATTATTACAATTTAAAAAACTAGAACAAAGTTTTATCATTCTTAGGAACAAACCAATCGTAGGCTGATTAGTTTGAACAAACATCCACACAAGTTCAGTGCTAGCCATCCGGCCAGCCCTTGGACTGAGCACCTAGAACATCTCACTCACCAAGTAACTTGATCTCTCTTCTCTCATAAGACACTGCCCTTCAGAATCCCCACGGTAAGGGGTGGACCCTAGACAATCCTAATTTCTCTTAAATAACCTCTAAATCTTCTACCCATAGATATATCTCAACCTCCTGAGAAGTATTTGAACAAATGAGTATTTTATTTCCTAAATTCTCTATGTGACTACCTTCTGTACCATTTTATCGCTCAGTAACAAATCCAGCATGATGATGGATTAAAAAACAATCCCTAAAGTGGTGGCCCAGACAGGTCTTAGGCAAGTCACTTAAACACTCTGATTCCTTTATTTCTCCACTGTAAAATCAGAAGGAGGTATTCTCAGGTGACTTCAATTTCTTACACCTCTTAAAAGTATTACAAGATTTTATGATCATTGTGTGCTAATAACCCTTAAACAGTATTTACTAGACAATGGCTATAAACTCAGAACCAAATATTCAGGTTCATGGTGGGCCTGTTCTCCATGACTTCTTAAAACCATTAGAACTATCAATTCTAACCTGAGAAAAGTAAACAAAACTCCAAGCCAAGAAGAAATTCGTTTGACTGCTTTGCTTTCTTCCAATATTCAAAGCAATATGTATTCTCATAAGTGTCTGGCTCCCAAATACCTTTCAGAGTCTCAATTCGACCTAGCATAAGCAGTATTTTCATCAGATTGGCAACTGTGTGGCAATATTCCTCTTTCAATGTTGCCTGATCCTTCCTTACTCCACTGATTTTTTTAAATTGAAATATATCAAGCATACAGAAAAGTATAAAGAACCATTGATCTTTAAAGAGGACTAAATAAGTCTCTTCACAGGGTTCCTACTACGTGCCAAACACAATGGCAGTGGTTCAGTGTACAAAGGTCAGCAACAGTGAGGACAATTAACCAAGGAAGTGCAATAATGTATACATTCCAGAATATGTCGCTTCAGGCATGACACAGAAGCCCTTAAAGCATACCAATGCAGGTAACACACTCAAATAAATACACCAGCAGCCCTTAGCTATAAACAAGTTCTGCCTTTTTTTTTTTTTTTTTTTTTTTTTTTGAGACGGAGTCTCGCTCTGTCGCCCAGGCTGGAGTGCAGTGGCTCGATCTCTGCTCACTGCAAGCTCCACCTCCCGGGTTCACGCCATTCTCCTGCCTCAGCCTCCCGAGTAGCTGGGACTACAGGCGCCCGCCACCACGCCCAGCTAATTTTTTGTATTTTTAGTAGAGACAGGGTTTCACCGTGTTAGCTAGGATGGTCTCGAATCCTGACCTCGTGATCCGCCCGCCTCGGCCTCCCAAAGTGCTGGGATTACAGGCGTGAGCCACCGCGCCAGGCACAAGTTCTGCCTTTTAAAGAATTCATTCCCAGTTGGTTGTTTGAAACTTGGCGCACATTTCCCCCAGACACACTGCAGTAAATGTGGTTAAGTTTCCAAGCCAACACACAAAAGGCCAATTTAACACATAAAGTATCTGAAACGCTATACATTTGCCCTGCCAAAATAGCAGGAAACATTACTGCAGCCAAAAAGAACCATAAGTGATTTTGCCATCTCAAAAGCAGGAGTGTGAGGGAAAGCAGAGTGTAGGTTCATAAGGGGTGCAGATGGAGTCTTGAGGTGGTGCCTAGAGGCCTTATTAAGGCAAGTGAGCTTAGGGATTGTGAAACCAAGGGCCAGGTTGGTCTGGCTTTGATCAAATCTAGGTTCCTCCACTTAAAAGCCGGGTACCTTTAAACATCAACCATTCTAAGGCTCAGTTTATTGATCTGAATTTCTGGCATAAACATTCAATAAACAATTAGGCATTTTATATAGTTTTTTCATTTGCTTGAGACTGTATAGCTTTCATTTTCCTTGATATAGGAGTATCCTTAACACCTGGCTGGGTTTATGAGTCATTATTAGAAAATGTTCAGTTTCCACCCAAAACAAAAACACTTTTTCAAAGTGTCTAGGCAAGAAATGTATAGGGAAGGGATCAATGAGAATGTATTGCACACTAGAACAAGATAGCCTCAATTAAAATGAAGCAACTAACACGGGACCAAAGACAGAAGAAAAAGGAGTCTTCCAGTAACAGAAGATAAGAAAGAGATACTAGGGAACTTCCAGATAACTTATGGGGCTGTTTACACAGGGAGGAAAAGAGAAGAGGAACAGTAAATAATAGTGGTAAACTCCAATAGGGTATTGGTACAAATACAGACAAACACACACATACATAAACACACATTCTCATTTAATTTTCACAATCCCATAAGGTAGGAGCCATTATTATCCTATTATCCTTTTACAGATGAGGAAACTGAGGCACAAAGCGGTTGAATAACTTGCCCACGATCACTCAGCTATGACTGATCATAAGCCAGGATTCAAACATACAGACTGGTCGCAGATTTGGGAGTCTAAACCACTATCTTATTACTGATGTTTCTGTAGTGGGAAGCCAACCATTTGCATAAGGAGGTTTCCTAAATCAGAGGTTCATAACTTGAATAATATTTACCTACAAAGTTACCACTTATAAAGGTGTAAACATTATGTAATCATTTACAGATTTTCTGGCAATATTCAGTATTTGGGGTAGCAGTGGGTAACTTTCGTTAAATGCTGCTGGATCCCAGGCACTGTCTGAAGCTATTTTGTAGGTTCTACCTCATTTAAGCTTCACAAAACTTCCTCTGTGACAGGTCTACACAGTCCATTTACAATTGAGAAAAAAATAAGGCTCAATTATGAGCCCAAAGTCACAGAGCTAGTAAGTGGCAGAGGACAGCCTCACATCGGCTCGTCCTGGTTCCAAGTCCAGCACGCTTTTCATAACACCACATCTGGTACGCTCAGACCCACACAGGTAAACACAGGACGTGTTATATAACAGTCAGGTAATATAAAGCAACAGTAAATCTCGTCTGACTTAAAATGTCAAAAACAGCAATACAACTTTTAAACTAAATATTTCACAAAAATATACCAAACTTACTTTAGGACAGCTAAATGAACCCAACTGCCCTGCCCCAAAACCTAAAAAACAAAAAATTTTTTTTTATTTTTTTGAGACAGAGTCTTGCTCTGTCCCCCAGGCCAGAGTGAAGTGGCATCATCTCAGCTCACTGCAACCTCTGCCTCCCAGGTTCATGCAATTCTCCCGCCTCAGCCTCCTGAGTAGCTGGGATTACAGGTGCGTGCTGCCACGCCCAGCTAATTTCTTTTTTTCTTTTTTTCGTATTTTTAGAAGAGATGGGGTTTCACTGTGTTGGCCAGGCTGGTCTTGAACTCCTGACCTCAAGTGATCTGCCTGCCTTGGCCTCCCAATGTGCTGGGATTATAGGCATGAGCGACCGCACTCGGCCTCAGGTCTTCTTTATATCTAACAATACCAAATACTATATTGTATAGACACATCAAGGCACATCTCCAAGGACCTAAAACTGCTTCAAAAACATTAGGTTAGAAGAAACAAGTTTCCTAGGTTCTCATTTTAAATACCAATGTCAGGAGAGAAAGAGAAAGAAAAGGACAAGTGACAATCCAGGAGAAAAAGTCTCTTTGAAGAGTAGAAACATGTTTTGTTGTTGTTTTCAATGCCAGAGAGCCTCAGATTTGAATTCTAGTTCTGCCATTTATTAGCTCTGCTCATCTGGAAAATGATGCCAATAAGATCCAAGTCTCTGGCTATTACAAAGATTAAATTAAATATCAAATGCAAAATACATAACCCAACAACTGACACAGTAAAAGCTAATAAATAGTCTCATGCCCGTGCCCACTCTCCTCCCCACGTGGGATGATGTGCTACAAATCCCACAGAGCTGGGAGGACATGACCTACCCCAAGCACACCTTAATCTTCAGACTACAAGATCCTTACAAGGTGCTTTGCTCGTTTTCCACCAAACCCACATCATGATTCCCATATTGTCCCAAAGCCTTTTTGCCTGTTTTATATAGGATAAGTATCTGTTTTATTATCTTGTTGTCACCACAGGTTGGGGAAACCAAAGGGCAACTATTTATTATTTATATTTCTATTACCACTCTCCAAAAAAAGGAGAGTTGAGGCTACCTATATAAATATAAAAGATATATACAACAGAACCATCAATTAAAAGAAGGATTTAACACATGTGACAAGTAATCCGATGAGGAGACTGAGGCAGAGAGATTATTGTAAGAAAACTGGATAGCAACTAAAAACAGGCAAATAACGTATCTTTGAGCTTTCTAGCAAGGAAACATAATGAGTTACAGATCACATTTTTTCTTTTTCTTTTTCTCTTTATATAAAAGAAAACACATCAATTTTTTTCTCTGAGGAGAGAGATCAATAACTTGCCCGAATTTATTTATCTAAGCCACTGGCAGAGCCAATGAGTCTTCCAAAATACTTGATGATCCTTTACAAAACTGTACCACCTATACAAGAATCAAGGATGTAATTTGACCGAATTCCCTTCAGTAAAATGTTTCCACTTTGAATCTCCTGCAAATTTTGTACAATTTGAGCAAGTGTACACAGGATCTGTGTTTATTCAATAAACAGCCGTGTGCCTACTGGGAAAGGTGACATTACGAAGAAAGAGATGGTTCCTGTCCTCAAGGGCCTCGTGACTGCATAGTGGAGGTGTGTCTGCAAAAGAACAGAAGCACAGACCAGAACACGACGTACTGGAACAGAGGATCACACACCACCAGGGGACTATGTGTATACACACCGCTTGTTGGGGTAGGGAGGGGCAGAGGAAGAGACCAGGGACATTTGAAGGGGCCTTGAAAGCTATGGAATTCTGACAGATGGAAAGCATGAAGCACGGGAAAAGTGCATTAAATGAACAAGAACACAGAAAAGCATGGGAAACATTGAAAGCAAAATAATGAATAATCTATTTTGGGACAGTGTAGAAGGAGAGAAATAGGAGAGTATGCTAGAAAGTTAAACTGAGGTTTTAGCATAAGGAACCTTTACTATCAGACTAAGGTGGAGTTTGGATTGTTTTCTATAGGCAATAGGGGCTTCTAAAGGCTTGTGATCAGTAGTCAGACACGGAAAGATAAATACAGCATGTGCTCACTTAAAGTGGGAGCTAAATAATGTCTGCACATGGACATAGAGTGCGCAATGATAGATCACCCAGGTAAAGAAAGCCAAAGGAAGGCTGCAGCAGTGGGGACAGCGAGTGGCAAAGGTGCTGAATACGAATACCAGGGAGGGAGCCCTGAAAGGGCCTAGGGAGGAGGTGGGGTGGGGCAAAAGCAAAGGGAGAGATCAGGGTTAGTCTAAGGCAGGGGGCAGCAGATCCTGGCCTGTGAGCCAAATCTGGCCTGCCGCTGCCCATTTTGAACGCCAATAAGCTGACGCATTTTTAAATGGTTGGAAAAAAAAGAAAAATATTTTGTTACAAGTGAAAATAGAAATGTCAGTGTCCATACATAAAGTTGTATTGGAGCACAGCCACACTCATTGGTTTACATACTGTCTATATCTACATTGGTGCTACAATAGCAGATTCAGTACTTGTGACAGACTGTACTGTGCTCAAAGCTGAAAATGTTTACTGTCTTTCCCCTCACAAAGTTTTCAGACTGCTGGCCTAGGGTTTTCAGGGTGGTGGATAGAGACGGTATTAACCAAAACAGAGAAATCATCCATTATTATGATGATGGGTCAGAAAGAAAGACGGTATCAATCTTGGAGCAGTTAAATGGGAGGTGTCAAAGGACACACAGCAAGGCAGCCCAGTGTGAAATGGAAAGCTCATCCCACTGAAGGGGCGTGGCACTGGCTATCCCCTCTGCCTAGTACATTTTTCTTACAGATCATTGCACTGCCTGGCTTCTACTCATTACTCATCCTTCAGGGCTGAATTTAAATGTCACTTTCTCAGACCAGGAGCCCTTCTCCCAACCCCCCAACCTAAGCATTCACTACCCATACCTTGCTAACTTTCTCTATTGCACTTATCACCACCTGAAATTATCTTGTTTATCAATGTGTTTAACATCTTAGACTGTTGGCTACTTAAGGACAGGGACCTTTCCTCTCTTGTTCCCCAGTGTCCCCAGTGCCTTGAATAGTGTCTGAAACTGTGCAACCAGTATTTGGGGGAGGTAAGGAGCAGAGAGGAAGGAAAATAAATAAAAAGGGACAACTGGAGCTCAGGCAAAAGTGGGTCATCTGCACAGTTTTCGCAACATATAAATCTACCATTCACAGAACCTTTAGAAACATCCTCATTGGGGGAGGAGGAGAAGTGAGAGAAAGAGACGATACTCAAAAAGAGAACAGAGACATACAGAGAAAGGAAGTCCTTACTGTGTCTCAGAAGCCAGGCACCAGTAGGGTTGAGGGACATCTGCCAGGAAGGAGGTTTTCAGCAGCATGAACTGTTTTAGATAACTAGGGCAGAAAAAAGGTGTTAAAATGTGACAGCAAGAAGGTCACTGGTGACCTCAAGGAAGCAGTCTCATGAGTGTAGAGGTGGCAGTCAGTTTGCAAAGGGTTAAAGAATGAGTGGGTGGGAGGAAGTGAAGGTTTTCAAGGTATTTGGCAGCAGAATGAAGGGAAAGAGGAAAGAGAGGAGAGGTGCTCTAGGGGCAACAGTGAGTGGATGGGATCCTTCCGTTTTTTCATGGGACACAAATCTCATCATGTTACTACCCTGCTTAAAAACTTCAACTTCCCCTAATGCATTATAAGGCCCAAAAGTAATAAAGCACATAAGGCCCTGCTTGACCAGGTTCCTTCCTGCCTCACCAGCCTCCACCTTTGTTCTCTCTGCACCAGCTGCAGGGTGTTGGTCCCACCATAGGTCTTTGGCACATATTCGTGCCTCTCACTGGAAATCCTCCTCATTCTCTTGGCACAGCTCTTTCACACTTCAGATTTCCATGTATAAAAGTGTACTGCAGGCCGGGTGCAGTGGCTCATGCCTGTAATCCCAGCACTTTGGGAGGCTGAGGCAGGCGGATCACGAGGTCAGGAGATCGAGACCATCCTGGCTAACACGGTGAAACCCCGTCTCTACTAAAAATACAAAAAATTAGCCGGGCGTGGTGGCGGGAGCCTGTAATCCCAGCACTTTGGGAGGCCGAGGCAGGCGGATCACGAGGTCAGGAGATCGAGACCATCCTGGCTAACATGGTGAAACCCCGTCTCTACTAAAAATACAAAAAATTAGCCGGGCGCGGTGGCGGGAGCCTGTAATCCCAGCCACTTGGGAGGCTGAGGCAGGAGAATGGCGTGAACCCGGGAGGCAGAGGTTGCAGTGAGCCGAGATAGCGCCACTGCAGCCCGGCCTGGGCGAAAGAGCGAGACTCCGTCTCAAAAAAAAAAAAAAGTGTACTGCAAAGACTCCCTTTTCTTACAACCCACCTCTGACATCTCTCCCGGTACTCAGCATCACTGTAACAAACAGTAATATAATTGCTGAATTGTTTTTTCAACTAGCAAGGAACTTTTCTAAGGGCAGGAGCCAAGCCCATCTTGTTCTCACATACAGTGAGATCTACAGAGAGTTGCTGAATAAAGGAACAAACATGAAAACCTAAGAGCATTTGTATTTCAGCCAGCTTGTAGATGGTAGGTGGCCTGCTTCCTAAATCACATCAAGTGGGCTTACAATTTATGTTTGGGCCAATATGACCTCCTCTGACTTCTTCCTACTTCCAACCAACCCAAGTGAATGGTCGTTCTACACAAGTAAAAACATGAGGTTCCTTGGAGTTACCACCATACATCAAATGATTTTCCCAAAAAGATAACCCGTATACTGTGATTCGTGGACTTGCCTTAAGTTTTACAGAATGGTTTTAACTGAACAAAATCAGTCAGAATATTAAATTAAGACATTAGCATATTACTTTTTAGTCTATGTTATGTGAATTAGTGCTAAAATGGGTTTGCAGGTACACCTGGCAAAAAGCCATTGTACTTCTTTCTTTATAATATATATTGCATCTGTCCGCATCCCTGTGTGTGATCCACCAAACTAGTTTAATAACAAAATTTTTATCTGGAAAGACACATATTTGGCAGATTATTTTTTCCTTGAGTTGTTTTCTGTTATCTTTTCTCTTAGTACAATATAAACATTATTTTAAATCATAATTGAAAAAAACTGTTATATAGCCTTACTACAACCTGATCAAATTAACTGTGCAAGCAAGCCTCCAGATAAAATTGTGCTTAACTGAATAAACTGTTGTCAGTTCTAATACCCTTAAGTCCTTAAAACACCATTAAAAACAAATAAGAGTTGCATTCATTACAAATGGTTCTTAGCTATTTCTACTTTATATTCAGACCAGTCTGAGTTACCAAGTGTATGTGAAAATAACAGACCTAAATTTATGTTTTAAATACCTACAGGTCAGCCTTTTCAGCTGAAGTGGACTTTCCTACCCACTCCCCCTCCATACAAATCAAATTAGGGAGCTTTCTTGTCTTTCTCATTCTAGAGTGGGAAGACAAGGGAAGATACAGCTAACTCCTTTGCTGTCAAAGCATATGGGATGAGAATGACATCAATAGCGCTTTTCCAATCACGTGGCAACAACTGTTCTTGAGTATAAATAATGCCCAGACCCAAGAAACCAGTCCAACATATACATCACCAAGAAGGAAATACATTTAAAATATTTTAAAACACACATCTATGATTAGGAGGAAGGGCCAACTCTTTGCACACTTTTACATTTTGGGTAAATCTTGCTTTAGGAAAGCAAAATATGTTTATGGAAACAGAAACTGTAAAAGGGCATTCCATAGAAACTGAATACATATTTGAGAGTCCCTTTAAACTCTTATAATTCCTTACCAGCAAAACTCCCTGGAGTATTATCTGATTTACAAGATATTTAATTTCCACACAACTCTGAAGACACCGTTTTACAAACAGGTATACATGGTGCCTCTGCCAATAGCCCACAACTTGCTAAGTAAACTGAATCAGTGAGGTCAACACAGTATCTTCACATTAACTTTCCCAGAAAGTCAAATACATTCCTACCAAATTATATACCTTGGATGGCACTTTAAATTAAATAAAAGCACCTTTGTTAGTCATTTTTCCTTAAAAATAAGAGTAAAACCTAATTTACCTAGCACCTTTGGCACTGTCTACGTAATAAACCCTTCTAGATTTGAGAAACTGCCTTCTTTTTTGATTTACTCATTGCTAACTGAAATCTAACATAGAATATATCTGTTAGTTTTTGTTTTGTATCTACTGGTGGCATCTTCCCTACTATGTTAAACATTCTGAATATAATTTGAGGGTTTTTTTTAAAATACACATCCTATTTATCAATCATTAAAATAAAATAAGCCAGGCATGGTGGTTCATGCCTATTATCCCAAAACTTTGGGAGGCCAAGGCAGGAGGATTGCTTGAGCCCAGGAGTTCGAGACCAGCCTGAATAACAGAATGAAACCTCTCTCAACAAAACAATTTAAAAATTAGCTGGGTATTGTGGCACATGTCTGTGGTTCCTGCTACTCGGAAGGCTGAGGTGGGGAGGATTGCTTGAGCCCAGAAGGTCAACGCTGACTTGAGTTATGACCACACCACTGCACTTCAGCCTGGGTGACAGCGCGAGACCTTGTCTCAAAATAAAATAAAATGTAAAAATAGCTAGCACATTTTCAGCTCATGCTGGCATCACTTCAAAATCTTAAGCATAGTCATTCAACCCTCAAAACAACCTCAGAGGTAGGTACTGTCTTTATTGTCATTCTATGGATAAGGAAACAGGCGTAACTTGCTTGCAAACTCACAGCTAGGATCAAATCATACAGTGTAGATCCAGAGCCTCCAAAAACAGACTATCAGAATCAAAAAACAAAACAAGGCTAAAAGACAATCAATCAGTCTGTTTTCTACTCAGAGGTACCATAAATTGATGTGATTTAGTCTCCTACAGCCGGCTTCAAGTTATTACTATCTTCTATGCAGACGGCCGCAGCTCCTCTTCCTAGGTTTCACAGTCAACCTTCTCTCGCAGCTCACTCTTAAGTAATCTTCCCTGAGTTAAAGCAAAGATTCCTCACTGGTGTTTCACCCTGAAGAAAACCTCTTCTTTGAATTTGTCTACAGAAATTCTCTGAAAGCAGCTTCTTATATTGTCCTCAGACCTTCTTACATACCTCCTAACCCCTAAATGAGACATCTGAAGTTGCCCTTTTCTGCTAGAGATGTGAACTTTCACTTCATTTATGCTCAACAACTTGACCTCTTCTTCATGGCTTGATGATCATTACCAATACCAAACACCATACTGTGCTGTGATTAACAATGCAACCTCAAATTGCTAGCTTGTTGACAATGGTGTTTGCCCTCCACTAAATGCCCCAGATTGTTTCACTTTTGAGTTTTGGTTCTCCTTGTCATAAACCAGTAGAAACTCCTTATTCACTTCTAAGATAAAAATTAACACTGCTTGCCTCTGAGAACATGTCTTCCTGTATTCATCCACTTAACAACTCTTGCCTCTTAGGTTTCTTGTATTTAATTTCCTAATGGCTTAAAAACCAGTTAGATAAACTGTCAAAAAAAAGTCTTTATAAATTAAAAGCAAATCAAAGTAGGTTTTATTCCACTGTAAGAAAAGCATGGATGAACTTCATGACATCTTGCTTGGCTCGAAGCCTTTCTTGTTTCCTAGTAGTCTTCTGGATAGTTGATAAATGGCAGATAATAAAAGGCGTTTTCTGGGATGGGGAGGAGAGAGTTGCACAATGGTCAGATGAAGCTCACCCTTCATAGAACTCTCAGTGCTTCAGGTCTTCATTTGCTAACGATGTTATTCTTGAGCTTGGAAACTTCAAATGGCTTCTCATCTTCCCCACTCATTCGTTCAACAGAGGCCTCAGTCCCTAACCTAACACTGCTCACAAATTTGTGGAAAGAGCTACGGTCTTCACAATCTGGATCCAACCTGCATGTCCTGCCCTACCTCCTTCCGCTCCCTCCCAAGCAGTCTTTGCTCTAATCTAGTGGCCACTTCCAAGTCTGCCACTGACACCACGTACATGCCCACTTTTATGTCCTTGCTCACACTGTATCTCTGCCTAGACTTCCTTCCCACCCTAAAACAAAGGAACTCCTACTCACTCCTGAAGGCCCAACTCAAATGAAGCCTCTTCAAAAAAGCATTTGACAAGGGCTCCACGCAGGAATTAGCTCTCTTCAGGGTCCTGGAGCTCTTAATTCTGACTGCTACTACAGCATCACCCACAATGTGTTACAGCCATGTATACCAAGTTTATTTCCATATAAACTATGTCTTATCCTTCTGCCAGGCACTTAATAGGTACCAAAGAGATGTCTGTGCATACAAAGAATGAATTAATCTGTAACATTAAAAAAAGAAAGATAACAAGGGGAAGCTACTTCCTAGTCCTCAAACTTCAAAGGAGTGCCATGAAGGGTTCTAGGAAACATTCTACAATCACAAAGATTTACTCTTTTACATGCATATAGTCTGCAACTGTAAAACTGAACATGCCCTCAGGGTCTTCCACTAGACTGTAAATTCCACACGAGGACAGATTTGTACCTGTTTTGTTGTCTGTCTATTCACTCTCTGAGATTCACTGCAAGAGCTCAACAAGTATTTGCTAAATGAATAAAAGAATGTATAAAATGCTAGTGTGAATAGTACTGTTAAATAAATTCAGTTACTGCAGATTAAAAATATCCCAACAAACGCCAGCTCTATCTTCTGGCCAGAGTAGACTTAAAAGAAATTATCCTTTTGCTTCTAAAGCAGGTCTTGCCTCGGGACTGGGCAGTTTATCCGCAGAGCACCAAGGAAGAATGTGTGCCCACTGCCAACTACAAAGAATCATGGATCATAAACCCTCAGAAGTGGAGGTATCACGGAAATGAGCTTAATGTTTTATGCTTTCCTGTCGCCTTAAACTGCCAAGAAGGCTGGTGCACCTCAGAGGAAAGAATACTCACAGGAATTAGTTTCCGGTCCCTGAAACCCAGTCATTTCAACATGACAGCTGTTTGAAATCCCATGTAACCAGAGGGTTTCTGAGACAGGAAGCAACAGTGGCACACCTAGCTGAGCACGGGGGAGAGTAAGAAGCAGAGAGGAAACAAGCTGAATGAGAACATGGCTTGGAGGCAGCAAGGAAAGTATAAAAACAATGAACCAGGCCAGGCGCGGTGGCTCACGCCTGTAATCCCAGCACTGTGGGAGGCCAAGGCAGGCGGATCACTTGAGATCAGAAGTTCTAGACCAGCCTGGCCAACATGGTGAAATCCCATCTCTACTAAAAAACAACACAAAAATTACCCAGGCATGGTGGAACGTGCCTGTAATCCCAGCTACTCGGGAGGCTGAGGCACGAGAATCACTTGAACCTGGGAGGCAGAGGTTGCAGTGAGCCTAGACTGTGCCACTGCATTCCAGACTGGGCGACAGAGTGAGACACCATCTCGAAAAATAAAAATAATAATAAAAACAATGAACCGATGTCTCTGATGCCTACTATAATGTAATTTACCTTTACATCGTAATTATTAAAAAAGAAAGAAATGAAGGGCACAGAAACAAGGAACACCTTCCTTGGTCACCAGCTACTCTCTCTCATCATTCTCTGAATCCTAACTGCTCTTATAGAAAAGAAATTGGCAAGGATGTGAGTGTGCTTAAATGGACAAGCGAGTAGAGCATGAATGACTTGTTCCCTCTATTTTCTACTTTCCTATATTTTCTAATTTTTCTATAGTGAATTCTCCTTATTGTTATGATGGGAAAAATAACCTTTGCTTAAAGAAATTATAGAGCTAAAAAGTACATGTTCTGACAATAAGAAAACTAAGTATACTAAAAAAACCTTTACCCCAAAAAATGAATAACAAAGAATTCGATAATATCAAACCATCCACAGGCGGCTTTTTACTCAACATATTGCCTTAACCCTGGTTCCCTCAACTACCGGTAAATCTAATGATTCACTTATGAAAAATACTCTTCATATTAGTTATGATTTGCATAGCACGTCACAGTTTCCATGCATTATTTACCTGACTTCCCCCCAAAACTCTGCGAGATGACCAGGGAGAATATTTTTATCTCCATTTTGCAAATGAAGAAAAGAGGTGCCCTGAAGTGAAAAAATTTGCCACAAGAGCCCAGATCTTCTTGCTCCTTACTCAGTATTCCAAAGCAGGACTTCTTAACCTGGGCACTACTGAGATGGATAATTCTTTGTTTGGGATGGGGGGCTGTCTTGTGCGTTATAGGATGTTTAGTAGCATCCCTAGCCTCTAACCACTAGATGCCTACCAGTAGCACCGCTCCCTTCCCCCAAGTTGTAACAACCAAAAATGTCTCCAGAAACTGCAAATATCTCATTGGGTGCAAAATCATACCCTTACTAGTCTAAAAAAATCTGAAAGTTCCTTCCAACACTCCTGTTCAATGACAAGGTTCCATATACCACTGAGCCACAATAATCACAGAACATCCAATGTTCCTTCTTCAGCGAGATTCCATTAATAAGCCAATTCCCCATCCACTTAAAATAATGGTTTTAAATGTGAAAATGAACAAGAAAAATTTATTTGTATGAATATTCACATCTCAGACAATAAATCTTCTAACAGCATGCTATTATCTTATCAGGACATAAGGACATACAAAATGGGATGTGTCTTTGAGGGGAAAAAAACACCAGAGGAATCTGAGAATTAGAAAACACAGATCATGGTCTTTGCTATGCAGTTATACCTTAGTGTTCTCTTGTTCTCTCTACACAAATGAGTATCAACCTACACGTTCTCAATGCTTGTTTCAGTCGGAAGTATATGGCTTTAGCCAAGCTCATGTTAAGATCCTAAATTACAACAACTGAAATGTAGTTATATTTTAGGAAATGTTTGAATTATTTTACCTATATCTAATTTATGCATTCTCTACAATCATTTCCCAATGGTAGTAAATAATTAGTATAGTATGAAATGGAGGAAACCATTTAAACTGGCTGTATTCAGTGTGGAGTATCACACTGCAATCCTAGCAGTAAAAAAACATAGTTTTGTATCTATTTGCAGAAACTAAGACTCAGTCAAAGCACTTAGTTAATATGATATACAGAATTAAGAAGAGGTTATGATTATTCCTATTTATAATGTCCAAAGTCATTCCAGTATGATGTCTTCACATCTTTAAATGTGATCTGGATCTATACAGGGGAGACATTTTCTCCACATTACAAAGCATATTGTACCAGAAATGTCTGGAACCCTGGTGGTCTCCATTAATCTTCACCACAAAGTACAAAAGAACACATTGATCCTTCAATGAAAATAATCCCCTGGTCTTGGAAAACATCAGAGTCACCAAAAGCAAAATCAAGAAACAACACATAATGGGGTTTTGGAAAGGGAAGAACAAAGATTCAATCAATACGAATTGCTCATCTTAAACAAAATCTACTGTGCCTATACCCATATTTAACTCAAATCTTTTCTTCAAAAAATAAAAAAATAGCCAAAACCAAACACGCCCTGATTTACATCTCTCTCTGCATTATTCTCATCACTTAACTACCCATGTTTTACTCCCTGAAAGAAGTAATGACAATTTTATACCACTGTAAATTCCTGCCAGTGAGAGAAAAACCCTATGACTTGGGGGGAAAAGTGTCAATGACATGTATAGCGATGTACTCAACCAGGGGCAGAAGGCAGCTCACAGCCACGTAGTAAGAAGAGTGGCAGGAAGGACGGGGTCCCCTTCCCCAGGAACACACAGGAAATCATGGAGTGCAAACCCTCCAAAAAACGTGTGCACAAACACCTGGCAAACATCGCATCTTTTATCTAGAAGTTCCGTGGTAAACACACATCCAAGGAGCCCACATCCCAGGGACCCTGGGGAGTGACTTTGGAGGAGTGTCTATTAGTCCTCCGATGCTCCCGGTCGCCGACGATGCGCGGATGGAGTTGGAGTGAGGGAGCCAGAGACCAGCCCCAGTTTCGGTTAATCAGTCCCTTTCCAGTGGGATTCGCAATTCCCCGGGTAGTTCTCTCCCACTGTTCCCCTTCCCTGGTCCTCTCGCCCAGGGTCTCCTTTCCCACTTCTCGCTGGCTACCTGAGGCCTGGTTCCTAACAGAACCTAAGAGGGGAGGGGGCGTTTCCCGAGTTCGCGGACGCCCAACACCCAGCTCCAAATCCCAGAAACTTTCCCTCGCTGAGACCGCAAGGAAGGAAAAAAGCTAAGACCCTCAGCCTCCTTCCTGGGGCCGAAGAAGAAAACCTTTCTGCGCTGCCACCCCGGCCGGGAGCTGGCGGTCAAGTTCGCGGTACAAGGAGCTAGGGACGTCAGCCCTCCAGCCCGCGCCTGTATCTCGGGGTGGTATAAACAGGATGTCAGACAGCGCGCTCCGGGCTTGTTTATGAAAACTTGCCGTGCGCGCTGGGGGAGGGGGCGGCCTGGCTTAACCGCTCTTCTCCCGGCCGGGGGCCCCCGCCCGGCGACCTCCTCGCCGCCCGCCGGCTCCGCGGGGCTGGAAATCCCCGCCTTCCCCGCCCGAGCCGCGGGGTCCTGAGCTGCGCTCAGGAGCAGCCCGGGCCGCGCAGCCTAAGGACCGACCAAGAGCGGTGGCCGCGCCTCCGGCCAGTCCGGGCTGCGCGCCCCTCGCCTGCCGACCGCGGCCGCCCCGGCTCCTCCACCTCCCCCGGTGACACTCACCACTTCCGTGTGCGCCTGGGCCAGGCAGCGCCCCGTCGCTGCGCTGGCTGGGGTCGACCGGCAGGCTCGCTAGGCGGCCAGCCCCGCGGGGCCCCAGCGTGCGCGCGCCCAGGGCTGAGGAGGGGTCGCGGCGAGGACAGCCGGGACTGGGCGCAGGCCCGCACTGTCTGCAGCTCCAGGATACTCCGCGGCCGCCGCGGCCTGCGCTCAGCGACGCACCGCCTCCCGTCCCGCCCCGCCCCGCCCCGCGGCCGGCCCCACCCCCGTGGCCGCCGGGCCCACCCCCTCGCGACGTCACCAGCGGCAGCCCCGGAAAGCGGGGCGGGGTCGCGGTCCCGGCGGAGACTCTGCGCCTCCGGCCTACCCGCCCCGCCCCCATCCGGCTTCGCTCGCGAAGCTGCCCCCACTCGTCTCTGTTCACCGCGTCCTCTAGATTCTAGAATCTAGAAACTCATCTAGGACGCGAGGTCATCTATCGCGGGGAGTAAAATTGCCAGGATTCGCCCGTAGATTGACCCCTCCCAGCTCTGGAGCCCCCTCCGCCACACCTTTGTGCGCTCGATGCAGAAATGCATCCCGCCTCCTCCGTATACGCTCCGCTTCTTACCCCAGCTCAGTAGGAGAGGAGCTAGTGGAGCACTAGACTAAAAAGAATTTAACAATACAGCCCCCAGCTTGGACAAGCTACTGCAGATCCAACCCATTCCGTATTTTAAAAGCTCTTTACGAAAAAAAAAAAAGCATATGCATAATAGGAATTAGAACTACATTCACTGATACCTAATGCATGTACAGCGCTTTTCATTTTTTACTAATAACCTCTCAAAGTAGTAGCATCATCTTATCCATGAGGAACAAATTAAGTCTTTAGTGTCTTAATCAAGGTCACACTGTAGCCAAGATTCATACTTCGTAGGCAGTCCACGGACAAATCCTAACAATTTTATTTCCTTAGGTATCTCTCCAATCAGTTCACTTGTCTATGTTCCGGCAACACGGTCCGAGCTGCCACCATCTCTCACCTGAAGGGACCACGAACATCTCTTAAATCGTCACTCCATTCACTCCAGCCCCCAATTAATTCTCTACAATGAACTTTTAAAAATTCAAATCTGTTCCACACACTCCCATGCTTAAAACACTCCAGCGACTTCCCCCTGACAATCCCTGGATGAAAATCCTCCGAGGCCGTGCACGGTCAGAATTCTGCAGCTTCAGGGCTGTGGACAGAGGCTGCCCCACCTGTGCTGACTTCACTAACCCTGCTGGACAGTTCCTGATCACTTGAGTTACTGCAACTGAAACTGAGCAAGATATTCTGGGTGTGGAATAAAGTCAAGCATCCGAATTAGACTACTGAATTTGAGGTTTGGCCTCCACCAGTAACCACCTGTGTTGCCCTAAACAATTCTTAGTTGACTCAATTCTCAGTGGAGCAGCAGACAAAAGGATCTCCAAAGTGCCTTCCAGAAGTACAGAAAAGAGGACCAAAGAAGACCGGAGATCAGAGCAGACAGGGAGGCAACCCGGGTTGCCTGCATTGTGGGTGTTTGTGTGCAAGTCTTGTCTCATCTGCCACACTCTGAACAACACCTCAGGGCTGTTTGCATCATTTTCTTCACCTGTTAAATAGGGATAATGCCTTCCTTAAAGGGGTTTTGCTGAAGGTGAACTATGATAATATAGCCCACATGGCATGGGCTCAGGAAGTGGTAGGGGTTTTTATTGAGCTGGACCATAAAGAACAGGTGAGACTGACATGAAGGGAGACAGAGACGTGAAAGAACAGCATTTCAGGTGAGGATGTAAAGAAAAAGGAAAGTCAGGAAGGCAGCAGTGAACCCATTGTGCCCACGAACGAATCTGGCTGTTCACAGGGTGGAATCAGGGGGAGAGGGCCTGGATTCAGTTTAGATCTGTTCGTCTATAACAGACATTGTGCTAGGTGATGAAGATTCAGAGAAAAAAAAAATAGACTAGGTTCCTGACCTCTGAATGCTCAATGCAGTCAGAGAGACAGGCAAGTAACAATTCAGTGATTCCCGGTCCTGTAATGGTGATCACAGAAGACAGTCACCCAGCCGAGTCTGAGGAAGTCAGAATAAGCTTCAAGTAGCCGACAGGAGGCAGGAGTCAGGAGGTAGCGGCATATTCAGGCAGTAATAGTATATGCTGGCTGGGTGTGGCGGCTCATGCCTGTAATCTCAGCACTTTGGGAGGCTGAGGCAGGAGGACTGCTTGAGGCCAGGAGTTTGACACCAACTTGGGCAACACAGCAAGACCCTGTCTCTAAAATAAAAACAAACAAACAAACAAAGGCCAGGTGCAGTGGCTCACGCCTGTAATCCCAGCACTTTGGGAGGCCGAGGTGGGCCAATCACTTGAGGTCAGGAGTTTGAGACCAGCCTGGCCAACATGGCGAAACCCCATCTCTACTAAAAATACAAAAATTAGCTGGACGTGGTGGCGGGAACCTGTAATCTCAGCTACTTGGGAGACTGAGGCACAAGAATCGCTTGAAGCCGGGAGGCAGAGTTTGCAGTGAGCTGAGATTGTGCCACTGCACTCCAGCCTGGGCGACAGAGCGAGACTCCCTCTCAAAAAAAAAAAAAAAAAAAAAAAGGTAAACTAGCTGGGCATGGTGGCACATGCCTGTATTTCCGACTACTTGGGAGGCTGATGCTGGAGGATCACTTGAGCCCAGGAGTTTGAGGCTGCAGTGAGCTAGGATCACACCACTGCACTTTAGCCTGGGCAACAGAGTGAGACCCCTTCTCTTAAAAAAAAAAAATAAGTATATGCTGTGTGACTGGGGAATGAGAAAAGTTGAATCCCATGCAAAAACTTTTGCCTAAAATAAAATAGTGGGTTTTTTTTTTTGAGAGATTTAAGGTTTTTGTTTTAGAAGAATCACCCTAGGGCAAGGGCTCTCAACCTCAGCACTATTGACATTGTGGGCTGGAAAATTCTTGTTGTAGTGGGGGTGTCCTGTGCATTGTAGGATGTTTAGCAGCATCTCTGACCTCTGACTACTAGGTGCTAGTAGCAAGTCCTCTTGTTCCCCCATCACACCCCCCCGCAACTCCCCACCCTCCTCCTTTCCCAGCTGTGACTTCCAAAAATGTCTTCAGACGTTGCCAAATGTCCCCTGGGGTGCAAAATCACACCCCACTGAGAACCACTAGTCTAGGGATAATGTGGAAGATGAATTGGAGGGCAAGGAGATTAATTACATGTCATTGTAAAACTGCAAGCTGCGAGAGATGACAGCCTATCTAAGGCAGTGGACTGGGGAAGGATACTGAGGAAGATGCAAAAGGCCTGAGGAGATAGAATGGACAGTGCTTGGTGACTGATTAGATGTGGCTACTGAGGCAGAGAGAGGAATCTCGCATGACTCCCAAATTTTCTGAATTGGTTAATAAGCTGACCAAGGATGCCACCGACTGGATGCCACCGACTAAACAGGATAAGAAATTCAGTTTTATGTTTGAGAAGAGGAAAGTTTTAAACAGTCACTGAGCCAGGCGTGGTGGCTTAGACCTGTAATCCCAGCATTTTGGGAGTTCAGGAGTTCAAAATGGGTTCAGGAGTTCAAAATGAGACCAGCTTGCGCAACATGGCAAAACCCTGTATCTACAAAAAATACAAAAAATAACTGAGTGTGGTGGCACATGCCTGTGGTCCCAGCTACTCAGGAGTCGAGGTGGAAGGATCACTTGAGCCCAGGAGATCAAGGCTGCAGTGAGCTAGTATGGTGCCACTGCACTGAAGCCTGGGAAACAGAGTGAGACCCTGTCTCAAAAAAAAAAAAAAAAAAAAACGGCCGGGCACAGTGGCTCACACCTGTAATCCTAGCACTTTGGGAGGCCAAGACGGGGTGGATTGCTTGAGGCCAGGAGTTCAAAACCAGCCTGGCCAACATGGTGAAACCCCGTCTCTACTAAAAATACAAAAAATTAGTTGGGCATGGTGGTGGGCACCTGTAATTCCAGCTTCTCGGGAGGCTGAGGCAGGAAAATAGCTTGAACCCGGAAGGCAGAGGCTGCAGTGAGCCAAGATGGCACCACTGCACTCCAGCCTGGGCAACAAGAGAAAAATTCCATCTCAAAAAAACAAAACAAAACAAAAAGGGCCGGGTGCAGTGGTTCATGCCTGTAATCCTGCAATCCCAGCACTTTGGGAGGCCAAGGCAGGTGGATCACCTGACGTCAGGAGTTCAAGACAAGCCTGGCCAACATGGCAAAACTGTCTCTACTAAAAATACAAAAAAATACAAAAATTAGCCAGGCGTGGTGGCATGCACCTGTAGTCCCAGCTACTCGAGAGGCTGAGGCACGAGAACCGCTTGAACCTGGGAGGCGGAGGTTGCAGTGAGCCTAGAGCACACCACTGCACTCCAGCCTAGACGACAGAGAGACTCTGTCTCAAAAAAAAAAAAAAATGCCACTCAGTAGAATATATGATATATAGGAGAGACACAATAGTGTAAAACAAAAGAATACAAATATTTCCTTCTAACATGCAATCCATGACATACATCTAAATTTAATTAAACCAAATGCAGTGTAGAAGCCTCTTATTAGAAAATTAATAACAACCACCCAACCATCAATCATACACACAGTTTCACACATAAATCTTCATCAAAAGAATATGTCCCCATCAGTCTTCCTCTGCAAAAGCTATTGCTTAGATAACAATGGGAAAATATGTTAGATGCAAACAATGATGTTTTTTCAACAACACTAAACTAAACTAAATCCCCATTGTACAAATCATGAAATTTGTTTCCAAAAATTGGAATCTGGAGAAAAAATTGACTGTAATCTTGCAAACCTGATATAAATCAGTCACCATATTATATGTTTTCTTCCCATTATCTTTTTCCACGGGGCATATTTTTCATATAAATATAGTCATGGCATACATGTCACTTTGTAAACTGTTCCTTAAACTTAATTGTAATTCATAAGTGTATTTCAATGTTTCTATACAAGTCTTCATAACGAATGAAGTTTTTCATGCAAATAATTTTTTTTTGAGTCAGAGTCTTGCTTTGGAGTGCAGTGGCACAATCACAGGTCACTGCAGTCTTGACCTCCCAGCCTCAATCGATCCTCCTGCCTCAGCCTCCTGAGTAGCAGGGACTACAGGTGCGTGCCATCACACTTGGCTGCTTTTTGCAGAGACGCGGTTTCATCATGTTGCCCAGGTTTCTCTGTCATACTTTTTTTTTTTTTTGAGATGGAGTTTCACTCTGTCGCCCAGGCTCGAGTACAGTGGCGTGATCTCGGCTCACTGCAAACTCTGCCTCCCGAGTTCAAGCGATTCTCCTGCCTCAACCTCCCAAGTAGCTGGGATTACAGGCACGTGCCAACATGCCTAGCTAATTTTTGTATTTTTAGTAGAGACAGGGTTTCGCTATGTTGGCCAGGCTGGTCTCAAACGCCTGACCTCAAGTGATCCACCCACCTCGGCCTTCCAAAGTGCTGAGATTACAGGCGTAAGCCACCGTGCTCGGCCTTATCTATCATACTTTTGATATGCATTTTACGGCATGTTATTTGCCCTAAAAAACTACACTTGAAGAAGTTCTCCATTTTCTTGTACTCAAATATGTTGAATTGTTGTGGGTTTTTGTTTGTTTGCAAACACTGTACTGCAGCCTGGGCAACAGAACAAGACCTTGTCTCAAAAAAAAGAAAAAAGTGTGACAGATACAATATTGCTATCTTTATTAAAGATCTCATTATTACAAATTGACAGAAGATACAATGACCCTAGTAGATGGTGGGCAAAGAACAAAAACAGATAATATTCCCCCTACCTACTCTTCCACATGCACATTGATATGTTAAAAGAAAAATAGAAACTAGTGAGAAAGCATATAGAAAATCATTAACTTCTTTAATAAATGTAAAAATTCAAATTAAAGCTACAAGATACATTTTTAAAACATTAAAGGTACAAACTATTTGAAAAATTATAATGTCCACTGTTTTAGACCCTGATAGGGTGTATGCTTTTCAGGGCAGTGTAGATTTGTGGAAACTGAATAGAAAGTAACTTGCCAATACTAATCTATGAATTAATCTAAAATTATACAGTCCATTTGACTCAATCCCATTTCTGTGACTGTGTTCTAAAGCAGTCGTTTTAATATACAGTTTAGGCTGCATGCAGTGGCTCATGCCGGTAATCCCAGCACTTTGGGAGGTCAAGGCGGGTGGATCACTTGAGCTCAGGAGTTTGAGACCAGCCTGAGCAACATGACAAAACTCCATCTCTGCAAAAAATACAAAAATTAGCCAGGTGTGGTGGCTTGTGCCTGTAGTCCCAGCTACTCAGTAGGCTGAGGTGGGAGGATCGCTTGAGCCTGGGAGGTTGAAGCTGCCATGAGCCACGATCCCACCACTGCACTCCAGCCTGAGTGATAGAGTGAGACCCTGTCTCCAAAAGAAACAAAACCATTTAATATTTATTGTTTAAAAATTATTTGCATAGGCTGGGTGGTGGCTCACGCCTGTAACTCCAGCACTTTTGGAGGCTAAGGTGGGAGGAATGCTTGAGGCCAGGAGTTCAAGACCAGCCTGGGCAACATAGGGAGACCCTGGACTCTATAAAAAATTTAAAAACTAGCTGGGCATGGTGGCATGCATCTGTAGTCCTAGCTACTGAGGAGGCTGAGGCAGGAGGATTACTTGAGCCCAGAAGGTAGAGGCCACAGTGAGCCATGATTGTGCCACTGCACTCCAGCCTGGGCAGCAGAACAAGATTCTGTCAAAAAGAAAGAAAGAAAAAGAGAAAGAAAGAAAGAAAGGAAGAAAGGAAGAAAAAGAAAGAAAGAAAGAAAAAGAAAGAAAGAAAGGAAAAGAAAGAAAGAAAGGAAAAGAAAGAAAGAAAGAAGGAGAAAGAAAGAGAGAAAGAAAGACGGAAGGAAGGAAAGAAAGAAAGGGCGAGAAAGAAAGAGAGAGAAAGGAAGGAAGGGAGGGAAGGAGGGAGGGGAGGGGAAGGGAAGGGAAAGGAAGAGAACAAAAGAAAAGAAAAGAAAGATTTAAGGAATATAAATATTGGGGAGGAGGGCATAAACATTCTATTTTTTTAATCTATTATATTTTATACAGCTAAATATTTTACACATTCAGTATTTAAACCTATAAGATTTCAATGGATGTTCTGAAGTGTCAAAATTGCTTTTTTTAAAATCAAACTGTCATTTTCTATTGAAAATATAGTATTAAGTAAATGTTCACCTTTTAACAATCCCTTCCCTCGTCTCACTTTGCAAAAAAAAAAAAAAAAAAAAGGAAAAGGAAAATCAAATGTTGAACCTCTTACAACCTACCGCTGAAATAAACTTTGACACTGACTGAGCAGATCTTTCTCTACATGCTCACTAACCCATTGAATCAGCTTCCATCTAAGGTGGGGTGTGATTAGACTTACAGGAAGGAGGCCCTTTTCTATTGCTTAGTACCATGCAAACAGTAGGCTGTCTAAAATACTTATTCATAATGACAGAAAGTAAGAAAAAAATCGGATTAAATATAATGGGAAGGAAAGGGAATATATATATTTTTCCTTAAAGGTATCATGCATGACATATAATAAAAATTCAATAGATATTTGCTAAAGCTATAATTCAGTAAAGAAAAAAGATGAAAAGCAAATGAATCATGTATGTATATATAATTATAAATGTCCACATTATGTTTTTAGACTGAAAATTTTCAGTTAATTGTCCAAAGTAGAACGTTGGTAACTCTGTCATAAATTCAATACATAGGTATCACACATTTGGTATGGGTATCACACATTTGGTATTGTCCTAAAATCATTGCTTGAGAA
Source organism: Homo sapiens (assembly GCF_000001405.40). Lineage (NCBI taxonomy): Eukaryota > Metazoa > Chordata > Mammalia > Primates > Hominidae > Homo > Homo sapiens. Next base: position 64,974,184 of record NC_000001.11, read on the forward strand.
AAAAACTTGATTCTGATTTGGAGAACTTCCTCCCCCAACTTCTGTAGAACATCAAGTTTATCTTCCTCAGATACTTCAACTCTCATAAGATGTCAACTTCACTCTCAGTCTAACTGCCCCACAGATGAGTAGTTAAGGTAACTTTGGAGTAATACCAACTTAAGTTTAAATTTCAGCTCAGCTCTGCCACTTACTAGTGTATATCCCAGGCAAGTTCCTAAATTAATCCTGTTTCCTTATACATAAAATTGCAATCATACTACCCAGCCCATTTACCTCAGTAAATGATTATGAAAGTTAGATAAGAAGGTATATATAAACTAACCATCCCTACCATAGTATGGCACATGGATCTGCCTTTAACTAGCTAGCAGCTAGCTGGAGAACATACTTAATTCAGGTCCATCTGGAAACTCATCAGACAGGATTAGCCAGGCAAGAGATGTATTGAGGAAAATGCCTGTGAAGGATCAAGGGAGGGGAAGCAGAAGAAAGCGAGGAAAGCCTCCAGATCATGCTGCAGCTCTGACATCTGTGGAAGAAGAGAGGGAAAAAGAGACGATGGGGATAGAGAGTCAAAGACTATATAGCACAGTTCCAAAAGAGCCTTGGTTAGGCCAATCAGAGTCCTTGAGCCAAAGTGGCCACGGCTCACGGGAATTAGCCAGCATTCTCTTTTCTTTTTTTGTTTTGTTTTGTTTTTGTTTGTTTGTTTTGTTTTGTTTTTTGTTTTTTGTTTTTTTGAGATGGAGTTTCACCCTTATTGCCCAGGCTGGAGTGCAATGATGCAATCTCGGCCCACTGCAACCTCTGCCTCCCAGGTTCAAGCAATTCTCCTGCCTCAGTCTCACAAGTAGCTGGGATTACAAGCATGTGCCACCATGCCCAGCTAATTTTGTATAGTTTTTTTTTTTTCCTTTTAGAATCAGGGATCTCACTACATTGCCCGGGCTGGAGTGGAGTGGCTATTCACAGGAGTGATCATAGTATACTACAGCCTTGAACTCCTGGCCTCAGGTGATCAGCCTTAGCCTCCTCTGTAGCTAGGACTATAGGCATGCACCACTGCACCCCAAAAGAACTGACCAGCTTTCATATACCTGCCATGCTCTGTCATTGGTATGGAAAGCCCAGCTCTGTGCAAACATGGTGGTGTGTGCACAGAGGCAACAGCTGGGGCTGTCAGTCAGTCATGCTCCCACAGCAGGAGATCTGAGCAGTGCACTTTCATGGTGGCCACATTTCACACACTGGACTGCACAGATCCACCTCTGCATGCATGCTCAGGGAGCAGCCTCTCCACAAATCCATGGACTGCTCTTCCTGAAGGGAAGCTTAGAAGTGATAGGTTAATAGGACAAACTATGGCCAGTTCTCAGGCCCAACCTGGTTCACATCCTGTCCCTTTTGCATGGCCCATTTCCCTCACCCTTAGCTATCACCTCAGCAAGTCCTGATGTTTTTTTGAGAAATGTTATGTGGTGACGTGACCCAAATCTTCATTCCTTGTGGATCTGAGCCCTTTGCAGTCATACCCTTCTCAGGCCAGGAGCACTATACACATCCAACCCTAATTCCAGTGAGTCAAGGGAGTACCAGGAAACGCCCAAGGAGATCTGGGTTCCACACATCTTCCTCCCTAGCGCCATCCACTTCCTCGGGCTGATGAGGATGGATTCCCCCTGTCACGATGGTGACTCTTTTCTCCTGCTGGTCCCTGGAGACAAGGAATTCAAAGTGCCCTGGTGGCAGCAGTAATTTGTAATACAATGGGACCTTTGTTGTGTCCCCTGGCAAGAGTACACTGAGTTTGGGGACCAGGATCTTTACCACTTGATTAACACAGAGTTTTGGGGACTGGAAGGACAGTTCCCATTGGGTCACTGGGAGTGATGGTAAGTGGGACCACGCCTACTTTGACCCCTTTGATCCTAGATCCATTTATTCTTTTTATTGTGGACACAGTGCCATATAGAGGTCTCTGATTCAATGCATATCCTGTAGAATGTCATCCCAGCCTATTAGAGGGTTGCCTCCTATCGCTGCAGGTGTGCTTTTCCAAGGCCATTTCCACACTCTGTGAAGTCAGCTCCTCTGGGTGGTGTTATGTATGACCTGTGGACCCCACAGTCATGGACCCATGCATTTTGAGATTTTATGTAGCATCTTTTTTGGCTACATATTTGCCTCTAAAGAACACTATGCACTATTAACCGTCTTTGCAATTCCTGCAGATCAAGCCACCTTGGCTGCTCCTCTGACCTTGTTGGTTATTATGGTAATTGTGACCTCATGGCTTCTGGGAGTTACACACTTCCAATTGGTCTCCATTCCTTGGCCAGAGTCCCCATCATACACATGGCTGTTAAGGAGCTCAGCTCTGGGATCACTCTCCTACTTTCAGCAATGCCCTGCAGAGGAGGCTATTATTATACTTCTTAGTGACGCCAATGTCTCTCTCAACAGTGTATTCTTAATGGTCTTAGTGAATAGCGTGTTCTTTGGGCCTCACATGGAACATAATCCTCAGTGGGTCTTCTGGTCTTACATGATATTTCCATCCTAACATGCCCCTTCCCTCAGCCTTTTAATCCTTCCTATACCTTCTGCCAGGGCAACTTGGGCTTCTCCACTTTACCCAGGTTAACAACCACCTTTTCCAGGCTTCTAAGAGCCACCCCACGATAAGTTTACCCTCATTCTCTAGGGTCCTTGCTGGGGTATTAGATCGTGTGTCTTGAAAGAGTGCCCTTAAGTCTGAGCTCCAGAAATAGCTATACTTCTCTTGGGCAATGTTCCTTATCACTTACATACCTGATTGTATTTCTCCCTTTGATCTGATTGCTAAGAAGTTCAGAATCAAATTTTAATCATACATCTATTACATATACAGGATACAGATACATAGAAACTTATAACATGTACTTTCTATATTGTCCTCACAACAGCTTCATCTTGTTTGTTTGTTTGTTTGTTTGTTTGTTGAGATAGGATCTCCCTCTGTCGCCCAAGCTGGAGTGTAGTGGCACAACCACAGCTCACTCCAGCCTTGACCTCCTGGCTCAGGCCATCCTCCCACCTCAGCCTCCCAAGTAGCTATGACTGCAAGTGCATGCCACCACACCCAGCTAAATTTTGTTTCATTTTTTGTAGAGATGAGGTCTTGCTATGTTGCCTAGGCTGGTCTCGAACCCCTGGGCTCAAGCAGTCCTCCTGTCTCAGCATCCCAAAGTACTGGGATTACAGGCATGAGCCACTGCACCCAGCCATCTTTTTTTTTTTTTTTAGATGGAGTCTTGCTCTGTGGAGCAATCTTGGCTCACTGCAAGCTCTGCCTCCTGGGTTCCTGCCATTCTCCTGCCTCAGCCTCCCGACTAGGTGGGACTACAGGCATCCACCACCATGCCCGGCTAATTTTTTGTGTTTTTAATAGAGACGGGGGTTTCACCGTGTTAGCAAGGATGGTCTCAATCTCCTGACCTCATGATCTACACGTCTTGGCCTCCCAAAGTGCTGGGATTACAGGCGTGAGCCACCGCGCCTGACCCTAATTTTTAACTTATTTTCACTTCATACTGAATCTCTTACTTGCATTTGTTGAACACACTATCTGCCCAGCACTGTGCTAAGTACATATGTGTTATCTCATTTAATCCTGGCTTCCCTACTGTGGGATCTTGAGCAAGATACTGAATTTCCATAAGCTTTAATTTCATCGTCATCGGTAAGTAAGGATGATACTAATGTCCACTTTGTAGAATTATAATGAGGATTAACGATGGTAGTTAATGTCAGTAGTTATTAAAATATACTTGGCTGGACGTGGTGGCTCACGCCTGTAACCCCAACACTTTGGGAGGCTGAGGCAGGCAGATCATGAGGTCAAGAGATTGAGACCATCCTGGCCAACGTGGTGAAACCCCGTCTCTACTAAAAATACAAAAATTAGCTGGGCGTGGTGGTGCGCGCCTGTAGTCCCAGCTACTCAAGAGGCTGAGGCAGGAGAATTGCTTGAACTCAAGAGGCACACGTTGCAGTGAGCCGAGATCACACCACTGCACTCCAGCCTGGGCAGCAGAGCAAGACTACATCTCAAAAATAAAACAAACAAAGAAAAAAACACTCAAATCTTTTTGCCTAAAACAACTCAAAATATCTGATTTAATTATTGTATAGGATGTCAATGTAGTAATGTCCAGAAAGATAAACATTAGTTTATTATAAAAACACTTAACATACAGAGCAGAATAAGTGTTACTAATCTTATTTATTATGGCTTTAATCTAATTGAAGGCTTTCGTGGTTCCTATAATTAACGGCAACATAACAGAATCAATAAAGCTTAAGACATAATGAATGTCCATATAGAACACTCTTTTATGGGGTTTTTCTTAAATAGGTAAATGAGATGATGGCCTCCTCTGAGGCCAGTGAGCCCAAGGATGCTTTACTTCAAAATCCATTCAGTTTTACAGGAATATCAGATTGCTCTGGGCTGACTTACTAGCCGTAATAACAAGGCTTATTCTACTCCTGGGATTTAGTATACTGTATTAATAATTTAAAAACCTTATAAGCAGATGCTATTCTGACAATCAAGGCCGGGGTGCTAGAAAGGCTGCTGGATCAGAAAGCAGGACACTTGCATGCTGGATGAGCTCTTTGATAGATTAAAAAAAAAAAAAAACTTAGGGTGGTCTTTTTACTGTCTCTGAGCTCAGATATCTCCTTAGTTTGGATCACATTATTTTATGATACCTATCAGCATCAAAATTCCGTGCATCTTTATTGTTTTAACTTTACTGTGTCCACGTACAGGTTATTGGCCACGAAATCATGTATGCATTTGACAAGTGGGATAACTGAAGTGTAAAGTTTAAATTACATTCCAAAAAGCAATAGGAAAATAAATTGTAGCTGAACAAGAACTGGCCAGGCACAGTGGCTCCTGCCGGTAATCCCAGCACTTTGGGAGGCCAAGGCAGGAGGATCACTTGAGGAGTTTAAGACCAGCCTGGGCAACATAGTGAGACCTCCTCTCTATAAAAAAAAATGAATAAATAAAAATTAGCCATGTACAATGGTGTGCAGCTATAGCTGCAACTACTTGGAAGCTGAGGTGGGAGGATTGCTTGACCCCAGGAGTTCGAGGCTGTAGTGAGCTATGCTCATGCCATTGCACCCCAGAATGGGTGACAGAGTGAGACCTCACTTCTAAAAAAAAGAAATAAAATGAAATAAAAATAGAAAAGAATTAGATGTGACTTCTTCCCAAGTTCTAATATTCTCTTATTCTGCTAGGAGAGTGATACATAGAAATTATATATTCTCAGAGGTCTATGGCATCCAACACTTTAAGTCAATTCAGCAAATACTTACTCAGTACAAGTATGTGCCAAGCACTGTGTTAATTTTTTATAACATGATGCAGGATACATATGATCAGTAACAATCAACTGATCAGCTACATGTATAGGGTACTATACTAGGCCCTTGGCAGGGGTGGCCACTCTTCCTGTAGTGTGTAGAGGAAAAGGCAAGACATCCATCTGAAAAATAGATAATCAAGCATCAAATGGCTGATACAGACATAAATGTCATAAGATTTCAGAGACAGGAAACATTACCGAAAATCCAGATAGACTTCATGGGGCTTGTGAAATGTGAACCGAACCGTGAAGGACACTGAAAAAGAGGCAGGAAAGTGTCAGGCCTATTTAATTGGCATTTATATCCTTCCCAGAATTGTTAAGATTAGGTTTATTTTTGTGTCTGAAATGCACGTGTATTGTCTTCCCTCAATTTTAGGTACCACGACAGCAGAAACCATGTATAATACAATATTTATATTGATTCAGCATGACAGATATTTGTAGAGCATCTACTATACGTCAGACACTGTACTAAGTAAGCTTTGGAGGGGAGGGAAAGGTCAAGAAGGAAAGAGAAAAGACTTGGAGATAAAACTCAGAAGTCAGATGAGACCTGTTTGTTGCTGAAAGATCTGGGTAAACTTGGTTTGAACTCTCAACACGGTGCCTGGACTGTGGAAGTGTAAAGCCCTTTCAAGAGTGAGGTAACTTCTGGAGGGACACTTCCACCTCCTCATTCTACTCTGTTTTGCACCATGTTACAATGAAGGCACTCACACAAAGCTCCCTGGGTTTGGCAGCCATCCCTGAAGATGTAGGTAGGTAGGAATCACAGCTCTGCTGCCCTGGTGGCTGCTTTCTCCATTTTCCCTCTGCCCTCCCTCCTTTTGCCCTCGCGTTCTCCATTGCAGATTGCCCCCCAAAATTTCCAAAACCTCCCTGCAGTATGCACAGCAAGTTGACCCTCCTCTAACAGCTGGATCCTTGGTCTCAATTTTCTTTTTTTTTTTTAAACTCTTTTTTTATATATATATATACTTTAAGTTTTAGGGTACATGTGCACAACGTGCCGGTTTGTCACATATGTATACATGTGCCATGTTGGTGTGCTGCACCCATTAACTCGTCATTTACATTAGGTATACCTCCTAATGCTATCCCACCCTCCTCCCCCTACCCCACGACAGGCCCTGGTGTGTGATGTTCCCCTTCCTGTGTCCGAGAGTTCTCATTGTTCAGTTCCCACCTATGGAGTGAGAACATGCGGTGTTTGGTTTTTTGTCCTTGCGATAGTTTGCTGAGAATGATGGTTTCCAGCTTCATCCATGTCCCTACAAAGGACATGAACTCATCATTTTTTATGGCTGCATAGTATTCCATGGTGTATATGTGCCACATTTTCTTAATCCAGTCTATCATTGTTGGGCATCAATTTTCTACCTCAAGCATTTTCCAACCTATTTATTCTATTACACCTAATTTCTCAACTGATTTTTTCCAAGCCTAGATGCTTCTATTTTCAGGAAGAAATATGGCACCAGCTGTAAAACAATGGCGATATTGTCTCCACCTTGTTACACAGAGATAAGTGCCCTGGTAACTCTAAGAGAAACCCACAGGGCTATGAAGGGACAGAAAGAGAAAGTACAGGAAATGAGTCAGGAAGGGTTTTTTGGACCTTTCTAAGTGATCTCTCTCTCTGTCCTGAATTCACACAGTATTTATTGCCTACATCATTCCTTGGAAACGTGTCTTTTAATGCCTTCTATTGCTGTTTGTCTTTCCTTCTGTTGGTGCTATATCTCCTTGACCAGATGTTTTGCAGTTCCAGTACGGCAGGCTTTTCCCTTCACCCCTGGAACGCTCGTGGCACCTGGCCCAGTGCCTCCAGGGTAAAATGGGCCTCACTGATTGGTCTGTTGAGCCTCAACCTGTGGGAGCTTTATGATTTGCCTAGTTTCACAAGACCTTCCCTAAATTTTCCTAAAAATGCCACATGGCAGGTGTTTGTTTCAATTAAAATAAATTAAAATATCTCTAAGAATGCACTGAGTATTTAATCAATTTGCTTGAGATGGCTGGAGATGTCCACTCAAATTCCAGCAATGAGGACCTGGAAAGGACTAACATGTATTTAAGTACCCTTACCTCCCAGCCATCTGCTTTCATTCTCAAAATCACCTTTTGAGGTGAGATTAGGTGATTTGCCAGTGTTTACACTATTACACAGCAGGAACTGAAGTTTTAACAGGGCACACCTAGCTTCAAAGCTCCTGTTCTTTTCACTGTCTCACACTCCAGGATAATAATGCCCCTTTAGAGATATTCAAATTTTCATCATCACTAAGAAGAGCACTTATCCACTAGGATGCAAACTAAACAAACTATCCCAACAGTTAGTGTCCTGGAGATGTAAAAAGAAAGTTGACTCCATGAACTTGAACAAGTGGCTTCACCTTTCCGAGCTTCCAGTTACTTATCTGTACATATACAATTCTACAGAGTTGATGTCAACACTAAGTTAAATAACACACACACACACACACGCACACACACACGCACACACACGCACACACACACACATACAACCAGGGAAGCAGTCTTTCTGTTGGCTGAAAAAGATCAACTGTATTCTTTGAAGATTTCGAGTGTTAAGTTAAAATCCTCCTTCCTTTTACAGAGTGTAAAATGGGAGCTGACACTCAGGTCTGACATTCAGATGAGTTGGGCAGGTGTCTTTTAACTGAGTTAACGCATTATGTGATTTGGGAGGGGCATTAGCTGACTCACACAAGAGCAGATTAACCATTACCCCAACATCACACAGCAGCAGCCACAGTCCGGGAGGTAAATTGGCACCACCATCCATATTCTTTGAAGCCCTTCTCCACAGTAACTACCATTGCCCCTCAAACAGGGCCCTTTCAGATTATTGCAATCAGCCCAGGTAGGAGGTAAAAGGGTTGAAGGTATGACCATTATAAAATACGAGGAAGTTCTCTGGGGGAGGATTTGGGGGAATGGAACCACTCTCCCCAGTCCCTTAATGACACCAAGTCCTGCTGGCTTATGTCTCTAAGACCACAGGCTTGGCAGTGAATGAGAGCTGAGTTTTAGCTCTGCTTCATCCTAGTTGTGTGGCTGTGAGTAGTACATTACTACTTTAAATCTCAGTTTTTTAATCTGTAAAATGGGAGTGATAATATTTTCTGTCTTTTTTTTTCATGTGTACATTCAGAATTTTTATCTTAAAACAAAGAAGCACCAGAGTAACATTAATAAGAGAAAATCCATATGAAAATATTCACAGTCTGGTCAGTGAGAAATGAGAAAACAACTTCCCTGCCTTACTGTCCACCCGCTGTTTGAGGAGCCAGAAGTAGAGGTGAAGTTGGAAGAAGGTCACCTTTTCCAGCTAAACCCCACTGCTATGTGCATTTTTATTCGACGCCTCAACAACCAGAGGGAACAGTGAGAACTGAGAACCAAAATACTGTTCAAGCATTTTACTTTAGCAAGCATTCAGCTAAAGGGTCTGAGATGTGTAAGCACCAAGAAGGGAAAGGGAGATCCAGCAACATAGGAAAAAGGGGGCTGTGGGAATAAACACAGAGCAAATAAGTCAACAATAACCTACTTCCACCCAGAGCAAAGTGACAGTGCACATACATTCATACTCTCAAGTATGGGCTACACTGCACACTGACTCATACTATCTCAAACATGGCCTATTGGAAAGATTCAATCCCCCTAAGGGCACTCGGCACAGGACCACGGTGGTCATGGTAACAGACATAGACAAGCATGCCGTGACCCTGAAGCAACAACACACGTTAGATAATAATCGTTCAGAAAAAAATCTTCTCCCAGAGCTGAGGCTACAAATTCCAAGTCAGCTATAAACATTCTTTCTGGAATTCCTTTAAAGATATGGGTCAAAGTAAAACAAAAATCAACACCTAAAATCTCCTAAAGAACAAAATGGAGAAATGACGAACCTCTACCAAGAACCAATTATTTTAGGTTTCTCATTTGGATGGCTCTACCACCAGATGGGTGGTGGGGTTACTTAAAAAGTAATGAGTCTACTACAAGGGGAAGGAGTTGTTTGGTCCAGTGAGAAGGAACAGGCTTTCTAGAAATAACTTTCCCTGCCCTGGACTCCATCCAAAATTAGAACCCATCAACTGCCATTAACTACAATGCCCATCTTGGTTAATAATCCTGGACTTCAAGTAATACTACATATAAACTATAATTTTAAAGAAAAAAGTTCCAAAAGAAATCAGTAGCTTTATTATATAGGCATATGACTTTTCTGAGAAATTAAACTTAAGAGTTTCCACCTGAAGGACAGAAATTGTTAAGAGGTAATGTGCAGATCTCAGGCACCACATCATTTACCCTCCAATAATTAACTACATTTCTCCCTAAATTCTCCTTATTGCACCTTAACCGCTCCAGCATCAAATCTTCTACTCTATAACCTCTTTTAAACACCTCCTTTTAACCTCAGTTTCCTTATGTTTTCATTATTTGGCAAAATTACACTTAAAACATAATATTTATGTAATTAAACCAGGAGGTAAAAATAAATAAAACTCAAGTTAATTTGCTGTGTACAGCTGTATGGAAGTGAGGAAGGTGCTCTTACATAAACCCTGTCTGCCTTCCCACAGTGTGTGTGTATCTGCTTCCTGGTAAGTCTGCGGTTGGGGGAACTGCACCTTACTTTTCCTCCCCTATATCCCCTAGAGGGCAATATTAGAACCCAAGGGAGAAGAGCTGGCAAAGTTGTCGTATCCCAAGTGGTCAATCCCTCCTGAAATGAAGGGTAGGTTCACTTGGTCTCTCCTACGCAGAAGAGAATGTCCAAGAAATGAAATATTTTAAAAGCCATTGAAAATTCAACAAGCTCCAGTCTTGTTGAGGGAGAAAGGAATCAAGTAGCAGCATTCAGAAGCAGCCCTGGGTTCATCCTTATGAGGTCTCTCCCTCATTCAGGGAGGTGGCTTTCCCTTGCTGGGAGGGAGGTTGAAGGAGGCATGATTTAGACATTGGTGGTGGTCTCCTTAGCAGGCTGGATACTGTTCATCTCCATGACACAGTCCTTCCAGATCTATTTGCATCGTGTGCCTGCCCCTCAAAGGCCTATGTGATATCCTTGAAAGTCCTGTAACACATCTCAGGGACTTTGAAGAAGGTAAAGATCAAGAAGGTAATGAGGAAGTCGGTGAAGATAATAAAAACGTAGGCTCCTAAATAGTAAGCAGCAGAAGGGAAAAGCAATCTGACTAGGAAGTTGGAGGTCCAGGTGGAGCAGCCGGCCACTGCCATCACAGCTGGGCCAGGGCCCTGGCTGAAGAGTTCAGCCACAATAAACCAGGGAATGTGGTCTGGCCCAATTTCAAAGAAGACCACAAAGACCAAGATAGCCCCAATACAGACAAAGCTTATCCCATTACACTCATCCTTCAATAACAAACAAACAGACATGAGGATGGAACAAAAAGCCATCCCTCCAAGGCCTATCATATGTAGAGTCCTTCTTACTGCCCTTTCCACTAGAAATAGGGAAACTATAGTGAAGATAGTATTAACCACACCCACACCAATGGTGACACAGATGGGCTCTTGAACACCTGCACCCTTAAAGATTCCTGTTGAGTAATAGAACACAGTATTGATTACAGAGAGCTGCTGAGAGAGCTGGAGCATGATGGAAATGATGATGGGCTGTCGGTAGCTGGATACTCTAAAGAGCTCCAGCACAGTGACTTGCTTTTCTTGTGCCATCCTTGCACTCTCATCTTTCATCTCCTGGATGTCTTGGGATACATCCTGGGTGCCCCACAACCACTGGAGGATCTCCTTAGCATTCTCCTCTTCTTTTCTGTTAATGAGCAAGAATCTGGGACTTTCAGGGCAAAAAGGAAGGGCTGCACTTTGTAGCATAGCAGGAGAGATGGGAAAGCCTAATAGCACAGGCCATAGGTCTTCAGACCCCAGGATGAATTCCAGATCAAAGATCTGGGCCACCAGAATTCCAACAACAATGCCCAGCTGGTTGAGAGTGCCAAAGACACCTTGCAGGCCAATAGGTGAGATGTCTCCGATGTACGTGGGCACAAAACCTGTGCAGAGTCTGCAGAAGAGGCCAATAACCAAGTAGGCCAGGATCAGTATTTCAACCAACTCAGCTACTTTACACAGTCCCATAAGGCAGCCACCAGTGGCAGCCAACAGGTTGACAGTAAGCATTGAATTACGCCTGTCAAAGCTGTTGACAAACAGTCCAACAGAAAAGGAGCTAATCATACAACCAATGGAGAATATGGCCATAGACAAGCACCAAAGGGACAAGCACAACATCTCAGAGGGAGGGGTATTTGCCTTGTCCTTCAAAGTGTTGATAAATTCCCTTATGATCATCTCAGGAGCATTGATGACCCCAGTGTTGTAGCCAAATTGGAAAGAGCCGATTGTAGCAATTGTGATGGCGAAGATCAGAGATGGGGTGACCTTCTATGTCCCCCATGGCCTCAATCTAATTGTTTTTTTTTTTTTTGGACAGAGTTTCACTCTTGTTGCTCAGCCTGGAGTGCAGTGGGGCGATCTCAGCTCACTGCAACCTCTGCCTCCCGGGTTCAGGCGATTCTCCTGCCTCAGCCTCCCAAATAGCTGGCATTATAGGTGTGCACAACCACACCCTGTTAATTTTTTGTATTTTTAGTAGAGATAGGGTTTCAAGATGTTAGCCAGGCTGGTCTCGAACTCCTGACTTCAGGTGACTCACCCACCTCGGCCTCCCAAAGTGCTGGGATTACAGGTGTGAGCCACTGTACCTGGCCCCTAATCTAATTCTTTTCAAGTCTTTAAGAAAGATCTAGGAGTGTGATTCCAGAGACACCTTTTTCAACCAATGAAACCTTCAAAATTTCCTTCTCGGCAGCAAGTTTTCTCCAGGTCCTCAGGAATGCTCTAAAACTCTCACCATTACAGCATCTCCTATTTTCTATCTTCTAAAGTTGTTGTGAAGATTAAGTTAAATAATAAGCTGGGTGCAGTGGCTCATGTCTGTAATCCCAGCACTTTGGAGGGCTGAGGCAAGAAGATCACTTGAGCCCAGGTGTTATTCAAGACCAGCCTGGGAAACAGAGAGAGACCGTCTCTACAAAAAAATGGTGTTGCATGCCTGTAGTCCCAGCTACTTGGGAGGCTGAGGTGGGAGGCTTGAGCCCAGGAGGTCAAGGCTGCAGTGAGCCATGATTGTGCCACTGCCCTCCAGCCTGGGTGACAGAGTGAGACACTGCCCAACAGCCACCCCCCACCCAAAAAAAAAATATAAAGCACTTAGTACAGTATCTGGCATATTGTAAGCTCTTTATAAAGTTGATTATTATTTTATTATTAGCAGGGACCAAGGCCTTAACGTTGTAAGATGCAGGGAAATAACAAAAGGAAAGAAAGGCTCCCTGTTGCTGAAGCAGCCATTGCCACAGTCAGGTGCACAAGGTCTAGCACAATTTGGCTCCCAGCCAATCTTACCCTACGGTTACCTGCACGCACTCCCTGAAAACTTCCTTAGTTCCTCAAGGTAGGCAGAATTCCTCCTTTAGTTTCCCAGAGTACTTTGCATGTACTTTTCTACTTTCCCTTATCACAATCCATTCTATTTTGCTTGCATATCTATTCACTCTACCCTACCTTATCCCAGGCTGTGAGTTTATGGACAGCAGGAACCAAGCAGTCATCCTTGTATTTGCAGCCATAGGCATTCTGTAAGTATTGGATGAGGATGGAAGGATAGATGGATAGACAGACAGATAAGGAACATGGGATAACTAGTGACTTGGTAAAGGATTAGGCCTGGGTACCCAGGAGACCAATTAAAACAGTCATTGCTTCACAAGCTTCTCTAAGGCTGGATCTGAACAGAAGTGCAAAGGGCATGACATTTGAAGAATTGTTTGCCTGGTGTGGATGGTTAGGCAATCTACATGTGCCTTCAAGGGAAAAGCATGGCTAGTTGGTGACTGCTGACAAAGTTGGTATCAGGCAGAACACCTTGGCAACCAGAAGCCAAGGCAGGATGATGCCTCTAAGTCTTCCTGCAGCCTGAAAAGTTAATAGATTAGTCAATTAGAAGCAAGTCCTTTGAAGTGTGGTCAGTTTCAGGCAGACTTGTGGACAATGACTATTCTCTCTGTGATTGTGTTCACTGTAAACAATGATGCAAGACCTAAAGATAGAAAGGGGATGTGAAATGTTGTTCTCACAGAAGATGGACTGTCTGGAGATAACATTTCCAAGTACCTAGAGTATAAAGTATTTTATAACATAGGGCAATATAGAGGGAGATGCTGTATCTTGACTTTTCAGAAACCATTCTTATTTTATTCATTTTGTTCAAAGCAATTGAAGATGATAATATTTATTGATTGATCACTTATTGTGTACCTCATACTTTTTAAGAAAGTGATATGCTAGAGTTGGCCTTCCCTGGCTCATGAGAGTCAATTATGTGTGTGTTTTCTCAAGCCGCATTAGAAGATTTTACACTGGCATCTTAAATTCGGCCATATCAGGAATATTTACACCATGGAAACTGGCAAACACTAAAAATCAGGGTTTTCAGTCCCATCCCTTCTGAGAGCTGCTTGTCAAATATTTACTGCACACTACTGATTTTACAATAAATGATCCTAATTAGCCCTTCCCATATTCCTACTTTACAGATGAGAAATTGAAGTTTAGAGATTAAATAATTCACTTATTACAAACTTTTTGGTGGCACAGGCAGGATTAAAATTCAGACCATCTGTCTCCAAAGTTCATTCATTTAACCATTTAATTATTTTAAGATTTCAAACTCTACTTAGGTCAGCAAAATGGCAGAGTAGGCAGCCCCAAGCTCCTGTCCCCCCCATAGAAACTCAAAAAACAAGCAGAATCTGTCAGAATTAACTTCTTCAGACTCTGGAAAAAAGTCAGAGGCTTACAGCCACCAAGTGGATGCTGAATTAAGAAAAATAAAAAATGGGCCAGTTGCAGTGGTGGCTCATGCCTGTAATCCCAGCATTTTGGGAGGTCAAGACAAGAGGATCTCTTGAGCCCAGGAGTTTCAGACTAGCCTGGGAAACACAGTGAGACCCTGCCTCTATAAAAAATAAAAAAATAAAAATCAGCCAGGCCTGGTGGTGCATGCCTGTAGTCCCAACTACTGGGGAGGCTGAAGTGGGAGGATCATTTGAGCCTGGGAAGTCAAGGCTGCAGTGAACTATGATCTTGACACTGCACTGAAGCCTGGGTGAAAGAGTGAGCCCCTAACTAAAATAAATAAAATTTAAAAATATATATATATGTATGTATGTGTATATATATATGTATGTGTATATATATGTATGTATGTATATATATATGTATATGTGTGTGTGTGTGTGTGTGTATATATATATATATATATATATATATAAAATACAGAGATAAGGCTGGGCATGGTGGCTCACGCCTGTAATCCCAGCACTTTGGGAGGCCAAGGTGGGTGGATCATGAGGTCAGGAGTTCAAGACCAGCCTGGCCAACATGGTCAAACCCCATCTCTACTAAAAATACAAAAATTTGCTGGGTGTGGTGGCACGTGCCTGTAATCCCAGCTACTCCGGAGGCTGAGGCAGGAGAATTGTTTGAACCTGGGAGGCAGAGGCTGCAGTGAGCCAAGATCATGCCACTGCACTCCAGCCTGGGCGACAAAGAGAGACTCCATCTCAAATAAATAAATAAATAAATAAATAAATAAATAAATAAATAAATAAAATAAACTCAAAAATGGTAGGAAAGTTTTGTGGCATTTTTATTTGCTGTTATTCCACACCTTACCTTGCAATGGTCCTGAAGACAGCAGCCCATACTGTCGGCATGGGAGTGGGGTCCCTGGTTCTAGAGGGAGCAAAGCAGACCTTATTTGCAAATTATTGTGTAGATCGGTTTTAACCTGTCTGTACGTGAAGGACTGGCACAAAATGCTCACCTCTGTTTGCCTAACTCTGAACTAACCCAGATTGGAAAAGCAGCAGGCATTGCTTGAATCATCATAAGGTAGAAGAACAAGGCCTGAGGCAAAAGGTCACAGTTGAGACATGCAATAAACCACCTAAGGCTTGGGCAAAAAATTTGAGAACAGAGTTTCTTTGGGAAGTTAGGACAATCAGAAGCACCTGTGAATGCAGGGAATTTAGCCAGCCATGCATGTGCCCAGGGCAAGATGCTTGCTCAGAAAAGACATGATTAAAAACTTCAGGTTTCATCACAGCTGATTCCTAAGCTCAGTGAAAGCCTGGCTAAGTGTTGAAGGAGGGCCCCAGTACACGCCCAATTGGCAAAAACTGAGAAAAGTATTTTTGTTTGTTTGTTTGTTTTGTTTTTTAGCTCTTGACATTCAGGTAAAATTCTGTCAAAGCACTCACTGAAGGCCAGGCGTGGTGGCTCACGCCTATAATCCCAGTACTTTGGGAGGCTGAGGCAGGCAGATCACTTGCGGTCAGGAGTTCGAGGCCAGCCCGGACAACATGGTGAAACCCCATCTCTACTAAAAATACAAAATTTAGCTGGGTGTGGTGGCATGTGCCTGCAATCTTAGCTACACAGGAGGCTGAGGCAGGAGAATTGCTTGAACCTGGGAGATTGCAGTGAGCTGACATCAGGCCAGTTCACTCCAGCCTGGGCAACAGAGCAAAAACTCTGTCTCAAAAACAAACAAACAAACAAAAAAACCCCACTCACTGAATACAAGCTAAGGGACAGAGACTTCAGCAACCACACATGACAAAGAAAAGTCTCTGCAAAAATAGGAAAAGTTACTAGAACAAGACTATTACAGGTCTCAACAATGAAAACAAAAACAACCACACACACAAAAAAATAAATAAAATAAAACAGTAAACCCCAAAGAAGGAGAAGAATCTTATTTTCAGAGTTGCCACAATATACTATTCAAAAGTCCAGTTTTCAAAAACAACAACAAAAAAAATCACAAGAAGGTACACAAAGAAACAGGAAAGTATACTTCAATAAAAGAAAATATGGGCCAGGCACGGTCGCTCACGCCTGTAATCCCAGCACTTTGGCAGGCAGAGGCAGGCGGATTGCCTGAGATCAGGAGTTCGAAATCAGCCTGGGCAACATGGTAAAACCCCATCTCTACTAAAATACAAAAAATTAGCCGGCAGTGGTAGCATGTGCCTGTAGTCCCAGCTACTTGGAGGCTGAGGCAGGAGAATTGCTTGAACCTGGGAGGCAGGGTTGCAGTGACCTGAGATTGCACCACTGCATTCCAGCCTGGGCGACAGAGCGAGACTCCGTCTCAAAAAAAAAAAAAAAAAAAAGAAAAGAAGAAAAAAAAAAAGAAAAGAAGCTGACAAAAACCACGTGTGAGGAAGCCCAGATATTGAACTTATTAGACAAAAACTTTAAAACAATGCTCTTAAATATGCTCAAAGAGCTAAAGGAAAATGTGGACATAAAACTAAAGAAAATCAGGAAAATAGTGTATGAACAAAATGAGAACACCAGTACAAAGATAGAAGTTATGAAAAGGAACCAAACAGAAGTTTTGGAGCAGAAAAGTAGTAGAATAACTGAAATGAAAAAAACCACTAGAGGGGTTTGTATTAGTTTGCTAGGGCTACCATAACAAAATATAACAGACTGAGTGGCTTGAACAACAAAAATATATTTTCTCACAGTTCTGGAAGCTGGAAGTCCAAGATCAAGATGCTGGCAGGGTTGGTTTCCTCTGTGGCCTCTTTCCTTGGCTTGTAGATTGCTGCTCTCTTGCTACCTCTTCACATGGTCGTACTTCTGTGCATGCACACTGTGATATTTCTTCTTCTTATACAGAAACCAATCATATTGGATTAAGGCCCTAACCTAGCCATTTAAATCTAATTGTCTCAAACTAAATAATTACATGTATTTTAATTTAATTAGTTTGATCACCAGGAATGCAGATGCCTGCTTTCAAAACTGCTATTCAACATCCTACTGAAAATTCTAGCCAGAGCAAGTTGACAGGAAGCAGAAAGAAAGAGCATCCAAATGGGAAAGAAAGAAGTAAAACTGTATCTCTACGACCAAAGAATCTACAAGAAACCTACTTGAACTAATAAATGAATTCAACAAAGTTGCAGGTTATAAAATCAACACACAAAAATCAGTTGTCTATACATCAGCAGTGGATATTTGAAAAGGAAATAAAGCAATTCTATCTGCATTACAATCGCATCAAAAAGTATAAGATACTTAGGAATAAATTTATCCAAAGAAGTAAATATTATACACTGAAAACTGTAAAAACATTGCTGAAAGAGATTAATGAAGAAATAAATAAATTAGAAGTTACCCACATTCATAAACTGGAAGACTTAGTATTGTTAAGATGACAATACCCAAAACAATGTACAGATTCAACACAATCCCTATAAAAATCCCAATAGCTTTTTTGCTCAATGGAAAAAGCATATCCTCAAATTCATATGTGATTGTGGCCAGGCGCATTGGTTCACACCAAAATCTCAGCACTTTGGGAGGCCGAGGCGGGCGTATCCCCTGAGGTCAGGAGTTCGAGATCAGCCTGGCCAACGTCGTGAAAGCCCGCCTCTACTAAAAATACAAGAATTAGCTGGACATGGTGGCTCACGTCTGTAGTCCAAGCTACTCAGGAGGCTGAGGCACAAGAATCACTTGAACCCGGGAGGTGGAGCTTGCAGTGAGCTGAGATCATGCAACCGCACTCCAGCCTGGGCAACAGAGTGAGAGTCGGTCTCAAAAAATAAAAAATAAAAAATTCATATGGGATTGCAAGGGACCTGAAATAGCCAAAACAATCTTGAAAAAAAAGTCAGGGCTGGAGGACTCACACTTCTGATTTCAAAATGGTTCAAGAAACACCTCCCTAAATGGTTCAAGAAACAAAGGTGTGGCATCCCAACTTCCTGAAGCTGACTGTTCCCCAAGTGTCAGGCCACAAAGACTGAGTCTCCTTAAAAGATTTAGGCCAGGCGCGGTGGCTCACGCCTGTAATCCCAGCACGTTGGGAGGCCGAGGCGGGCGAATCATGAGGTCAGGAGATCGAGACCATCCTGGCTAACATGGTGAAACCCCATCTCTACCAAAAATACAAAAAATTGGCCCACCATGGTGGCAGGTGCCTGTAGTCCCAGCTACTCGGGAGGCTGAGGCAGGAGAATGGCAGGAATCCAGGAGGTGGAGCTTGCAGTGAGCCAAGATTGCACCACTGCACTCCAGCCTGGGCGACAGAGCGAGATTCCGAGATTCTGTCTCAAAAAAAAAAAAAAAAAAAAAGATTTAGTCCAGCCCTTATGAGCTTATCCTCTAATGTCCCCTGTACTTATATTCCTTCTTGGTGTTTTTCTTAAGTTTGGGAAAATGTTTGATTAACTAGTTGGCCTTTTCACAATTATCCTGAAGCTTAAAGGTATTATTGGTGGACCAGGACTTTCTTGTTGAAGTGAGAATGCAGAACATAATCTCTTCTTGTACTACTCTACAGACCTGCCCACACATCAAGGGAAAAGGGAACGCTCATTGTTCTTTTGTTTTGGGAGACTGGACACAATGTTGCATACATGTTTTAAAGTCGACTTTTAAAATTTACTTTATAAAACCGTGTATGGTAGTGGTTAAGAGTTGGGGCACTGGTGTCCTATATTCATTCTTGGCTCTGTCCTCTCCTGTGTGCCATGGACGTCTCTCCCCTTCTCTGGGTATTGATTTTCCCTGCTGTAGAGAGGATAACACCTACCTCAGAGGATTATATGAATGAGAGAAGGTATGAGAAGTACCAGTACAGTGCCCTACACAGTGTAGGTGCTCAAGAAAGTTAGCCTGTTAGTTACCTAACTTATTATAGAACATCCATGAACCGCCAAAGGTCTTCTCCTCTCCATGAAATTTTGTCCAGTGAACAGTCCATGATGATTTCTCTTTTGTCTACAGTCCTGTAATCCTTGATGAAAATACAACTTATGCTTTAGCCATTTTATTTTATTTTTATTTTTATTTTTATTTATTTATGTATTTATTTATTTTGAGAGAAGTCTGGCTCTGTCGCCCAGGCTAAAGTACAGTGGTGTGATCTTGGTTCACTGCAATCTCTGCCTCCCAGGTTCAAGCGATTCTCCTCCCTCAGCCTCCCAAGTAGCTGGGATTACAGGCGCCCACCATCACGCCCGGCTAATTTTTGTATTTTTCAGTAGAGATGGGGTTTCGCCATGTTGGCCAGGCTGGTCTTGAACTCCTGGCCTCAGGTGATCCACCCACTTCGGCCTCCCAAAGTGCTGGGATTACAGGCATGTGCCACCGCACCTGGCACCTTATTTTTTTGAGACAAGGTCTCTCTCTGGTGCCCAGACTGGAGTGCAGTGGTGTAATCACAGTTTACTACAGCCTCAACCTCCTAGGCTCAGGTGATCCTCCCACCTCAGCCTTCTGAGTAGCTGAGACTAGAGACACACACCACCATGCCCAGCTAATTTTTGTATTTTTTGTAGAGACAGGTTTTGGCCATGTTGCCCAGGCTGGTCTCAAACTCTTGGGCTCAAGTAATCCGCCTTCCTTGGCCTTCCAAAGTGCTGGGATTGCAGTCATAAGCCACTGCACCTGATCTGTAGCCATTTCATATTGTACACAAACTTTCATCAAATAAACATTAAGTCATTTGAGAGTAGTGGCAATGTTGTGCACTGTTGCAGCCCCCAGCGCCTGATGCAGCCACACATGTAATGAGCCCGGAAGGAACATATCTTAGTTTTATGTGGCTGTAAACAAAATACCTGAGACTGGATAATTTACAAAGAACAGAGATTTATTTCATACAGTTCTGGAGGCTGGGATGTCAGTGTCGAGGGCTCTTCTGCTGCATCTTACCATGACAGAAAGTGGAAGGGCAAGACAGCATGCATAAGAGATGAAAAGCACAGTCTCAGCCCTTTTACAGTCAGTATTAATCTATTCTTGAGGGCGGAGCTCTCTTGACCCAAACACCTCTGATTAGGCTCCATTTCCCAACACTGCCGCATTCAGGATTACATTTTCAACACATGCTTTTTTGGGGCACACATTCAAACCGCAACAGAACACATTTTAATTGAATGGCCGAGAAGTGATTTGGAGCCCAGGATAAAGCACTGGATTTGTCATTAAAAGATTGAAGTTCTAGCCTTGGTTCTCATATGGGTGGGCTTTGTGACACTGGACAAGAAACTTCAAGGCAACTCTCATAATCAGTCTCTAAATTAGGATAATAGGGCTGCCCTACCCACTTTCAGGAAGAATTACAGTAAGACGTGACACCATACATGTGAAAGTATTTGGTAATTCCTAAACTGCAAAAAAAAAAAAAAAAAACCTACCCAGAATCCAGCAGGATTGTACCTTGAATCTATATAAGCAACCAAATTCTCCTCGTGTTGTCTTTATTTTAGGCTGTTGATAAATGTTCCATAATTCTGGTGCTATAAAAAGGCAGAATAAAGGAAGATAAAACCTGTTGGCTGCTAATCATTTACAATCAGATCATTGACTCAACCAATTAACCAATTACACTTAAAGTTAAAGCCCATTTGCAACCTACTGCCAGGATTAGGAGATTGATAGATTTTTAGCACAAAGGCTTAGGCTCAAAACTCCCATTAGCAGTAATGGGAACTATGCCCATTAGGCCCATCGAGAGATGAGAGTTGAATGCGATCTATAATCTATCTTGCTTAATGTCATCAGTTTCCCTATAGCCCCTTCAAACAATCAGACGCCACTGAATGCCCTAAACGGAACTAATAGCATTGAATTAGGAGAATATTAACAGTCTATTTCAGTGAGGCCTTCCAACACAATAAGCCTGTAGGTATTTCAAAATCTTGACATGCCTGTGCACGTTTTTTGTTTGTTTGTTTACTTAAGGAGGAAGGTAATCCTTTAATAATGCGAAAATACTGAAAGAGGATAATTTACATGACTGTATCAGACAAACTATTTCCCCTAATACTTGAGCTTTTTGTTATATAAAAAGTGATCAGTTGAGCCTTATACAGATTACAAAATCATTCACATTGCCTTCAGTTTATAAGAAATGAAGAAACCAAAAGAAAAATGATATTGGCCTTTTGTTTTGTTTTGTTTTTGAAACAGGGGTCTCTCTCTGTCACTCAGGCTGGAGTGCAGTGGCATGATCATGGCTCACTGCAGCCTCAACCTCCCTACTCTCAGGTGATCCTCCCACCTCAGCCTCCTGAGTAGCCGGGACTACAGCTGTGCGCCACCCCACCCAGCTAATTTTTATATTTTTTGTGGAGATGAGGTTTTGCCATATTGTCTAGGCTGGCCTTGAACTCCTTGGCTCAGGCAATCCACCCACCCATTTCGGCCATTGAAAGTGCTGGGATTATAGGCCTGAGCCACTGCGCCTGGCTGACATTGGGCTCTTTTTTTTTCTTTCCTTCAAAATAATCATTGAAGATACTCTTTAGACAGTCACAAAACATAATGCTTGGTTAAAATTTTCCCAACCACATAAGCACAAAATATAATTTCTCCCTTATTCTTACCCCACATGCATTATCAACTCCTATCACATCATCTTTTAAATACTTGATATCTGCCCTTTTCCTTCTAGTGCCATCATGCCCACCCTAGTTAAGGCTCCTTTAAAGCAGACTCAGACTGAGCCAATGACTTTCTAGTTGCTCTTCTTTAAATCTCTTGACACTTCAATCCAGTGTGCACATTCTGTAATGCATAGAATGTAAAATTTTTGAGAGCAGAAACTATGTCCTATATTTCCCCATATTATAGATACAGTGATATTTCCCGAATTAAAAATGTAGACACATAATCTGATAATTACATTTGTAGAGAAAAAGAAACAAATCTAAAATTGGACTTTTCCTTCCACATTTGTGGTTATTGTATCTAACAGATACATTCTAACAAAATGCATTCTGCATCATATAAATACAATACACATGGGTTGATTGGTGGGTTAATTGCTTAGTCTGTTTAGAAGAGAGATTGTAAACTTATACAGATCAAATATGACCTGCGGTGATTTTTTCCCAGCACATTAAAACATTTTTTAAACTGTTTGCCAACACTTAAAAATTGCTGAATTCACATAAAAATCAGGCTACACTTGAGAAATCTGAAGAACACCGGATTTTTAGACATCAGCTCAAGCTGAAGCTCGCCTAAGACAGGAAAATCTAACAAAGCTGCAAACCCCAAAGGGGCTGCACTTCCAGTGCAATGATGAACAGGAAAGAAACCTGCTGCACAGAAAGGAGCAAGGAAACTTGCCCATCTGTACCTTGGCATTTGGTAGAGGAAATATGTATATTTCCTCTTTCAATAATTTATATCCACAGTTGATACTGTCATACACATGGGTTTGCAGGTCAAGTCACCCACTTACATAGTTAAAAACAAAAACAAACAAAAAATCAAGGAGAGAGATTAATTTGGTCCTGAGTAAGTAGTTAACCCCAGGCAACTAGTAAAAGTAAACACAAATAATCTCTGAATGAAGGTAACGTCAATCTATGCCTCAAGTAATTTCTACGGATAAAATCCAAGGAATATAAACCCAGAGTCAAAATCCACAAAACATAAAAGTAAACGGCACAATGGGTAAAAACTAGAAGGAGGAGATGGTAAAAATCATACATGCAGTCTTCAAATGTAGAATGACAAGACATAGAATATAAAATAAGAATGTTTAATATTAACTCACATGACAAATATTATTTGAATACCTTCTATTTGCCAGGTATTGTTCTAAGCCTTAAGGATAAAGTGGCTAACAAAATAAACACCCTTGCTTTAAAGAAGTTTACATTTTAAGAAGGGGTGACAAATTACTTAATAAAAGATGTAGGATGGTAGGTGGTTAAAAAAAATCTAGAAGAGAGATACAGAGTATTATAATATAGGATATTTCACTGTCCTTAGAGCCACGCTGGGATTAGCTTTGGGTATGAGAGATAACCTAGGGGTCCTGGACTTTTTGTGTGACTGACATAAACAAGGACAACGGCATAATGGGTTTATAATGGTTGCAGAGAATGGTGGTATGAGTGTGGGAGTGTGGGGCTGTCGGGGACTGTTGTGGGGAGGAGTCTCTTCTCCAGAACATACAGAGTCCTGGGCCTCCCTCTTCATTCTTGACAATGCTTATGTGAAGGATAGAGAAGGAATGTTCTTCTCCAAGGCACAGGTTACCCCAGGGATCCCTCTTGTTTCCTGCTGATGGAAGCCCAGAGCCACAAGACGAGACAGCCTCTCATCTTATCTTTAAAACTTTTGTTTCAAGAAATAAAAGCCTGTAAATATGGTGAAGAAACAAATGACTATACAAACTTTTCCAAACAGATCTGAAATAGAACTTCTAGAAATAGAACAAAAAGATAGAAATTAAAAAGTCAAACAAGTTAAAAAGAAGATTGGATACAGCTGGAGAAAAAACTCATGAACTGGAAGTCAGATCCTAAAAAACTGTCCTAAATGCAGTCCAAAGAGTATGAAGAGATGCAAAATATGAAAGAGAGATTACAAGACTTGGATTATATATTAGAATGTCTAATACACATGTAATCACAATTCTCCAAAGAGATAGAGAAAATGAGGGAGAGGAAATAGTAAAAGAGACAACAGCTGGGAATTTCCAAGCATTGTTGAAAGTAATTACCATACTTACATGGTCACAGCAGGCATTTGAGTTTTTAACCCTTTGTACAAGTTTTTCTTAAGCTACCGTCCAGAAAAATGTCTTTCATTGAGTACTACTTTATAGTTTACAAAAGGCTTTCACATACTAAAATCTATGTAACATGTTTTTAGACTCATTGAAAGTCTTGGATTTGTTTTCCTATTACAACAGGAAACTGAAGTAATCTCTGGCCGTAAGATTAGTATTAAAGCCATTCTCTTTTAAGTGGAAAAAGAGAAGAGGATGTTGATATGGTTTGGCTGTGTCCCCACCCAAATCTCATCTTGAATTCCCATGTGTCATGGGAGGAACCCAGTGATAATTAAATCATGGGGGCGGGTCTTTTCCATGCTATTCTTGTGATAGTGAATAAGTCTCAGGAGATCTGATGGTTTTAAAAATGGGAGTTTCCCTGCACAAGCTCTCTCTTTGCCTGCTGCCGTCCATGTAAGATGTGACTTGTTCCTCCTTGCCTTCCACCATGATTGTGAGGCCTCCCCAGCCATGTGGAACTTTGAGACCAACTAAAACTTCTTCCTTTTGTAAATTGCCCAGTTTCAGGTATGTCTTTATCAGCCACGTGAAAATGGACTAATACAGATGTTTAGGACCAAACTTAACTAACAATAACTACAGCACTTAAGTATGATGAACATGGTAGTAAATTTGATTCATTTTTCTGCAGTTTTCATTTCAATACTCATTTGGGATATTTCCCTTGTAAATCTTCCTATCTTTTGTTTTCTCTCCTCAGGAATGATTTTTGGGGTCCACAGAAGACAGTGCCCTTCACTGGGTTAAGTGATGAGATCTAATTTCATCATGACCTTGAAGGCTCTATAAATCACTTTCTCCTGTTGCTATGTGAACAAAGTCCAAACCTTCTCAGCATGACATAATAGGCTGTTTCTTTGCCATATGTCACTGCCCTCCTTCTCAGCTCTACTCTCAGTGCAAGCACATAAGATAACTCACATGTGTTCATTTATTTGAACACATACCTGGGCACCTTGTTTCTGTATAGGACATTCCCCTTGGCTCTCTCTTTGCCTTTCTCATCCTTCCTCAGTACTCCCCATTAACTTCCTCTCACTTCTCAATCTGTTGGTCTCAAGAAAGTCAGGCTGGGTGCAAAGGCTCATGGCTGTAATCCTAGCACTTTAGGAGGCCAAAGTGGGAGGATGGCTTGAGCCCAGGAGCTCGAGACCAGCCTGGGCAACATAGGGAGACTCCATCTCTACAATAGAAAAAATTAACTGGGTGTGGTGGCACATGCCTGTGGTCCCAGCTTCTTGGGAGGCTGAAGCAGGAGGATCACTTAAGCCAGGGAGGTCAAGGCTGCAGTGAGCCATGATCACACCATTGCACTCCAGCCTGGGCAACAGAGTGAGACCCTCTCTTTAAAAAAAAAAAAAAAAAAAGTCTACTGGTTCTTCAGGATCCTCCCCAAACTGGGTGGGCACCTGGCTGCCCAAAGCTTTCTCTAACAGTATCTACGGCACCTTGAACTACAGTGTATTTTTTTCAGGTCTGTGCTATAATGTATCCATCTCTATATTCTGGCATGTCTGGCATGTGATGGGCACTCAAGCAATTTTTGGTAAATAAACATTATAGAAAGTCTGGGAAAATACTGGGGGTTGGGGGAGAGAATCATAAGTTTTTTTTTTTTTTTTAAGATGGAGTCTCACTCTGTCAACAGGCTGGAGTGCAGTGGCACGATCTTGGGTCACTGCAACCTCTGACTCCCTGGTTCAAGCGATTCTCCTCCCTCAGCCTCCCGAGTAGCTGGGATTACAGGCATGTGTCACCATGCCCAGCTAATTTTGTATTTTTAGTAGAGACGGGTTTTACCATGTTGGGCAGGATGGTCTTGATCTTCTGACCTCATGATCCGCCCGCCTTGGCCATCGTAAGTCTTAAAAGATCATTGTAGGGCAATCCTTATTCCTGAACCCAGCAATACCACTTCCAGAAAATCTACCCATGCAAATAATTGAGAATGTGTTCAGGTATAGTTACAGCCTGGCAAGATGAGTCCTGCCTGTAATCCCAGATACTTGGGAGGCTGAGGTGGGAGGATCACCTGAGTCCAGGAGGTCAAGGCTGCAGTGAGCCATGATTGTGCCACTGCACTACAGCTTGGGTGAGAGAGACCCCATCTCTTAAAAAAAAAAAAAATAACTACAAAGCTGCACACTCCAGTCCTGTTTAAATAGCAATACTTCCGGACACAATTTTTAAGTTATTCAATAGGGCTTTGGTTAAATAAATGTACAATGGAATACGAAGTAGTGATTTAAAAACACGTATGGAAAATATTTTTCCATGATATTTGATTCAAAGGAAAAAGGTGACAAAGCATTGTGTTCGATGTGATTACATATAATGCTATACATCAGATTGTTAACAGTGGTTTTCTGGGTGGTGGGATTTCCATTTATTTTCTGATTCTGGAAAAAATCTGATTTTTCTGCAATGAATAATAATTATTTTTGTGATTTTTAAAAAGGAGGGTTTTTTTTTTGGTGGGGGGGCGGTTGGATTTTTGTTTTGTTTTGTTTTTGAGATGGGGTCTCACTCTGTGGCCCAGGCTGGAGTGCGGTGGCGCCATGGAAGTTTTTGTTTCTAAAGGGTCCTTTCCTTTGGAGCTCCAACTCTACTAAGAGGCCATTCATATTCCCAACATTCCAGGGTGCCCAAAGGAAAGACCTGGCCAGTTATTTCAGCATCAATTCACAAAATGGGGCGTTGGAAGGGGAAAAACAGCTGCTCTAGTTGGGCAGTGATTATTAAACCCCTCCCAAAAATGGAGTGGACAATTTCCAAGATCTCATCATGTTAGAAAACTTTCATTCGCCGATTTCACTTTTCAAGTGAATCCTAAAGCCTGTTTCCTTAATCTTCATAATTTTGGACATTCCACAGCCCGACCCACGCGTTTATCTTTCACTGGGCTGCAGTGATTCCCCTTGTTACCAAAAGGGGCCCAGCCTCCGCCAGCAGAGGCCTCCTGCGGAGCTGGGGGCGGGACCTCTGGGCTGGGTCCCCCTCTCCCTGTGCGCTGGCTGGCGGCGAGTGCAGTGACTGATTTCCTCTGCTCGCCTTCCCGGAGGTCCCCACCCACGCCACTGCCAACGCTCGGAGGAAGTCACGTTCAGGCCCCAGAGCTGGTCTGAATCTTCCAGGAGGAAAAGAGGGGGTGCATGTGTGCGTGTGTGTGTGGTAGTGTGTGTGTTGTATGTCTAAGAGGTAGCAAGTGTGTTTGTGTGCGTGATATGTGTGTTTGAGAGGCAGCAAATGTGTGTGTTGTATGTGTGTTTGAGAGGTAGAAAGTGTGTGTGTGGGGGGGGGGGTATGTGTGCCTGAAAGGCAGCAAGTGTGTGTGCGTGTGGTATGTGTGTTTGAGGGGCAGCAAGTGTTTGAGTGTGAGTGTGTGGTATGTGTGTTTGAGGGGTAGCAGGAACCCTAGCTTGGTGTCTGTCAGTAACTAGATGGTGATGCAGGTAAGTGATTTTCCCGTTGAGTGGATTAAATTCCTAGTCTGTCAGAGAGGGTGTTGACCTAGAATGACTGCGCAGGTCTCCTGTCCAGTGTTAAGGAGCGTGAGTGCCCTGATGTCCCCAGGAGTGCTGCAAAAAGAGCAAAATGGCATATATCAGGCGTCCCCGAGATGCTGGCATCTATGTTAAAACTATCTTATTTCATCTTCCAACTACTCCTTACAATAGGTGCCCTGATCCCAATACAAGATTGAAAACTGAGGCTCAGAGTCTGCGGTATGCTGTCCAATATGTATGTATACACAAACACACACACGTATATACGTATGTTTGTGTGTATATACGTATGTGTATATATGCACATATATGGGTGTGTATGTATATATTTTACAGCCCATTTGGGCAAATGAGTGAGCCCCAGCCAGAAGCAAGCGCCCCCGCTGCCCCTGGGCAGTGGGCTCGGTACCGCCACGCACCCGTCCTATGTGTTACCTGGTCGCTGCTCACTGGAGTGAAAGCCATTTAGTGGCTGATCCAAGGGAAGTATGAGCTAGTGGCATGTCGAGACAAACCTGGATTTGATTCGCAGCTCTGCCTTCTGTTTGACTACAAGCAAGTAACAAGCTTTTGGAGCCTGTTTCCTCACTTCTAAGTGACGCTAATTATAGTATGTACATCACAAGGATAGTGACATAAGTGATGACTGTGACCAAACTTGGATCACCAAGCCTGCACCCAGGGAGCGCTCAGTAACGCAGCGCTGAGGAGTAGGCCACCCCGGAGGGCTCCAGGTTTCAGCGCAGGCTTCCGCGGAGCCAGCTGGATGCGTCACCATCCGAAAGTGCGAGCCTGGCCGGCGGCGGCGGAGGCGGGGGCACCGCGCAGTTGGAAGCCCGGGCGCTCTTACCGAAAGCGCGAGCCCGGACTTCCCCGCCACGATCGATGTGGCCAGTCTGCGCCTGCCGCAGTTCCCGCTCGCACCCCGGCCCCTCGCAGAGTCCCAGGAAAGCGCTGTGGCGGGCGGGCAGTCTCTGCCCCCGGGAGGGGACGCACGCACGCGCTGCTCCTTCCAGGTCCCGGCGGGGAAGCGATGCTTTCTTGGCCCGGGCTTGGGGCCAGCGGGAACCGGGCTGTCCGGCCGCGCCGTCGCGCCTCGCACGGCGTGAGACAACCTAGCTTTTTTTTTTTTTTTTTTTTTAAGAAAAGCATTGGCACCGCAGCAGCCTCCCCCGCTTCTTCCCTACTAGGACGCCCGCCTGACTCGCCCCATTGCACAATTCTTACCGTGGAACAGCCGCGTGACTCGGCGGGAGCCCAAAAGTTTCCCAGGTTTCCTCAGCCTAGAAAAGCGTGGGTGGGTGTCCCGGCCTGGCTCCAGGCGCCCTTTAAGTTGTATTTCTTCGGGTAACTGGGTTGCCCTTTAAAATGTGGAGATTGTCCTTTAGAAAGAAAGAAAATCTCACGAGCTCGCTGGCCCGCCAGGTCTAGGTTGGCGCCGGGTGACTGCAATGAAACGCGTTTCTTTTCCCATGTACATTTTCAGACGGTAAAAGTGTTTCGATTTGTTTGGGGGAGAAGTCAGGCGCTGGTTTTAAAGGAGGAAGGGGAATGATGCTTAAAAGCAGAGACACGATTTGGAGCTCTCCAAGAATCATAGTGTTTATTAACAATGATTGTGCTTAGTAGACACTGAGAAAATATCGAACGAATGAGTATTTGGAGGAGGGATTTAAATGGGTGTCTATAGGCCAACGCTTTCATTCTGCTGATGAGAAAACCTAGAGGTTAAGTGATTTGCCCAAAGTCACCTAGCTAATTAATGTGGAAGGCAGGAATGGAATCTGTCTCGTTTTGACTCCAAATTCTTGTTATGAGATGGGTGCGTTTTCCCCTCTTTATGAAAAAAAAAAATGCCTTCTGTAGTAATCTCTGTAAAGCCTTACTCCACTCCCTCTGTCTACGCATCTAAAGCAAACATACAAAACAAAAAAGAAAACAGCAATCCCCAAATGCAATCCATGCACTCAAATAGGCTAAATTTGGCAATGCCAAAACAATATATTAACAAGGCATTTTAGTTCTTATTCCTATAAATAACACTTTTTTGTTTTGTTTTGTTTTTTGAGACGTATTCTCGCTCTGTCGCCCAGGCTGGAGTGCAGCGGCGCGATCTCAGCTCATGGCAACCTCTGCCTCCTGGGATCAACTGACTCTCCTGCCTCAGCCTCCCGAGTAGCTGGGATTACAAGTGTGCACCACCATGCCTGGCTAATTTTTGTATTTTAGTAGAGACGGGGTTTCACCATGTTGGCCAGGCTGGTTTCAAATTCCTGACCTCAGGTGATCCACCCGCCTCAGCCTCCCAAAGTGCTGGGATTACAGGAATAAGCCAACCTGCCTAGCCAATAGTACTTTCTTATTCACACAAAATATGTGAAGAAAAGGAGGAAGAGGAGGAGGAGGAAAAACAGAATAAGCAAAACAGTGCTTCTCCAAGATGATATGGAAAATACCAAGCTCCCACTAACCTTACTTTTGTAAGTAAGGTGTTTGGTGCTCTGCATAGAAACTGCTGGACTCGTGAGTGACCATCAGGGTTGATCTAAGATTGTCAGTTATTTCACTCAGGCTTTGACTGGATTTGTTGCTCATCTTTCAGAATAGACAGATGCAATCTGTGCAAACACAAGGGACTTCAATGACAATCTTGCAAATAGCTAGACAGCTTTTGTCTTTGACGTTTCTAGGCTGACCAACTATACCAAATGTCTGATTTAGGAACCAAAATTGCAAAACAAGTAGATGTGAAGATCAAAGGAATCAAGACTATAAGTAGGGATTATGACTAAAAATTCTTTTACGTGTTGTCTGTGGTGTTTCCACAATAATAATTACAATGTGGTTATAATAATATAATCCAAGTACAACTTCTTATCCAGGAAGAAGCTGGGACTTCCAGTGATGAGCAGACCAGAAGACCAAATTGTGAAATGTCTCATTTCAGCCAAATACCTTCTGAAATGGAGACAATTCTCATATTTCACTCTGCTATCTTCACTACCCTTTATTTCTGATATCGTGAAGGTGGGGATGTATACTAATGTCTAAAAATTTTTGAAATTCTAAGAGGCTAAATAGAATCTGCTAATTTTAGTTTGATAATCCACAATATTCCTGAAATCAAAGCATCATCTCCTATATTTTTCCCATACTGTGATTTCTAGTTTGTCATTATACCAGGCTACTGAATCTGAACTCAAGAAACAAACAAACAAACAAAAAGCATTTTATCAAACGAAAACTGTAAGACCAGCCTGGCCAACATGATGAAGCCCCATCTCTACTAAAAATACAAAAATTAGCAGGGCATGGTGGCACGCACCTGTAATCCCAGCTACTGGGGAGGCTGAGGCAGAAGAATCACTTGAACCCAGGAGGTGGAGGTTGCAGTAAGCCGAGATCACGCCATTGCTCTCTAGCTTGGGCAACAAGAGCAAAACGCCATCTCAAAAAAAAAAAAAAGTGAATTTTCTGTGGTTATTAGAGGCTGGGAAGGGTAGTGGGAGGGGAAGATGATGAGAGGTTACATAACAAATACAAATTTACAGCTGGATGAAAGGAATAAGTTCTAGTGTTCTATAGCACTATAGGGTGCATACGGGTAACAATAATTTAATGTATTTTTTTCCAAGAAGCTAGAAGAGAGAATTTTGAATGTTCACAACACAAATAAATGATATACTTTCAAGGTGATGGATATGCTAATTACCCAGATTTGATCATTGCACATTGTACACATGTACTGAAATATCATTGTATCCAATAAATATGTACTATGTCAACTAGAAATAAGAGGGAAAATCAATTAATTCTTTAAAAATATGTGAGTTATCTCCAATTGACCTATAGATTTGATTGCAATTCCAATTAAAATCCCAGCAGACTTTTTGATGGAACTTGACAACTTAATTATAAAATGTATATGGAAGTGCAAAGGGCCAAAATTAGCCAAGATGGTCTTGCAGAAGAATAAGTTATAATAAGATGATCTTGCAGAAGAATAAGTTGCCATTCCAGATATTAAAATTTTAAAAGTCATAATAATTAAGATAAATATAATTTGTGAACTCTCATGCTCAGACACCAGTCACACCCATTTTAGGACATCTCACAATTAAATGTTTCACTAACCTTGATGTCTACACTAATATAGAAGTAAACAATAAATATGGGCTTTCTAAGCAAGAGAGATTTTATCTCTTCACATAAGTGTGAAGAAATAATATAGAAGTATCTGTTCCTTATAATGGAGAGTTGAGTTTGGTAAACTCAAATTGTATTTGGTAAACTAATTGATGAATCTCTTAAGGTTTTTTGAATAGTTCACTATGTCATAAACTTAGCTTTCCCATCCACACAGACTGAAATATTTTACCAGACAGTATCTGAATTTGAAAATATCTTTAGGTCTAGGTGATTTGCTTCATGGCTTTTCTTTAATTAAAACGGCTTCTATTGTTTCTTCTTTTTTATTTTTTAAAGATGTGGTCTTACTCTTTTGCCCAGGCTGGAGTGCAGTGGTACTCTCATAGCTTACTGTAACCTTGAGCTCCTGGGTTCAAGGGATCGTCCTGCCTCAGCCTCCTGAGTAGGTAGGACTACAGGTGCTTGCCACAATGCATGGCTAATTCGTTTATTTTTTGTAGAGATGGGGTCTTGCTGTGTTGAACACCTGGCCTCAAATAATCCTCCTGTCTTGGCCTCCCAAAGCACTGGGATTACAGGTATAAACCACCACACCCAACCCAGTTTCCATTCTTAAAGGGGAACTCATATATCTGATTTCATATTTCCCTTTCTCAAACAGGGGTCTTATTTTGTTGTTTCAGTAGCAGGTACTTACCATATTAGCTGAACCTGTAGATTCACTGAATTACGCCTTGTATATAAAATATTTTATCTTCATAATATTTACGTTGATTCATCCAGACATTATTAAATAGTAATGCACTCAATTTAATAAGCTAAGTAAGTTTTGTCATCTGCCTTAAAAAGTTCCATCTAAGATGATTAACATTTTTAAAAGGAAAAAAATGTTAATCCTTATCTTATCTACAGTTCCTGTTTGCCCAGTAATGTCAGATAATCATGATTTTGAAACAAAGTGATGAAAATGAGTAGTTTAAGTTCCAACTGAGTGGACCTAATAGCCAAGCAAACAAGTTTAGCTTGGGGCTTGGGTGGTCAAGGAAGCCTTCACAGATCAAAAGTAACTGGATAAGCGCTTAAAGGAAGACACAATCAGACTCACTTTTATGAATGTAAATAGGACAAAGACAGCTTCAGGAAGCCCAGTATCTGACAGAACCCAAGGCAGGCCTGTAGGTGGGTTCCCGAAAGGAAGAAGATCCGGGTGCCATACTGGAGAAATATCCAGACTTGGTCTCTTGTCTTCTCTCTGTAGGTCTGTCTTATTCTTGTTCTTTGTCAGGCAACTTTGGCTGTGTGTCTGGATCCCATGGATCAGATAACCACCACATCACTCCTGTGGTGACCCGAGTCTGGTCACCTGGAGAGAGGCTGACCCCTACTCTTATTTCTTTCTTTGTTGTTTTTTGTTTTGTTTTGTTTTGTTTTTTGAGATGGAGTTTCATGCTCTTGTTGCCCAGGCTGGAGTGCAATGGTGCAATCTCAGCTCACCGCAACCTCCACCTCCCATGTTCAAGCAATTCTCTTGCCTCAGCCTCCCAAGTAGCTGGGACTACAGGCGCATGCCACCACGCCCAGCTAATTTTTCTGTATTTTTAGTAGAGACAGGGTTTCTCCATGTTGGTCAGGCTAGTCTCGAACTCCTGACCTCAGGTGATCCGCCCACCTCGGCCTCCTAAAGTGCTGGGATTATAGGTATGTTTTTTTTTTTTCTTTCTGATACAGCGTTTTGCTCTGTCGTCCAGGCTGAAGTGCAACAGCATGATCTTGGCTCACTGCAACCTCCACCTCCTGGGTTCAAGTGATTCTCCTGCCTCAGCCTCCTGAGTAAGTGGGGCTACAGGTGCACACCACCACACTCAGCTAATTTTTGTATTTTTAGTAGAGACAGGTTTTACCATGTTGTACAGGCTGGTCTCGAACTCCTGACCTCAGGTGATCCGCCTGCCTTGGCCTCCCAAAGTGTTGGGATTACAGGTGTAAGCCACCATGCCTGGCCTCTTATTTCTTATTTCTAAGTTCCCAGGGAATTTAGATTGTGATTAGCACAGCTTGAGTTTGGTGACAACCCCTGATCCAACCAATTGGGATTAGGGTAGAAATCCAGGAAGCCACCCGTATGGGATGGACAGACCACCCAATGATCACCCAGTACGGAAGTGTAGGAGAGAAAAGCCCAGGGGAGCAGGAAAGCAAGGAGAAAAGCCCGGGCAAAAGCCTGAAGGCAGAAATGTGTATGGTGTGTCCTAGTAACATTGAGTAGGGCAATTTGCAGCTTGATACATATGGAATTTATGCAAAAGTACTAAGAGATTAAATTGGAGAAATAGTTTGA